>NC_000008.11:144474480-144776558 GCF_000001405.40 Homo sapiens
GTAGATAGGCAAGTAGGAGGTGGGCAGCTGCCCCCAGAGGGAGGCCCTGTGTCCCCCGCTGGACCGTCCCCCAGGAACTGCGGTGCCCTGCAGTAAGTGGAGAGGCCAGGCCCTAGGCTCTGGGGAGAGGGTTGAGGGCCCGATGGCTCCCCCCTGCACAGTCTCCCCCTCCACTCTCGTGGGGCCAGGAAGGGGGCAGAGGGGCCACAGAGGCCTCTCAGAAGAGGGAAGGGGTGGGGTGGGCACCGCCTCCTCCCCACTGTTCCCTGTGCCTGCAGGAACTGGGCTGCTCTGTGGAGCTAGCCCCGGCCAGGGTGCCCCCTCCCCGGACCCTCCTAGCAGGGACTTGATGCTGAAGCCCTCACTGGGTGGTGGCGGGGGACTGGGCGGCCGGTATGGCCGGCCGTGCAGCACGTAGGGGCCCAGGTCCTTGGCGAAGGCTCCACGCGCACCTCCGTTCTGCCAGCGCCGGCACAGGGCGGTGTTCTGCAGCCGGAGCGCCTCAGCTGGGATCAGGCTCACGTCGACCGCCCAGAAGTTGCCCTTGGCCTGGGGCTTTGCAGGGTCCTTGGGCACCTGGGTGTGGGGGTCAGACATGGGTGGGGCTGCCCAACCTTGGATGCTCAGGACTTCCGCGCGCGCTCCGCCCCCGGGCTCCGACCCTGGCCTGCCCCACCTTGCGGAAGCATCGGTTGGAGGAAAGGTTGTGGCGAATGGAGTCTTTCCAGCCCTCGTAGTCTTCCCTGAAGAAGGGGAACACGGCCTGGACCTGACGGATGATCTGAAACCGCCAGGCGGCCGGCCGGCGCCGTGAGCCCAGACGGGGAGGGGGTAGCGCCCTACCCCTCCCCCACTACCGGGCTCAGGGGCGCGCGGTGCCGGCCCCTGCTGTCCCCGAAGAAGGACATTTCTGCGCGGAAGCGCGGCAGAGAGGGCAAGGGGCTCCCGGAGAAGGGTCGTGCCTTGAGGCCCTCAGCTCTCAGGACTGGTCCCACTGGCATACCTGGGTGGGCTAGGAAGGGGTGGGGGTCAGGGCTTGAACCTGGAAGTGGGTGGGGAACGAGTCTGGGGAAAGAGAGAGTGGGGGCCGGGGCCCGCTCACCTGGGCCAGCTTCAGTCTGCGGGAGGGAGCGGCCTGAATCACCAAGGCGATCATGGCCAAGTAGGTGTAGGGGGGCTTGTCATGTCGCAGGTACCTCTTCTTCCTCCTCTTAGGGGGCTGGGAGGGCGACTCTGCCTCTGGGGGCCCCAGGCGGGAGCCGCTGCAGGGCCCCATGCGGGACGGTAGACAGCGTGGGCAGGGGCCTGGCCGGGTGGAGGGTGCAGGGCGGTGGGGCAGTGTAGAAGGCAGGGCCGGGACCTGAGGCCGGGCTGGGGCAGGCGGGCTGGGGCCTTTATCATTCGGATGGAAGGGGGAGGGGAGGGAAGGGAGGAAGAGGCTGTGGGGGAGGGGAGCATGCCGAGGGCTTCCACAATTAGCAGGTTTTGGTTAATCTGGAAGGGAGGGGCAGAGAGCATTCTAGTGGGGGCTTCTCCTGAGGCCTCAGTCTCCACCCCTGAGTTGCCTTTGGGTGGCCAGGCCCGGCTTCAAAGGGGCTGCGATGACCCATGGCTACTTTATCCCGTCTTCCCTGGTCAGGTTTCAGGACCCCATTTAACAAATGGGGGAGTATTTAGCCCATGCCAAGCTCCCAAGGCGTGGGGCGCTCCTGGAGTTCAAGATCTAGCAGCTGCTAGTAGGCCCTGAACTATGGGGGCTGGATATCCACCCAGGACATGATCAGGTGGAGCTTCCTGGAGGAGAAGGCCATGAAGCCCGCACCCTAGGAACAAGAGGGGGACACATTGACTCAACTGATTTCCTGGGAGTTGCTTCAGGAGCCCAGGTGGACCGCTCACCTCCTCCTCCCTAGCCATCTCTGCTCCTCCACCCAAGCAAGGCTGGTATTGTGTATCCTGCCCCAAAGCCCAGGTTCTCCTCCCTCACAAGGGGCAAGTTTGCCCAAGAGGATAGCAGCTCTGGGAATTAGCAGCGGTGGTTGGTGCTGGCACCAGGCCAAGGGCCCCCAGACACACGGGGGCCCAGGGATATGCTTTTGCCCTTCACTCTGAGAATTCAGCTTTTCTTGTGCAGCCTCCACCATGATAACCTCAAAGGGCTGAAAATCTGCAGCATACGGTGGGGTCCAGCACACCCTGAGGTGTGGAGGGGAGGGACAGGCAGCAAGTGTCCAGGAGGAGGAGGCCTGGGCCGCAAGGGGCCTTGTATGTGGGGTACCACACTGCTCCTGCCCCCCACACCCCCGGTCGGGTGGTGCCCCTTTTCCTTCTATCTCTGACTCTCCCCTCAGACGCCACGTGGTTTCCCTCAGGACTCCTGCCACCACCTCTCTGCTGTGTTCCCTAGGTTATGGCTGCACAATCCTGTGCCTCATGAGGCTAATACTTGTGGCCACTTCACCCCATTCGGTCAGCAAGGCGTCGTTCTTTCCTACAAGTGTTTGTTGTTGTTGTTGTTTTGAGACAAGGTCTCACTCTGTTGCCCAGGCTGGAGTGCAGTGGTGCGATCTGGGCCCCGTGCAGCCTCCACCTCCCCCGCTAGGGCGATCCTCCCGACTCAGCGTCCCGGGACTACAGGCGTGCGCCACAGAGCCCAGCTAATTTCTTAATTTTTGGTAGGGACCGGGCCTGCCTATGTTGCTCAGGTTGGTCTCCCGGGCTCAAGTGACCCACTGGCCTCGGCCTCCTCCCAAAGTGCTGGGATCACAGACGTGAGCCACCGGGCCGGGCCTTTCCCATAATTTTTTTTTTTTTTTTGAGACGGAGTCTCACTCTGCCGCCCAGGCTGGAGTGCAGTGGCGTGATCTCGGCTCACTGCAAGCTCCGCTTCCCGGGTTCATGCCATTCTCCTGCCTCAGCCTCCCGAGTAGCTGGGACTACAGGCGCCCACCACCACGCCCGGCTAATTTTTTTGTATTTTTAGTGGAGACGGGGTTTCATCAGGTTAGCTAGGATGGTCTCGATTTCCTGACCTCGTGATCTGCCCGCCTCGGCCTCCCAAAGTGCTGGGATTACAGGCGTGAGACACCGCGCCCGGTCTCCCGTAAGTTTTAAGGCACCCCCCTCTCCACTGGCGCTTCCTTGGTGGGGCGCTGGAGGCTCCCCAAGTTCTGACCGCTCTTCTCCGACCGCACTGTCCTGGGCCCGAAACCACCCCCAAAGCTGCCACCCATTCCGCTGGCGCCCGTCCCGTTGCCCGCGATGACTCGGTTTTGTCCAGCATAAATCAATGACCACCGTCCCGGGAGCCTTGGAGCACTTTGAGCCATTCCCGTCCCACCCACGCCCCAAGGAGGTCCCAGCCGCGGAGGACTCGCCCGGCCGCCCGCAGCTGTCCGCGTTGGCCCCCACCCCCGACCGTCCCTCCCCAGGCCCCGCCCCCGACATTTCCTCCTCCCAGGCTCCGCCCCCGGCTCCCACGGGGCACCGCGGCTTCCGGCTATGGGTACCGCGGGCCGGAAGTGTAGCGTTGCCATGGCGAGGGCCGGGTGCGGGGCCCGCCCCCGCAGCGCCTCAGGGAGCGCGGGGCCCACTGACCCGCGGAAGCCAGCGGACCCACTTGTGCGGCGGTCGGCGCGGGGCGCGAGGTGAGGCGCGGACTCCCGGGTCCTGCGGCGGGAGCGGAGCGAGGGAGAGGGGCCCCGGCCAGGGAGAGCAGTGGCGGGCCCGGGAAGGAGGGGCACTGGGTCGACACCGAGAGAGGAGGCCGGGCCGGGGAAGGATGAGGCAGAGGAGAGGGAGGAGGCCGGGAAGGGCGGGAGGAGGAGGAGACCGAAGGGAGAGAGGAGGCTGGCGACGGAGGAGGCCGGGGAGGGGCCCTCGGGAGACGCGGCTGCCGGCACGCGGGCGCCCAGGGCACAGGTCCCGCCGGGCCGCCTTGGGCGTTGCTGGCTGAGGCCCAGGGCAGCAGGTGCCAACGGTCAGGAAAGGCAGGGAGCCGAAGGCTGCCGGTGGGCGCTTCGCGTTTTGTTCCAAGGCGAAGGTGTGTGGATTCTCCGCAGCCCGTCGGTCAGGTAGACAGCTCCGGAATTGTCTTCATTTTCAGATGAGGAAATCGAGGCCGCAGAGAAGGGACTTACCCAAACTTAAGCTTTGTGTGGGCCTTGGAGCTAGGCTGAAGGAGAAAGTGGAGTCTCACTGGGGCAAGTTCCTTCAACTTTCAGGGATTCAAATGACCTCACTTGTAGTGCGGGGCGTCCGGACCACCCCTCAGGAATTGGGATCAGGGCAAGAATTACTAACTAAGCAAGCACCCCGCCTGGGAGGGAGCGTCCAGGACTGGTGTGGGCCCCTGTCTGTACCAGAGCGGAGGCCCGGGGCACGGTGGGATTAATTTCCATGGGTGCAGAGAGGGGAGCCGTGTACGGAGTCATTCTAGGCTTAGGGGAGACAGAGCAAAGTTAGCCTTCCCCAAACCTCTGTGCCTTCCTTTTCTTCCTGGATTCCTACCTGGGGGTGGAGGTGGAGGCGGGGGTACCGCTGCCTTTCTCAAAGTGTGTCTAGTCCAGCAGTGAGCCCTCCTGGGCGTCTTGGCGCCCCAGTTGCTTCCTGGACGTATTGGGGTTTCTCTGGGAGAAGGGTCTTGCCTGCAGTACCCTGGGCCTCCTGAAGAGGCCTCTGGTTGCGCTGCCTGATTCAGGGACCCAGAGCCACGACTCGCCGAGAGGAGCTCCGGCGGCGTGCGGCTGGGTTGCCTGAGGGGCTGGGGGCTGCCTGGTGGACTTGCACACATGCTGGCTCCATACCTGTCACTGTGGTGGACGCTCAGAGCTCTACAGGGCCAGCTGCCTGCCCCTGCCCCAAGTCCCCCGGGCTGGGGTTGGGATGGGGGTGGCTTTAGGGGGTCCTTCCCCCTCCTGGTGCTCGAGCTGGATTTCCTCCCTGTTGGCTGGGGCCATCCCTCGTGTCTCTGATTGGCCTGTCCTGGCCTCATCCCTCACCTGCTTGGGATGCACTTGGACTCTGCTTTGCCCCGAGGGTTGCCTGGGCTGGCACCTAGCAAGGGGGCTCCTCCTGTATGACTGTACTTTGGGGTCTGTGTTCTAGGGATTCTTGAACCTCTGGTCTGAATGAACAGCCGATTGATACAGCTCTCCACTGCATGCAGCTTAGGAACCTCAGTCTCAGGTGACCCCACAGACTACCAGCACCCCCAGCTCCACCCTTGCTCTTCCCCGAGCGTGTCCTAACCCTAGCACTTGTGCCACATCTATCCATTGGCCAAAATGAGAACTGGGTGGCAGTTCCAGGCCCTTCTTTCATGCCGAGGCTCTCCTGGCACTGGTGCACGCACACCTAAAGGGAGGCCTTTTCATCAGACTTGCTCAGCCAGGAGCTCAGAGCCTTCCATGTCACATCCTGTGCTGGGACCCCTGTGCCAGAGGCTCAGCAGCTGTTCACTTGTTCAGCTCACTGCACTTACTGAGTGCTGCCTATGAGTCAGGAACTGGCCAAGTTCTTAGGATGCAACAGGGAAACAAACAGTAACTGGCATGTCAAGAATTAAAACAAGGTGATGAGATAAGAGAATGACAAGGTAACCACAGAAGATCTCTGAGGAGGTTGCACTTAAGATGTGATCCGAGTCCCACAAAGGAGCATGCTGTCCTAAGATCCGGTGGAAGAACTTTCCAGACAGAAGGAGCAGCTGATGAAGGTGGCGGTGATGATGAAGCTGGTAGCACCAAATAAATGTGCTAGACCAGGGGTTGGCCAGCTTTTACTGTGAAGGGCTAGGCAGCAAACATTTTAGGCTTTGCTGACCATGTGGCTTTCTGTTTTTTTGTTTGTTTGAGATGGAGTCTCACTCTGTCGCCCAGACTGGAGTGCGGTTGCACAATCTCCACTCACTGCAACCTCTGCCTCCCGCGTTCAAATGATTTTCCTGCCTCAGCCTCCCCAGTAGCTGGGATTACAGGCACATGCTACCATGCCAGTTAATTTTTATATCTTTTTTTTTTTTTTTGAGACAGAGTCTTGCTCTGTAGCCAGGCTGCAGTGCAGTGGTGCAATCTCAGCTCACTGCAACCTCCGTCTCTCGAATTCAAGTGATTCTCCTGCCTCAGCCTCCCAAGTAGCTGGGACTACAGGCGCATGCCACCACGGCCAGTAATTTTTGTACTTTTAGTAGAGATGGGATTTCACCGTGTTGGCCAGAATGGTCTCGAACTCCTGACCTCATTATCCTCCTGCCTTGGCCTCCCGAAGTGCGGGGATTACAGGCGTGAGCCACTGTGCCCAGCCCATGCTTTGATTTTTTACATCAAACTTTATTGAGGTGTAACTTACAGTAAGATGCACCTATTTTAATGGGTTTTGTGTGATGGGTTTTGTTTAATGGGTTTTGTTTGATGGGTTTTTTTTTTTGACGGAGTCTCATGCTGTGTCGCCCAGGCTGGAGTGCAGTGGCACGATCTTGGCTCACTGCAAGCTCCGCCTCCTGGGTTCACACCATTCTCCTGCCTCAGCCTCCCAAGTAGCTGGGACTACAGGCGCCCACCACCACGCCCGGCTAATTTTTTGTATTTTTTTAGTAGAGTCGGGGTTTCACCATGTTAGCCAGGATGGTCTCGATCTCCTGACCTCGTGATCCGCCCGCCTCGGCCTCCCAAAGTGCTGGGATTACAGGCGTGACCACCGCGCCCGGCCTGTTTGATGGGTTTTGTGAACAACGTCATAATCCAAATATAAAACATTTCCGTTGCCCCCAAAAGTTCTCTCGTGCTCCTCTGTGGTAAGCCCTTCCTCACACCCAGCCCAGGCAATAGTGATCGCTTTCTATTACTGTAGGTTTGGCGTCCCTTTTTAAGAATTTCACATTGGCTGGGCGTGGGGGCTCACGCCTGTAATCCCAGCACTTTGGGAGGCTGAGGCGGGTGGATCATCTGAGGTTGGGAGTTCGAGACCAGCCTGACCACCATGGAGAAACCCTGTCTCTACTAAAAATACAAAAAGTTAGCCAGGCATGGTGGCGCATGCCTGTAATTCCAGCTACTCGGGAGGCTGAGGTAGGAGAATCCCTTGAACGTGGGAGGCGGAGGTTGCGGTGAGCCGAGATCGCACCATTGCACTCTAGCCTGGGCAAAAAGAGCGAAACTCCATCTCAAAAAATAAAATAATTTCACATCAATGGAATCATATGGAATGAATACTTTTGTGTCTGATTTATTTTGCCAGATGACAATGTTTTAGAGATTCAAGTGGTTTTGTGTATCCGTAGTTGATTCCCTTTTTCTTTTTTCTTTTTTGTTTTTTTGAGACAGAGTCTTGCTCTGTTGCCCAGGCGGGAGTGCAGTGGCACGATCTTGGCTCACCGCATCCTCCGCCTGCCAGGTTCAAGCAATTCTCCTGCCTCAGCCTTCTGAGTAGCTGGGACTACAGGCGCCTGCCACCATGCCCTGCTAATTTTTTGTATTTTTAGTAGAGACAGGGTTTCACCATGCTGGCCAGGCTGGTCTCGAACTCCTGACCTCGTATCCGCCCGCCTTGGCCTCCCAAAGTGCTGGGATTACCAGTGTGAGCCACTGTGCCCGGCTGCCGCCGCCGCCGCCGCCGCCTTTTTTTTTGAGATGGAGTCTTGCCAAGTGCAGTGGTGTCATCTCGGCTCATTGCAGCCTTGGCCTCCCGGGTTCAAGCGATTCTTCTGCCTCAGCCTCCCAAGTAGCTGGGACTGTAGGCATGTACCACCACACCCAGCTAATTTTTGTATTTTTAGTAGAGACGGGGTTTCTCCATGTTGGCCAGACTACCTGAAGTGATCTGCCTGCCTCAGCCTCCCAAAGTGCTGGGATTATAGGCATGAGCCACCGCTCCTGGCCAGTTTATAGTTTTCTTATTTTTTATTTTATTTTTATTTACTTATTTTTGAGATGGAGTCTTGCTCTGTTGCTCAGGCTGGAGTGCAGTGGCACAATCTTGGCTCACTGCAACCTCCACCTCCTGGGTTTAAGCAGTTCTCCCTGCCTCAACCTCCCGGGTTTAAGCAGTTCTCCCTGCCTCAACCTCCCGGGTTTAAGCATTTCTCCCTGCCTCAACCTCCCGGGTTTAAGCAGTTCTCCCTGCCTCAACCTCCCGAGTAGCTGGGACTACAGGCACATGCCAGCATGCCCAGCTAACTTTTTTTTTTTTTTTTTTTGGGACAGTCTCACTCTATCGCCAGGCTAGAGTGCAGTGATCTAGGCTCACTGCAACCTCTGCCTCCTGGGTTCAAGCGATTCTCCTGCCTCAGCCTCCCGAGTAGCTGGGACTACAGGCGCCCGCCACCACGTCCAGCTGATTTTTGTAATTTTAGTAGAGACGGGTTTCACCATGTTGGCCAGGATGGTCTTGAGCTCCTGACCTCATGGTCCACCCGCCTCAGCCTCCCAAAGTGCTGGGATTACAGGCGTGAGCCACCGCGCCCGGCTTATTTTTTTGTATTTTTAGTAGAGACGGGTTTTTGCCATTTTGGCCAGGCTGGTCTTGAACTCCTGACCTCAGGTGATCCGCCCCCCTCAACTCCCAAAGTGCTGGAATTACAGGTGTGAGCCACCGCGCCCGGCCCAACTTTCATTTCTTTTGCGTATGTACCCAGAAGTAGGATATGCCTTCTTTTTTATGTTGTGTGGCTGACAGAGTTACGTTCTGTTCTGTAACGATGTTCACATGTCAGTCTTTCTATCTACAGAACCAGGCAGTGTGTGTAAAGTAGGTTTCCTCATCTGTGGGTCCAGTGTCCCAATTCCTGCCTCCTACAAATGATGTTCTTGGCTGGCTTCAAGTTCAAAGGCTTTCCTCCTGTTTCATGCATCATCAGTCTCCTTCATCACGTGAATTTTTTGAACTTTGTCATCCTATGTGTTGTGTCGTTCTGTTTTCTTTATTTCTTTTTATTTATTCATTTATTTTTGAGACGAAGTCTTGCTCTGTCGCCCAGGCTGGAGTGCAGTGGCACCATCTTGGCTCACTGCAACCTCTGCCTCCTGGATTCAAGTGATTCTCGTGCCTCAGCTTCCTGAGTAGCTGAGACTACAGGTGCATGCCGCCACGACCGGCTTTTGTATTTTTAGTAGAAATGGGGTTTTACCCTGTTGGTCAGGCTGGTCTCGAACTCTTGACCTCAGGTGATCCACCCGCCTTGGCCTCCCAAAGTGCTGGGATTACAGGCATGAGCCACTGCGCCCGGTCTCTTTTTTTTTTTGAGACAGAGTCTTGCTCTGTTGCCCAGGCTGGAGAGCAGTGGTGTGATTAGAGATCACTGCAGCCTCAAACTCCTGGGTTCAAGCAATCCTCCTGCTTTGGCCTCCCATATGTTGGGATTATAGGCGTGAGCCACCATGCCCAGCCCTTCCCTGTTTTCTTTTTCCTTGGCCACCTTCCCCTGCTCATCTCTCTGCTCTGACAGCTCCTACCATCTTTCCTTCCAACTTCTAGGAATGTGCTGGCTGACTGTGAGCTCTCTTTCTTGGAAATGCCTTTCCAGCTCCTGTCCCAGGCTCACAGGCATCTCAGTGGCTTACTGTGTCACCTGCGCCCTAGGTTGGTTGTCTAGACCCCACACCTCTGTTGTCCTAAGGCTGGGGACCCTCACGGTCCCAGTGCTGCCTCCTTCCACACTCCCAGGCCCTGTGCCACTGGCACGTCTGTCCGCAGGTCCCCTTCCCACAGCCCCACCTAGACCGAAAGGTCTGTGTCTCTGTGAGGAAGTGAATACCGAGTCAGAGCAAATCCTGGGTTACAGCGCCGACCCCTCTGAAGCTCACTTTTGTGATTTTGGTTTCCTCACCATTGTACTTGACAGACCTTAGTTGCCACATCTACTCCGTGGGGGTTATGGCCCATTAGAGCTATGAGGCTGAATGAGGCAGTTCATAGGGAAGGCTGCTTGTGGCCCTGGCTTCTAGAAAGGTGTGATTTGCAGGGGCTGCTAGGAGCCCTCCCTGCCCTCTCTTCCCTTTCTTTTGGTCTAGGGCTGGCTTTTATCTTCAGTTCTCGTTGAGTCTCTTTTCAAATGCAGATGCCTCAGGCTGCCAGCTTCTTTCATTTAGGCATCTGGGCCTTTGACACCTTGCTGTGAGTTAGTTTATTCGATTTATTTTGAAGCCAGGTGGCAAGGGGAAAGGAAATTGAAGAGGGAGATGCAACGCTTCCCCTGGTTTCTGGGGAGAGGCTTCCCCAATTCTCCAGCCCCTGACAGACATTGCGTGAGAGCTCATGGTTAGCGGGCCAGTCCCTGGTGTGGTCCACGCGTATCTCCTGTCCCGGGCTGGAAGCATGATGTGTGCAAATGTCCAAATCACGGGGTCTTCCCTCCCTCACAGGGCTTTAGCCAGGCAGCTGTTACTGAGGTAAATAATGATTTGTGTTTGTAGATAAAAAATAGTGGAATAGTTTCAATTTCATATGGTTCTGCTGCTGGGTGTTATGCAGGGGGAATCTGAGGAGCACTGAGATCACTGGGAAAGAGGCCGGGTGCGTGGCTCACGCCTGTCATCCCAGCACTTCGGGAGGCCGAGGCAGAATGAAGAATCTCATGCCAGGGGCCAGAAAGGAGGCTGAGACCAGAGTGTGAGTAGGAGTCAGCCCCCTCAGAGGTGGGACCAGAGAGGAGGCTCCTTAGGAAGCCATAGTGAGGAGGACATGTGGGACAGGCTCAAGGATTGACAAAAGAACCAGTAAAAAAGAATAGAATCTCAAAAAAAAAAAAAAAAAAAAAAAAAAAAGGCCAGGCGCAGTGGCTCATGCCTGTAATTCTAGCACTTTGGGAGGCCAAGGTGGGTGGATCACTTGAGGTCAGGAGTTCAAGAATAGCCTGGCCGACATGGTGAAACCGTGTCTCTACTGAAAATACAAAAAATTAGCCAGGCGTGGTGGCACACACCTGTAATCCCAGCTACCCGGGAGGCTGAGGCAGGAGAATGGCACGAACCCAGGAGGTAGAGCTTGCAGTGAGCTGAGATTGCGCCACTGCACTGCAGCCCGGGCAACAGAGCAACACTCCATCTCGGGAAAAAAAAAAACAATAGATAAAGAAAAATAAATAAAAAAAGAAAAGAGATGGCTCAGAGATCCCTTGTAGACTTCCCGGGTACCCATGTGGTAACGTTGCACCTGTCAATGGAGTACAGCAGTTCAAGGGGATGTTGACACCAATGTGCTCCATTGACCTTATTCAGATTTCACAGCTTTCCATGTGTCTACCTGTGTGTGTGTGGTTTAGTTCTGCGCATCTGTCACTGTAGGGTTTGTGTGAGCCCATGGCCAAGATGCAGCACAGCCACCATAGGGACCTCTTGAGCTGCCCTCTTGCAGCCACAGCCACCTCCCTTTCCCAGCCTGAACCCCTGAGAGCCACTGGTATGTTCTCCATCTGTATGGTTTCACCATTACGAGAATGCTCCATAAATGGAGTGCTGCAGGGTGTGGGCGTTGAGGTCGGCGTGATGTCCTGAGGTCCATCCAGTTGTGTGCACTACTAGTGTGTTCCTTTGACTGGAGGAAACGTCTATGGTATGGATGGACGGACCATCATGTTTCACCTGTTACAAGACATTTGGTTTTTTCCCCCAGTTTTTTGCTATTATGAATAAAGTTGCCATGAACATTTATGTAGTTTTTTGTGTGACTTAATTTTTTTTATTTTTTGAGACAGAGCCTCACACTGTTGCCAGGTTGGAGTGCAGTGGTGTGATCTCGCGCCACCACACCTGGCTAATTTTTGTATTTGTAGTACAGATGGGGTTTTGCCATGTTAGCCAGGCTGGTCTTGAACTCCTGACCTCATGTGATCCCGCCTGCCCCAGCCTCCGAAAGTGCTGGGATTACAGGCGTGAGCCACCACGCCTGACTTAAATTTTCATTTCTCTGGGATAAAGGCCCGTGAGCGCAGCTGCTGGGTGGTTTGGGAGTTGCATGTTGAGCTGTTTTGGTTTAAGAAACTTCCACACTGCTCTCCAGAGTGGTGGCTGTTTTATTTCACAGGTTTTCATCAGCTCCTGTGAGATTCCTTTGTCCTCACATCCTTGCCGTTTGGATTCGTGGGCAGCGGTATCTCGCTGTGGCTCTAATTTGCATTTTACGAATGGCGGGTGATGTTGAGCATCTTGTCACGGACGCATTTGCCATCTGTGTATCCTCTTCAGTGAGGTGTGTCTTTGCATCCTCTGCCCATTTTCTAATTGGATCGTTTCATTTTTACTGCTGATTTTTTGAGACTCGTGTGTTCTTGACAGCAGTCCTTTGTTCTGTGTGTGGTCTGTGGATATTTACTCACTCAGTAGCTGTCTTTTCATCCTCCTCTCAGGGTTTTTAGCAAGGCAAAAGTTTTTAATCTTGTCAAGGTCCAGTTTTTCCGTTTTCCGTTTTATAGACTGTGCTTTTGCTTTTGGTGTCACCACTCTGTAGAAGTGCTATTATTTTACCTTTACGTTAGATTTGCATTTCACCTGGGGTGGGGGTCAAGATTCTTTTCTTTTCTTCTGTTTTTTTGTTTTTTGATTATTTTCTGTCACCCAGTCTGGAGTGCAGTGGTGTGATCTCGGCTCACTGCAACCTCCACCTCCCAGATTCAAGCGATTCTCCTACCTCAGCCTTCAGAGTAGCTGGGACTACAGGTGTGTGGCACCACAACCGGCTAATTTTTTGTATTTCTAGTAGAGACGGGGTTTCACCCTGTTGGTCTCGAACTCCTGATCTCAAGCAATCCTTCCCCCTCAGCCTCCCGAAGTGCTGGGATTACAGGCGTAAGTCACTGCGCCTGGCCCCAGCACCATTTATTGAAGGCTTTTCCACTCCCAGCAGTGTCATAAATTGCATGTCTACACATGTGTAGGTTTATTTCTGTTTTGTTTTGGGGACAAAACAAAACAGTCAGAGACAGAGTCTTTCTCTGTCCCCCAGGCTGGAGTGCAGTGTTGATTTCGGCTCACTGCAACCTCTGCCTCCCAGGCTCAAGTGATCTTCCCACCTCAGCCTCCCAAGTAGCTGGAACTGCAGGGGTGCACCACCATGCCTGGCTAATTTTTTAAATTTTGTAGAGATGAGAGTCTCCCTGTTTTGCCTAGGCTGGCCTTGAATCCCTGGGCTCAAGTGATCCTCCTGCCTCGGCCTCCCAAATTGCTGGGATTGCAGGTGTGAGCTGCCTCATCTGGCAATTTTCTGGACTCAACCGTATTCCATTGGTTTATTTCTCTATGCCTAAGCCAGTAACTTAGGTCTTACTTACCAAACTGTATATAATAAGTCTTGACATCTAATAGTGTAAGTACTTCAAATTTGTTCTCTTTCAGGCTTATCCCTAGTGTTCTTGGCCTTTTGTGTTTCCATATAAGTGGAGCATTAGCTTGTGAGTCTCACACTGTTGGGGTTTTGATTGGGACTACGTCAAATCTTGGATGAATTTGGGGAGAAATGACATCTTTTCAGTTCTGGGTTTTGCAACATATAACGAGATGTCTCCTCCTATATCTTCCCATAAAGATATGGTTGTGGTTTACTCTGTACATCTTTTGTTAGGCTTATTCCGAGGCATTGAGGCTTTTGGGTGCTATTCTGTTGTTCAGTTCTAAGTAGGAGTGGACATCCTCCCCTGACAGCCTCTGTCTTTCCAGGGAATTTGCTTTGGGAGGGCAGGAGAGAAAAGGCAAGGGAAGCTCTTTCCAGGGGATATGCTTTGGGAGGGCAGGAGAGAAAAGGCAAGGGAAGCTCTTTCCAGGGGATATGCTTTGGGAGGGCAGGAGAGAAAAGGCAAGGGAAGCTCTTTCCAGGGAATTTGCTTTGTCTGGGAGGGCAGGAGAGAAAAGGCAAGGGAAGCAGATTTCTGCAAGCGTCAGAGCCCTTGAGGGAGTGGCTCTGCTATGTTCAGAGTCACTGGGGCTGTGGGAGCAGGAGGGCATGGGGCAAGGTGAGGGCATGGCAGCGAGGGAGGCACTGGAGTGTTGGAGTCAGGGCTTGTAGTAGCGAGCCAGGCAGAGAGGAGGCGATGGGCAGAGAGTGGGATGTTGAATGGAGGTGACAGGCATGGGCTGCAGTTACTGGTGGTGATGGAGCACAGCTGGCCAGAAGATAAGGACACTGGTGTAGAGAAGAGGTCAAGGCTCAGAGGGGATAGGCAGTCCACAAAGGTTTGTCCACAAGAACATTAGACCACCAGGAATTTGGGCAACGATGGGCGGGGGTGAAGCCACAGTGAGGGCTGGTGCTGGGTGGTTGGTGCCTGATGATGTGTGCTCCAGCTGGGATGCTCAGGGAGAGGATGGGAGGGGGACTCCAGGCCTCAGCCAGGAGCACAGGGGTTGGGGAAAGAGGGCCCTCAGTAGGGAGGACATGGTGTCGCTGGGGACAGAGCCCCAGGGGAGGGTTTCAGGATGGAGGGTGGAGAGAGCCTGGATCAGAAGCCCCCTCCTGGCCTGGTGCAGTGGCTCACCCCTGTAATCCCAGCACTTTGGGAGGCTGAGACAGGCGGATCACTTGAGGTCAGGAGTTCAAGACCAGCCTTGCCAACATGGTGAAACCCGCTCTCTACTAAAAATACAAATATTAGCCGGGTGTTGTGGCACACACCTATAATTGCAGCTACTCAGGAGGCTGAGGCAGGAGAATCATTTGAACCCAGGAGCTGGAGGTTGCAGTATTTCATGCCTACGCAGGTGCTTTGGGATGAACTTCTTAGGGTTGGACTGGGAGGGGGGTTGGTCTGGGAGGGGGGTTGGCCTGGGAGGGGGGTTGGCCTGGGAGGGGGGTTGGACTGGGAGGGGGGTTGGACTGGGAGGGGGGTTGGTCTGAGGGGGGTTGGACTGGGAAGGGGGTTGGTCTGGGAGGGGGGTTGGACTGGGAGAGGGGTTGGTCTGAGGGGGGTTGGTCTGAGGGGGGTTGGACTGGGAGGGGGGTTTGTCTGGGAGGGGGTGAGCTGCACACTGGGCCCTGGAGGACACTCAGACCCTCCCTCCTGACCCCATCACCACTCACTCGTCCAGCCACCACTTCCCCTAAACTGCTGCTTCCTTGGAGCAGTCTGCAGGCCCCGGGGATGCCCTGTGTGTAGGAAACTTAATGCTGGGGCCTCCCTCCCAGAGCTTCATGTGGCTGCAGAGGCCCCTCCAGAGCCTCCTCTTCTGCCCTGTACACCCCGATGCCTTCTGTGCTGACCTCAGTAGACGTGGTGTGACGTGCTGATGTGCATCCTGCAACTCAGCTCCAGTCCCCAGATGTAGGCTGCTTAAGTGCAGGGCCTCCTCCCACTGTCCCTCCCCAGGGCGCAGCCAGACAAGTGCAAATGGAGCCTCTCCAGCAGCCACCAACCTGCTTTATGGCTGGTGCTGTCCTTGTCACATTTCAGGAGGTCTCTAGACATTTGGCTTCTTTTCAGAGTGGACCCTGTGAGCCGCGGGCCATGGGCCATAGGGAGCCTTGGCCTGAGCTTGTCCCCTCCTTGGCCGCACTGAGCTGTGCCTGCCTTGCCAGCATCTGCCTGGCTCCCTCGGTCCTTCACAAAGACTGATGAAGGCCCCTTTTCCAGGTACTGGCACACGGATGAGGAGTCGTAGAAGAGGGGCCTGCAGATTGTGCTCTCAGCAAGCCTGTCGTCTAGTGGAAGACACTGGCCGGGACACAGAGCCCACGTGTGGACACCGCTGTGGGTTGGTGGCAGGGGTCGAGCAGGTGCCATCAGGCACATGAACGGTGGAGTCTTCAAAGGTGAGCTGCTGGGGCCGGGCGCGATGGCTCACGCCTGTAATCCCAGCACTGTGGGAGGCCAAGGCAGGCAAATCACCTGAGGTCAGGAGTTCCGGACCAGCCTGGCCAACATGGCGAAACCCCGTATCTACTAAAGATACAAAAATTAGCCTGTGTGGTGGTGGGCGTCTGTAATCCCAGCTACTTGGGAGACTTAGGCAGGAGAATCACTTGAACCTGGGAGGTGGAGGTTGCAGTGAGCCAAGATCATGCCACTGCACTCCAGCCTGGGTGACAGAGCGAGACCCTGTCTCAAAAAAAAAAAAAAGAAAGTGACCTGCTGTCTGCCCAGCCAAGGGCTGGGGAGAGACCAGCAGTCTGGCTGGAGAAGCCTCCCATCCAGCCTTCCAAATGAACGGTGAACAGTCACTCTGGCGGGACATCCAGCACTGGGGTTGGTTATAGCTGAGGTGAGGCATGTCTCCAGAGACTGCACCTTCAGAAGGTCAGCAGTCCTTCTGAGAGTCCAGCACTGCAGCCACTAACCCCCAGACAGCCTCTCTGCCCATGCAAATAAGTCTGGCCAGGCATGGTGATGCATGCCTGTGATCACAACACTTTGGGAGGCTGAGGCAGGAGGGTCGCGTCAGCCCAGGAGTTTGAGACCAGTCTGGGCAACATAGGGAGACCCCAACTCCACACACAAAAAAGACAATAACAAATTAGCCGGGTGTGGTGGCGTGCACCTCCCCAGCTACTGGGGAGGGTGAGGTGGGAGGATCGCTGGACCCCAGGAAGTTGAGGCTGCAGTGAGCTGTGACGGCAGCACTGCACTCCAGCGTGGGGACAGAGCAAGACCCTGCCTCAGAAGCAAACAAAACAGAATCAAACAAACCAGTCTGTGTGTGTATGTAACACCTTTAGCCAGGCTCTGGCAGCCTCTGCACCCACGGGCAAGATACCATAGCCATTCTCCCATGGACATTGAGACCCACCTCATCTTGTTAACAGACGTATATGTATAGATGTTATTCTACAGAATGGCTACACAGATATTTTTCCCAGAATGATGGGCATCTAGGTATTTTCCCATTTTTTGCTCCGTATCTCATAGATATTGCTACAAATAAAATCAAATCTGGTCGGGTGTGGTGGCTCATACCTATAATCCCAGCATTTTGGGAGGCCAAGGCATAAGGATTGCTTAAGACCAGGAATTCCAGACACCAGCCTGGGCAACATAGGGAAACACTGTCTCTACAAAACAAATTAAAAAATTAGCTGGGTGTAGGCCGGGCATGCTGGCTCACACCTGTAATCCCAGCACTTTGGGAGGCTGACATGAGCAGATCACGAGGTCAGGAGATCGAGACTATCCTGGCTAACACGGTGAAACCCCATCTCTACTAAAAATACAAAAAATTAGCTGGGTGTGGTGGCAGGCGCCTGTAGTTCCAGCTACTCGGGAGGCTGAGGCAGGAGAATGGCATGAACCTGGGAGGCGGAGCTCGCAGTGAGCGGAGATTGCAGCACTGCACTCCAGCCTGGGCGATGGAGCGAGACTCTGTTTCAAAAAAAAAAAAAAAAAAAGTTAGCCGGGTGTGGTGGTGCCCACCTATGGTCCCAGCTACGTGGGAGGCCAAGGTGGGAGGACTGCTTGACCTTGGGAGGTCGAGGCTACAGCGAGCCGTGATTGCACCACTGCACCCCAGCCTGGGCAATAGAGTGAGACCCTGTCTCTTAAAAAACATAATAAAAAATCAACAACAAAACAACCAAGTCTTTTAGTTATAAGTTACAGGAACCAACTCCACCAAGCCTAAGCATAACTGGGCTATTAAAGCCCCCAGAGCCAGCTGGAGGGCAGGCAATGTGGGGGCGCTGGGCTGGCCCCCAGAACCAGCCGGAGGGCAGGTGGTGTGGGGGCACTGGGCCAGCCCGTCACTGCCGGGGCTCCCGTGCTGACCGCCCAGATGCCACCCGCTGCACTGTGGCACTCGGGCTTTCACCCTGCGATGTGCGGCCAGAGGGCAGGCAGGCTCACTTCCCTCTGGCTCCCCAGCACTGTGAGTCCCTCTAGCTGACCTGCTCTGGGGGTTTTAGTAGGGTGGCGTCCTAGAAATGGGGCTGTCAAAAGGTGTACTTTTTTTTTTTTTTTTTTTGATAGGGAGTCTCTCTCTGTCACCCAGGCTGGGGTGCAGTGGTGCGATCTCAGCTCAGTGCAAGCTCCGCCTCCTGGATTCAAGTGATTCTTCTGCCTCAGCCTCCCAAGTAGCTGGGACTACAGGCGCCTGCCACCCCACCCAGCTAATTTTTTGTATTTTTAGTAGAGATGGGGTTTTACCTTGTTAGCAAGGATGGTCTCGATCTCCTGACCTCGTGATCTGCCCACCTCGGCCTCCCAAAGTGCTGGGATTACAGGCGTGAGCCACTGTGCCTAGGTGCACATTTTAAGTTTGGAGGTGCACCTTACTGAGGTGCACCGTACACACATCCCTGTGAAAGGGGAGCCTACAGCAGGTCCCCGGCCTTTCGCTCCGCCTGTAGAAGCAAGTTCCCATCCTCTTTCTGCACCCTCCTCACCATTTCTCTGAGACTCTTCCTTCCCCTGCCCCTTTCCTCTCTTTTCTTTCTTTGAATGGCATGCGGCCTCTACCTGTCCCTTGTCCCTATCTCTGGGTGAATAGAGTGACACCGCCCCTCAGGCTGTGGGCTCTCGTCGCACCATGGACACTGGGAGATGGGTACTGTGGTAAAGTAGTGACCGGGGCAGCTCTGGGTTTAGGCTTGGCCTTGGTCTCCCCATGTGGAAGATGGGGTGATGGCAGGTGCCTGAGGCAGTGATGGGAGTAGAGAGGGCACTGAGGCTCTCGGGCCTGGAGCTGTCCTCACGGGGGCTCCTGGGAGCTTGGGCTGGGCCTCCCTTCCTGAATCCACATGGCCCAGCGGTATGTAGGCAGTGAGGGGACGGTGGGTGGGGGTCGGGGACAGTGCCCAGTATCCTCCATGGGGCTCCTCCCGCCTGGGTCCCACACTCAGGCAGCTGGCCTGGGCTTTGAGGAGTGGAATGAACCCACCGGGTTATCTGTTTAGAACTGGAATGAACCGACCCGGGAATCTGTTTGACATTCCAAGGAGGTTTGGGGGAAGGTTTGTGGAGTAGAGGGAGCCGCCCTGCCCAGCCCCCTCAGCCTGGGTGTGTCCATTTGGTGGGACTACGAGCTGGCCACCAGGCTCTCATGGCTCAGCCAAGGGGCAAGTCTTCTCAGCTCTGGTGGGCTGTTCCTGGTCCATCTTGTGGCTGGGAGGAGTAGACAAAGCTTCCACTAGAAGTTCTGCTAGGGCAGCCAAGGTTCAGGTAGGAGGGAGGCAGTCTTTCCTTCTGGAGCCCTCAGCCCACTGCCGTGGGCCTTCGGCTGGCTGCTTCCTTCTGAGGGTGATTCCTGGGCAGGGAGGCCAGAGGGGGACGCTTAGGGCTCAGCCTGGGGGGAGGTGGGCACTGGGACACCCCCTGGCACCCACTCTTGGGGGGCCCTGGGCTCACTTTGGGTACCTCGTTTTCTCTTAGAGGAGGCAGTTGGACCCTCGAGCAGGACAGGAACCTGCCCAGAGTCCCATGGAGACATTGGGCAGCTTCCAGCTAGGAAGGTGGGCCTGCTAGGGTGGGGCCAAGTGCCCTGTGAGCCGTGCTGGGTGGGGTGGGGGAGGTAGAGCCTCCCCGCCCGTGGGCCTCCCTCTGCAGCCAGGGGGACTGGGGGGGTTCCCACTGTCCAGCTGCTGTTCTCTGATGAATTTTCACGGATGTGCCTCGGAATGAGAAACAAGACAGGCGTTCCGTCGGGAGTGTGGCTGCCATGCTCAGGCTTTCTCTTCTGTAGGACATGGGCAACAGAACATCTTTTTTCCTTTTTAAAAATCTGTTTTAATTTCTCTTACATTAATTATTTTTTAAATAATATAAATTGAGATGGGGTCTCGCTGTATTGCCCAGGCTGGTCTCGAACTCTTGGGCTCAAGCGACCAGCCTGCTTAGGCCTCCCAAAGTGCTGGGATTACAGGTATGAGCCACTGTGCCCCGCCGATCTTTTGTTCTGTAAGATGCTGGGGACAGTAGGTGGTGTCTGTTAAATCTTTTTTTTTGAGACAGGATCGCCCTCTGTCTGCCAGGCTGGAGTGCAGGGTGTGATCTCAGCTCGCTGCAGCCTCTACCTCCCGGGCTCAAGGGATCCTCCCACCTCAGCCTCCCGAGGAGGTGGGACCACAGGCGCATGCCACCAGCTAATTTTAAAATTATTCTGTAGAGACAGGGTCTTACCCTGCTGCCCAGGCTGGCCTTGAACTCCTGGGTTCAAGTGATCTTACTACCTTGGCCTCCCAAAGTGCTGGCATGAGCCACTGTTCCCTGACGGTTAAATCTTAATCTTTCCTTCCCGTGGCTGGAGAGAGACTGGGGATGGGCAAGGGCAGCCTGCCTTGCTCTTGGCTTGTGATCTCTTTGGGTTGGGGTGGGGGTGAGTAGCTACTGCCCAGGTGGGTTCTCTGGCAGGTCCAGAGATGCTAATGACAGAAAGGTGAGGATCTCCTCTTGCCAGCCCTGTCAGGAAGAGGGTGTGGGCTGTGAGTGGCTGGCAGGGAGGGAGGGCTCTGGCATGCCAGGTGTGGTCTGCCTCCTCTGTCCTCATGGATGCGGACCTGGCAGCATGCCTGCAAGACTGGCTCTCCTGCCTCTCTGGTACCCATGCTGTGTCTCTAGAGGGCAAGGGGAGGACTTGGGAGCCTGGGCAGGGTGTCTGGCCAGTGTGTGCTTGCCCTGGCCTCTGCGGTCTACAGAGCTGGCCAGGCTTAGGAGCAGGCTGCTCGGAGGGAGAGTTACTGCCTGGAAAAGCTCTTTACTTGGCAGGCAGAAAGCCAGGTCAGGGCCACTGGCCTTATTGGCCGTGTCCTCAGGAAGCCTCTGAGGCTAGGCCTACAGGGGGGGACTATGTCTAGAGTAGGCTGAACCTGTAAAGTGGGGCTCCCAGATAAATTGGGGGCCCCTGAGCAGGAAGGACCTGACTGGCTTAATTTGACCTGGCCCAGGACAGTTCCCTTTCTGAAAGAAGGGGGCATTCTATGAAACACCTGGGTAGAAGTCCAGCAGTGAAGAGTTGGGTCAGTGTGTAGATGGCCATGAGGCCTGGCTGGGTGGAGAATAGGACTCCTGGCAGGCATCTTCTGCAGAGCACGGAGTGCCTTCTTTCTTTTCTTTCTTCCTTTCTTTCTTTCTCGGAGTCTCGCTCTGTCACCCAGGCTGGAGTGCAGTGGCGTGATCTTGGCTCATTGCAAGCTCTGCCTCCCTGGTTCACGCCATTCTCCTGCCTCAGCCTCCCGAGTAGCTGGGACTACAGGCACGTGCCACCACGCCCAGCTATTTTTTTTGTATTTTTAGCAGAGATGGGGTTTCACCCTGTTAGCTAGGATGGTCTCGATCTCCTGACCTCGTGATCCACCCGCCTTGGCCTCCCAAAGTGCTGGGATTACAGGCCTGAGCCACCGCGCCTGGCCAAGCACAGAGTGCCTTCTGAGGTGAGGCCTGTGGCCAGCCCAGCAACCACACTTAGTGTGTCGGGCAGGACTAGGGCCATAGCAGGTACATAGGCAGGGTTGTGCCCCAGCCGAAGCTGTCTGCCTGCCTGTCTGTCCCCATAGGCCTCAAGCCAGGCACCAGGTGGGGGCTTTTATTGCAGCCTAGGATGGCAGAGGCATTGTGGGAGCCCATCAAGGAAGAGGTCTAGAGACTGGGCAGTGAGAGGCTGGGGTATCAGTCAGGACAGGAGGAGGCGGGGCCTACCCTTGGAAGGCAGGAGAGGTGGAGGCCCAGGAGGCGGGGCCTGCCCTTGGAAGGCAGTAGCCTGCAAAGCCCTCAAGGCTGTTCCACGAGACCTCACCCTGCCCAGCCTTAGGGCAGCGCCTGGCCCTGGAGGAGCAGCCTAGCAGGGAACGCCTCGCTGGGGTGGGCGGCCCTTTCTGGAAAGGGTGGGTGGGAGGAGCCTGACATGCCTTTCCCCCGCCCCTCTCTGAACCTGGGGCAGAATGGGGGCAGAGTAGCTCCCCGTACCCCCAGGACTGTTGACCTGCAGTGCTCTCTGTGGACAAAGGGTGGGCCTCACACAGGGCAGGACCTGAGACAGCTGGAAGCCTGGTCTCACCTGAGGCCCAGGGCAGGGGCTCCCCCGGGCCACCCTGCCTCAAGCCGGCCTTGATATGCTTCCTTGTTCCCCACTTCTCAGGTGTGAGCAGCTGCTGGAAGAGGAGGTGCTCCTGAAGACACTGCGGCCGGCCCGCCTGTGCCCTTGGTGCCCTGGCTGCCTAGAGAGCCTCACCCCTGGGCCCTGGGGCCAGGACTCCAGGACTCTGACTACCTGCCCTCCCCCAGCCTCAGCGGCTGCACCTCCTCGTTAGTACTGATGCACTGACCTCGGCACACAGCTGGGAGGGGTTGGGGGCTGGGTCATGGCTGCTCCCAGGCCCCACCCAGGCTCCTGAGCCTAGAAGGTGAAAAGAGGACTCTCAGGGGCTCACAGGGGCTCTCACTGCTGGTTGGCCCTGCCCTCCCTTCCCCCTCAGCAGGGTGCCCGGAAGCTGGAACCTTGTTATCTGGGTAATTAGTTTCAGACCCTGCACTGAGGCCGGCCAGGTCTCGGGGCTGCCTCCCATAGGTTGTGCACCCTGACCCCGAGAGGGAGGCGAGGCGCTGCTTGTCGACAGCTAGAGGCTGGCCTGGGGAGCAGGTTTGGGGTGCCCTCCCACACTGCCCTCCCTGCCCCGGCCCATGCCCCCCAGGGCTGCCTGGGCCTGGTTATTGTGTGGGGCCTCCTGACCCAGCCAAGGGCACGAAGCTCTGGGAAGGGGATGCCCCCGAGGGTGCCAGTCCAGCTAGCTGCCCCACCCCTCAGGCCCAGCCTGGCCCCCAAGCTCCCCACTCTGGTGCCCCGAGCAGCCCTGTGGGCAAGCAGCCGCCGCCATGGCCGAGCACCTGGAGCTGCTGGCAGAGATGCCCATGGTGGGCAGGATGAGCACACAGGAGCGGCTGAAGCATGCCCAGAAGCGGCGCGCCCAGCAGGTGAAGATGTGGGCCCAGGCTGAGAAGGAGGCCCAGGGCAAGAAGGGTCCTGGGGAGCGTCCCCGGAAGGAGGCAGCCAGCCAAGGGCTCCTGAAGCAGGTCCTCTTCCCTCCCAGTGTTGTCCTTCTGGAGGCCGCTGCCCGAAATGACCTGGAAGAAGGTGAGTGTGGCTGAGCCCAGAGCAGCTCCCAGCAGACGGCCCACTCCCTGCTACCTGGGTGCCGTCTCATGCCAAGGCTGGGGGCTGGGCCTGTCCACAGCTCCTGGGCTCCAGCCCCCAGATCTTGCCTGGTCTCTTCAGGCTGGGTGGCCCAGGGTGCCCCCATCAGGCAAGCCCCAAGCAGTGGGCAGCCCTGAGGTGAGCCTGTGCGGGACAGCCGTCCTTCAGGCGGGGGCTGCATGCAGAGGGCTCCTGCTGTGAGGTGAGCTGAGGCCATGAGTGGACCCCCAGGAGCCTGCAGAAAAACCTAGTGCGGGGCCCCACGGGAGCAGGGGTGGCCGGTAGTCATTGCTGCTTCTTGTTAGGCTGCTCAGGAGAGCCCTGGTCTCCACCTCCGTGAAATAGGGTGGGACCAGCCACCTCTGTGGGTGAGAGAGCCAGGCCCTGGGCAGGCACAGAGCTATGCAGGTGGCCCCCTCTCAGTGCCTGCCCTAGGCTCTGCTTGTGACTCTCTTCTCCTCACCTGTGCCCCACGCTTGCAGCCCCAGCTGTGTGGGTTCCACTTCTGGTGCTCTGGAGTCTTGGGGGAAGAGGCACTGTGGTGGCCCTTGAGACTCCTTCCTGCCTCCCTCCGGAGCAGAGAGTAAAGAGGAGCCGGCAGTGTCTGGCCTGCATCTTTCCATGTGGACAGGAGCCCTCCCGGGAGGCCTGGAGGCAGAGGGAAGAGGCGGAGGGTGCCATGGTCCACAGGGAGCTGTGGGAAGGTGGGAGCCCTCCTGCTGCACCCCAGGCACCGTCAGGGAGAACCCTGGTGACCTGGGCGAGAGCTGGGCCCGAGTTGGGATCTTTGATGGGGAGGGGAGTGAGAGCAGGGATGTGCTCTGGTGGTGGGGAGCCTCAGGTCAGGTCCCAGAGGACCCAGGAGAGCTCATGAACACAGGGCTGGCAGGTTGTCAGGGAAGAGCCGAAGGAGCTGTGGTAGCCTCCAGGCAGGGAGCTCTTCCTGGGCTGGAGGGAGGTGTGGGATTGTTGGAGTGCTGCTCTCACACAGGAGCACGGCCTGTTCTGGGGGTCGGAGGGCTGGAGCACCACCATGAAGGGCCTGCAGGTGGGTGGAGGCAGAGGGCTTCTGGGAGTGTGACCGGCCTGGGCCAGACAGATGCCTGGTGCTTCTGCCCCCACCCCTGGGCTCTGGTGTGCCTCCTGCCATCGGCACCACTGTCTTCCTTGTCCTTCCCTGGGTCCTGGGCCGAAGCACAGTTGACAGGACCTGACCAGGGGCAGGACCCTGTCCTCACCTCGCCACCTTTTTGCAGTCCGCCAGTTCCTTGGGAGTGGGGTCAGCCCTGACTTGGCCAACGAGGACGGCCTGACGGCCCTGCACCAGGTCAGCCTGCACTGGGTGTGGGCAGGGTGGGGGCTGGCCCCCGTGCTCTGGTCGCTCACGTGGCACGGTTTGCAGTGCTGCATTGATGATTTCCGAGAGATGGTGCAGCAGCTCCTGGAGGCTGGGGCCAACATCAATGCCTGTGACAGTGAGTGCTGGACGCCTCTGCATGCTGCGGCCACCTGCGGCCACCTGCACCTGGTGGAGCTGCTCATCGCCAGGTAGGGCCTGTTGGGCGTCCTTGGCAGGGAGAGGCTTCCTCTCAGATGGCCGCTCAGGAGGCTCCTCTTGGGCAGTATCTGTGGCTCTCGGCCTCCTGTGTTCCCGCCTTCACCTTTGCTGACCCTGCCTGTGTCCTGGCATGGAGAGCAGGGCCTGGGGCTCCAGGGGAATGGGCATGTGCCCAGGGCAGCGCGGTCCCTGCCTCCCCAGCATTCGTCCTCCTGCCGAGAGGGCAGGCCTCGGGCCCCCCCCCAGAGTGTGCACAGAGAAATGTCTTGGTCAGTGAGGAGGGCAGAACTGCTAAGGAGGGAAGCAGAGTGAGGAGGCCAGGTGGCTTGGGAGGAGAGGGTACCTGAGCACAGGTAGGGCCTTTACCTTTAACACAGAGGGACGTAGAGCGGGGGGAACTCTGAGCAGGGAGGGTCCATGAGCCTCCTCCCTTCCCCTTTGCTCCAGGCATCTGTAGTGGGAGAGAGGTCAGGGCTGCGGTCATTCTCGAGTGCCCCTGTGAGGCCGGGTGGGGTGTGCATGGCGGTCGCGTCACACACAGGCGCTGCGGGGCAGGCGGGGATGTGGGGTGTCCACAGGTAGGCCTGCTCCTCCACTGCACACAGACACCCCCTTCTGTGTTCTGGGCTCCCCTTCACCGCCCTTCTTCCCTGGGGCCATGCTCCCCACAGCTCAGCAGCCCCTCAGCGTGGCTGCCTGGTCCTGCACCCCCGCCACCCTGTGCTCCCTGCTCCCCAGCAGGCAGGCCCATCCAATGCATGTTTATGGGGGCACCGCTGCCCCTGGAGGTGCCAGGAACCTGGATCCCTGGATGGATAGAGACTGCAGGAGGCCTGTCTGGCTTAATGACAGGATCTAGGACAGCCGATGGGCCCCAAGGCTGCCTCTCCCAGCAGCAGGTGGACAGGGTGCCTCCTGAGGGGCAGCCCTGGGCTGAGGGGCCCTGGCGGGGACTTCTCCAAGTGAGGAGCCTGGCAAGCGGGGAAGGGCCTTGTGCCCAGCACCCCGTCCGTCTTCCCTGCAGTGGCGCCAATCTCCTGGCGGTCAACACCGACGGGAACATGCCCTATGACCTGTGTGATGATGAGCAGACGCTGGACTGCCTGGAGACTGCCATGGCCGACCGTGGTAGGTGCGGCGGTGCGGCTGTGGGAGGGCTGCCGGTCGCGCTCCCTCTGAGCCTGCCGCCTCGCAGGCATCACCCAGGACAGCATCGAGGCCGCCCGGGCCGTGCCAGAACTGCGCATGCTGGACGACATCCGGAGCCGGCTGCAGGCCGGGGCAGACCTCCATGCCCCCCTGGACCACGGGGCCACGCTGGTGAGGGCTGGGGGGTGAGGGGCACACGGGGCTGGGGGCCTCGCTACTTGGAGGTGGGGGATGGGGCCGAATTCAGGCCGGGCGCTTGCCTGCAGCTGCACGTCGCAGCCGCCAACGGGTTCAGCGAGGCGGCTGCCCTGCTGCTGGAACACCGAGCCAGCCTGAGCGCTAAGGACCAAGACGGCTGGGAGCCGCTGCACGCCGCGGCCTACTGGGGCCAGGTGAGTGCGGGCGGGAGCAGGTGGGAGGGGGCTTCCAGCGCAGCAGTCTGCAGCTCCGGCCTGCCGTCCACAGGTGCCCCTGGTGGAGCTGCTCGTGGCGCACGGGGCCGACCTGAACGCAAAGTCCCTGATGGACGAGACGCCCCTTGGTGAGCTTGCGGGGCCCACCTCCACCTGGGGGAGAGGACAGGCGGGGAGGGCGCCCCTGACGCCTGCGCCCACTTCTCAGATGTGTGCGGGGACGAGGAGGTGCGGGCCAAGCTGCTGGAGCTGAAGCACAAGCACGACGCCCTCCTGCGCGCCCAGAGCCGCCAGCGCTCCTTGCTGCGCCGCCGCACCTCCAGCGCCGGCAGCCGCGGGTGAGCGCCGCCCCCAGCAGGCCCCGCCCCGGGCTTGGCCCCGCGGACGTCAGCCCCGGGCGGAGTGCCAGCCGAACTGGGGGCAGAGTCCGAGGGGGTGGGCGGGGTCCTCCGGGCACTCCCCTTCCCCTCACTCCCTCTCCTCTCTCCTCCCCAGGAAGGTGGTGAGGCGGGTGAGCCTAACCCAGCGCACCGACCTGTACCGCAAGCAGCACGCCCAGGAGGCCATCGTGTGGCAACAGCCGCCGCCCACCAGCCCGGAGCCGCCCGAGGACAACGATGACCGCCAGACAGGCGCAGAGCTCAGGCCGCCGCCCCCGGAGGTGAGCGCCCCGTCCCTGCTCCGCCCAGCGCAGGGGTGGGCCTGGCTCTGCCCTGGTTCTCTCTCCGCTTGGACCCCCTCCTGCCTGTGTCAGGAATGGTGCCCTGCAGGGGCCAGCTTTTGCCCCATCTCTCCTGTCTGTCCCTTCATGACCATACAGCCTGAACCCAAGGCCAGGGAGGGGGGAGGAGCCTCCTGATGGCTCTGGGACCTTCACTGCCCGCAGGAGGACAACCCCGAAGTGGTCAGGCCGCACAATGGCCGAGTAGGGGGCTCCCCAGTGCGGCATCTATACTCCAAGCGACTAGACCGGAGTGTCTCCTACCAGCTGAGCCCCCTGGACAGCACCACCCCCCACACCCTGGTCCACGACAAGGCCCACCACACCCTGGCTGACCTGAAGCGCCAGCGAGCTGCTGCCAAGCTGCAGCGACCCCCACCTGAGGGGCCCGAGAGCCCTGAGACAGCTGAGCCTGGCCTGCCTGGTGACACGGTGACCCCCCAGCCTGACTGTGGCTTCAGGGCAGGCGGGGACCCACCCCTGCTCAAGCTCACAGCCCCGGCGGTGGAGGCTCCCGTGGAGAGGAGGCCGTGCTGCCTGCTCATGTGAGGCTGTTGCTCAGCATGCAGGGGCCCTGTCGCGGGCACAGCCCAAGGCTGCCTCCCCACGGTGCGTGCCCTGGTGCTGCGGGTGCAGCACGGAAACCCCGGCTTCTACTGTACAGGACACTGGCCCCTCTCAGGTCAGAAGACATGCCTGGAGGGATGTCTGGCTGCAAAGACTATTTTTATCCTGCAACTCTTGATAAAGGGCTGTTTTGCCATGGAGCCTCGTTGTGTGTTGTGTGTCTCAGCTGGGTCGCTGTCCCACAGTGGGGAGTGGGTTGTGCTGTTTGGCTGGGGTGCCACCCGTGCCTGTGAGCATGAAAGCCTGTAGGTGCGCGCTGGGGCATGTGGCAGCCCTGGCTGTGTGGGAGTGAGGCTCACAGCCACTGGGCTGGAAGCCTGGGCCTCACCCACTCCCTCCCATGCTCAGCCTCCTGGAGCCTCCTCCGTAACCCTTTGCTCTCCTGAGAGGAGCCAGGTGCTTTGAAGGAGCCTCCATGGGGGCCAGGGCCTAGGGTGTCTGTGCTGAGGGGCGGAAGGTGGGGGTCCCAGGGACCATGGCTTGGAAAGGGAGGTGGTGTTTTCCACAAGACTCTTGTGTCAGAGCCAGAGGGGCAAAACAAGCACAAGGCTGTGTCAGAAGCTCCCTGGGGGGGTTGTGGGTCCCCAGTTCCTGGCACGCAGCCTTAATCCTGGGGCCTGGCTGCCAGCTTCCGCCTGGGCTGGCATAGGGGACACGCAGTTGGCCACTCTGGCTCTGAGCTGGCTTGGCACAATGTGTCAGGGTGAGGGGGCCCCTTAGGGGCCTCAAGCAGGAGGGCTGAGGGCACCGCTGGTTCGTCTGTTCATGGTGGGCGGCTTTGTGTGGCCACCAGTGCTGGGTGGTGTGGGTTTGGGCTGTTCTCCCTCCTGGCTCAGCACGGGCCCGTCAGCCCAGTGTCCTTTGGGCCTGCCCTTCCCCTAGCATCCCTGGTTGGAAGGGTGTCCTCACAGGGCTGTGGGCGGGCCAGGGCTGGCTGCTGGTTAAATTTAGTGTGGGGGGTGGGGCAGCTGCCCAAGGTCCACCTGCCACCAGGGCTGCCACTTGGACTCCCTTGCCAGGGGGCGGGCAGGGGCTGGCTCTGCCTGGGGCCAGGCCCATGTTAACCTGTGCCCCGGCCTGGGGGCCAGAGGGGCAGGCCTGCGCACGGGGAGGCTGTTGTGGCAGCGGAACAGAGACGTGCACGGTGAGAGGCCTGGGGGCCGGCTGTCCAGGGCTCCCGATGGCTTTTCTCCCAGCCAGCAGGATCAGAGGAGCCAAGGTCCGACTTGGGCCTGGCTGGTTGCCCACAGCCCTGCTCAGAGGGCCGGCTCCCTGACCCCCATGGTTCAGGTTTCGGTGCCCGACGCTGGGGTGGGCCAGCGTGGAGCCTGGCCTTTCAGCTCAGCAGGCCTGTGGAGGTGGGGCTCTGACGGCCTATCCCAGCTCGTTTCCTACTCTCTCCTCCAATCGGGAACAAGAGGGCTGGAGAGCTCAGGTCACCCCTAGCCTCGGGTGTGTCCCAAGGGCAACCCCCAGCTGGTGCCTGGTGAAAGGGCATGACAGCAGCCACGGTGTGAGCTGTCCCAGGGCTCAGGGCTGGACTGCCTGGCTCCAGCCCCCTCCCCCAGCCCCTCGCAGTGCTCATCAGGG
The DNA here is from genome assembly GCF_000001405.40 of Homo sapiens. NCBI lineage: Eukaryota > Metazoa > Chordata > Mammalia > Primates > Hominidae > Homo > Homo sapiens. The sequence continues at coordinate 144,503,572 of NC_000008.11, forward strand.
ACCAAGGTCCAGCTACAGAGCTCTTGCAGCCTCTGGGCCATAGCTGCCAGCTCTGGAGGGTCCAGATGGAACCCAGAGCCTGAACACCCCTCCCCTCCCCCCAGCACCCCCTGGATTCCTGAGGCCTGGCTCAGTTAATAGGAGACAGGTCCGCTGGCCCAAGCAAAGATGCGGGTGCCACGAGGGCCAGGCCTCGGCCAAGCCCTGCTGGGGTAAATCCCAGCAGCCCAGGCTCCAGTCTCGCCTCGGGGGTCCCTCCTTGCCAGCTCTGCCAGCCCCTCAGGGCTGCTGGGCACCCCTTCACCTCCTGAGCACCCCAGGTGCTCAGCCCTCTCCCCCTCCCCCCATGTCTAGTCCCTCAGAGCTGTCCGGACTGACGTCTGTACCTACCCCCCATGTGGGTCTCCTGCTCTCCCTTCGTGGGGACACTAGGCAGGCACTGGGCCTTGCCCCAAGCCCCGCCTGCCACCTCACCCACTGCCTCTGCCTCCCTGGGGCAGAGCTGTTCCCAGACGGGTGGGGCGGGGCCCAACTGTCCCCAGCTCCTTCAGCCCTTTCTGTCCCTCCCAGTGAGGCCAGCTGCGGTGAAGAGGGTGCTCTCTTGCCTGGAGTTCCCTCTGCTACGGCTGCCCCCTCCCAGCCCTGGCCCACTAAGCCAGACCCAGCTGTCGCCATTCCCACTTCTGGTCCTGCCACCTCCTGAGCTGCCTTCCCGCCTGGTCTGGGTAGAGTCATGGCCTCGAGCACAGGTGACCGGAGCCAGGCGGTGAGGCATGGACTGAGGGCGAAGGTGCTGACGCTGGACGGCATGAACCCGCGTGTGCGGAGAGTGGAGTACGCAGTGCGTGGCCCCATAGTGCAGCGAGCCTTGGAGCTGGAGCAGGAGCTGCGCCAGGTATGGCCCAGGGCCCCTCGCTGCCCTCCAGGTCACAATGGGGTGGCCGAGTTGGCCCCAGCCCCACTGGCACATGGGACAAGGGCTGAGGGGTTAGGTAGGGCACAGTCTCCCTGCCTGCTCCCCTCCCCTCCCAGGGTGTGAAGAAGCCTTTCACCGAGGTCATCCGTGCCAACATCGGGGACGCACAGGCTATGGGGCAGAGGCCCATCACCTTCCTGCGCCAGGTGAGGCTCCTGCACTGCCCGGAGCACCCCCCCACCCCCAGCCCATGTGCCCTGGCCTCAGCACTCCGTCTTCCCAGGTCTTGGCCCTCTGTGTTAACCCTGATCTTCTGAGCAGCCCCAACTTCCCTGACGATGCCAAGAAAAGGGCGGAGCGCATCTTGCAGGCGTGTGGGGGCCACAGTCTGGGTGAGAGCCAGGGCCAGGAGGAAGCAGAGGGCCGCCCTGCCACTGGAGGAGGGAAGTCCCTTGGGAGGGCTGAGGAGAACTTCACCTGTACTTCCCATCCTGTCCTGCCCGAGTCCAGGGGCCTACAGCGTCAGCTCCGGCATCCAGCTGATCCGGGAGGACGTGGCGCGGTACATTGAGAGGCGTGACGGAGGCATCCCTGCGGACCCCAACAACGTCTTCCTGTCCACAGGGGCCAGCGATGCCATCGTGGTAGGCTGGGCATGGGCACCAAGACATTCCTGACACTGCAGAGGGGGCGCCCAGGGTGGGGGACAGGTGCGGCCCCAGGCCTCGCCAACCCTGCCTTCCCCTTCCTTTCCGCAGACGGTGCTGAAGCTGCTGGTGGCCGGCGAGGGCCACACACGCACGGGTGTGCTCATCCCCATCCCCCAGTACCCACTCTACTCGGCCACGCTGGCAGAGCTGGGCGCAGTGCAGGTGGATTACTACCTGGACGAGGAGCGTGCCTGGGCGCTGGACGTGGCCGAGCTTCACCGTGCACTGGGCCAGGCGCGTGACCACTGCCGCCCTCGTGCGCTCTGTGTCATCAACCCTGGCAACCCCACCGGTGCGTTCCCCGCCGCCCCGCCCCACTCCCCCCGCGCCCACGTTGCGTTCCCCGCCGCCCCGCCCCACTCCCCCCGCGCCCACGGTGCGTTCCCCGCCGCCCCGCCCCACTCCCCCCGCGCCCACGGTGCGTTCCCCGCCGCCCCGCCCCACTCCCCCCGCGCCCACGGTGCGTTCCCCGCCGCCCCGCCCCACTCCCTCCGCGCCCACGGTGCGTTCCCCGCCGCCCCGCCCCACTCCTCCCGCACCCACGTGCGCCCTGGCCCAGGCAGTGCCGGGTCCGCTGGACCCCGGCTGCCCAGCGGAGGGCAGTGCGCCCCCTTGGCTCACCCAGCACTGCTGCCTCCCCGGCACCCCAGGGCAGGTGCAGACCCGCGAGTGCATCGAGGCCGTGATCCGCTTCGCCTTCGAAGAGCGGCTCTTTCTGCTGGCGGACGAGGTGCGCGGCGCGGGGGAGCGGGAAGCCGGGCAACAGTCCGCCCCCGTGACGCCTTGCGCCCTTCCAGGTGTACCAGGACAACGTGTACGCCGCGGGTTCGCAGTTCCACTCATTCAAGAAGGTGCTCATGGAGATGGGGCCGCCCTACGCCGGGCAGCAGGAGCTTGCCTCCTTCCACTCCACCTCCAAGGGCTACATGGGCGAGTGCGTGCGTACGAGGCGGGTGGGGGCTCGCGGGCCATGGCCAGGCCCTCCTCGCCCGATGGGCCACCCCCTCCTCCGCACCTGACCTGGCCGTGCGCAGGTGCGGGTTCCGCGGCGGCTATGTGGAGGTGGTGAACATGGACGCTGCAGTGCAGCAGCAGATGCTGAAGCTGATGAGTGTGCGGCTGTGCCCGCCGGTGCCAGGACAGGCCCTGCTGGACCTGGTGGTCAGCCCGCCCGCGCCCACCGACCCCTCCTTTGCGCAGTTCCAGGCTGTGAGTTGGGGGCAGGAGGGGGTCCAGGTGACCTAATCAGGGGTGGGGGATGCCGAGTGCCGTGCCCTGATGGGCCCTCCCTCCGCGGCCACAGGAGAAGCAGGCAGTGCTGGCAGAGCTGGCGGCCAAGGCCAAGCTCACCGAGCAGGTCTTCAATGAGGCTCCTGGCATCAGCTGCAACCCAGTGCAGGGCGCCATGTACTCCTTCCCGCGCGTGCAGCTGCCCCCGCGGGCGGTGGAGCGCGCTCAGGTCAGGCGGGGGCGGGGCCTGCGGGGTGGGCAGGGGGGGCCGGGCATCCCTCTCTGACGGCTCTCCGTCCACAGGAGCTGGGCCTGGCCCCCGATATGTTCTTCTGCCTGCGCCTCCTGGAGGAGACCGGCATCTGCGTGGTGCCAGGGAGCGGCTTTGGGCAGCGGGAAGGCACCTACCACTTCCGGTGAGGCCTGGCCCTCACTCCCTGTCCCGCCACCCTGGCCCTTCACTCACTGTCAACTCCTTTCAGGATGACCATTCTGCCCCCCTTGGAGAAACTGCGGCTGCTGCTGGAGAAGCTGAGCAGGTTCCATGCCAAGTTCACCCTCGAGTACTCCTGAGCACCCCAGCTGGGGCCAGGCTGGGTCGCCCTGGACTGTGTGCTCAGGAGCCCTGGGAGGCTCTGGAGCCCACTGTACTTGCTCTTGATGCCTGGCGGGGTGGGGTGGGGGGGGTGCTGGGCCCCTGCCTCTCTGCAGGTCCCTAATAAAGCTGTGTGGCAGTCTGACTCCAGGGAGGAAGCGTTGGCAGCTGCGTGGCCCGCTCCCACCTGCCTACCCTTCTTGCAGGCCTGAGTCCCTTCAGAGAAGGGACCTTCCACGGCCACCACCCACCTCTTCCTCCTGAAGACCCCGTGCCCACCATAGGCTGGGTCTTCCCTCTGGCCTCTGGTTGTGGGGCAGAGCCCGTCAGATCACACAGAAATGGGTTGAGAGGGTCCAGAGTGTGAGGAAAGCGCAGGCCCCACACCCCTTTGTGGAAGCCCCCAAGAATCTAGGGAGCCAGGGGCCCAGGTGGCCACCCGAAGAAACACAGCCTTTCCTGAGGAAGGCACAGTGAACTGCCTCCTTCCTGGCTCCCTTTCCTGTGAGGTCCATGTCTTCCCTGGGGCAGGGGGAAATACTAAACCAGCATGGTGCTGGCTGGTCAGGGTGACTGACAGCTCAGGAAGGAAGTCTTGGTTCTCTTACCCAAGGAAGCAGGGGTGGGGCCACTGTCTGGGGGGCCAGAGACCACCTTTGGTGTCATTGTGTGGTGCAGTCCTTCGGCTGGGTGGAGTGGGAGGCAGAGGGAGAGGATAAGGGAGCGTCCCAGGGGAGGGCTGGGGCTGGAGGAGGCAGGGGCTGGGCTGAGCGGGAGTGGGCAGCGCTGTGTCCTGGCCTGGGGAGCATGGCTGAGCACCTACTACATGCAGACACTGCTGGGGGGTCACTCAATCTGCACAGATGCTCTTCTGAAGTAGGCATGATAGTCCCCATTTGATAGACGTGGAAACCTGCAACCCAAAAACCTGCTGAGCTGACAAGAAACCCCCTCAGAGGCCTCGGCAGCCAGAAAAATGCGTTGGGTCCAGTGCCCTCAAGTCCGCCAAGGACAGGGCTGGCTTTAGAGACTCACAAACTTGGGAGATAGGACTGGCCAAGGGCACCTGGTTTTTTTCGCTCTGGAGATGGTTCTTAACCACAGGCCACACACACTTCACAGCCTCATCTGGCCCTCGGGAGCCCCAGAGGGCACAGCTCTGGGCAGGAGACACAGCAGGTGGGCCCCTCCCTTGGCAGGGCGGGCTCGAATCAGGCAGGGTGCTCCTAGCCTTGTCACCGGACACCGAAGGGCGTCACGGGCAGTGGCTGGCGGTGTCCTTCTGAGCTAAGCTGGGTCCTGACCTTTCACACTTCCCTCCTAACTTCCATGGCTCTGTCACCGCCTTACGGAGGAGCTGAAGCCACAGACACAGCAAGGTTGGGGTCCGCACCGGAAGTATCCAGTGGTAGACGGCGGAACCCTTAAGAAACGGACGCCTTCATGCGGGCGGCTGGAGAAGCGGGGGCTGGGCACTGCAGCAACCACGCTTCGGCTGACACCAGGAAGGAAGCACGCCTGGAGCGGATCCGAAACTACTGAGAGGGGCCAGGGCTGGCCGTGGGCGCAGGCCGATCCTTACATTCGAGGCCGGCCCAGCTCTGTAGCTTCCCCCTCTGGGCCTCTCACCCGCGCAGGACCTCGGTGGGAGCGCGCACGTGGCGGGGCGGGGGGCCGCGGGCCCGAGCCCGGACTGGCCACCGGGGGCGCCCGCGAGCTGACGCTCTGGCCCGTTGCGGTCTCTGTGGCCCGCGCGACCTTCCGGCCCTGGAGCCGGTGGCCGCGGGGCTCCAGCGACGCCGTGTGGTCCGTGCTCCGCTCTGTGGCTCCAGGGGGCCGAGAAACTGCTGAGAGTCCGGCCCGGCCGGCAGTGCTGGGCGCGGGCCGAGGGCCCCGGGAGGCAGCGGCCCCGCCCTCTTTACCTGCGGCCTCGCAGAGCATGCTGGGAGCCGCGGGAGGCAGTGGCCCCGCTCCCCTCACCTGCGGTATCGCAGAGCATGGTGGGAGCCCCGGGAGGCAGTGGCCCCGCCCCCTTCCCTGCGGCCGCGCAGAGCATGCCGGGAGCCGCCGGCCGCCGGTGTCCGGACCGCTCGCCCCCGTTTGGACCCGACTTCGGTTCTTCTGGGGTGTTGATGCTCCTAAAGCCCGAGAGCACGTGTCCAGACCCTAGCCTGTACGACGCTGACTCTGCCCGGTCCCAGAACCAAAGCCATGCCGGGGTGTGGCCTCTGACCCCACGCGGAGGGGACCTCGCCTTGCGGGACCCCACCTGGAACCCGACCTCCCAGCCTCGCAGCCGGCCTGAGCCGCCATGCGCGGGAAGTTGCTGCCGCTGGCCGGCCTCTACCTGGTGCAGGGCCTGCCCTACGGGCTCCAGTCCGGCCTCCTGCCAGTGCTGCTGCGTGCCGGCGGCCTCTCGCTGACGCGCGTGGGGCTGGCCAAGGTTCTGTACGCTCCGTGGCTGCTCAAGCTGGCTTGGGCCCCGCTGGTGGACGCGCAGGGCTCGGCGAGGGCCTGGGTGACGCGCAGCACGGCGGGCCTGGGCCTGGTGTGTGGGCTGCTTGCCGGGCTGCCCCCTCCTGGAGCTGGCCAGGCCGGGCTGCCCGCCGCTGTGGCGGGGTTGCTGCTGTTGTTGAACCTGGGTGCCGCCATGCAGGATGTGGCCCTGGACGCGCTGGCTGTGCAGCTGCTGGAGCCGGCCGAACTGGGGCCGGGCAATACCGTGCAGGTGGTCGCGTACAAGCTGGGGGCCGCGCTAGCTGGGGGCGCGCTGCTGGCGCTGCTGCCCACCTTCTCGTGGCCGCAACTCTTTCTGCTCCTGGCTGCCACCTACTGGCTGGCCGCGGCCCTGGCCTGGGCTGCACCAGCCCTGCGGCGGCTCCCACAGCAGCCCCCTTCCGAGCAGCGTCCCCACACCGCGCACCTTCTGCGGGACGTGCTAGCCGTGCCGGGGACCGTGTGGACGGCAGGCTTTGTGCTCACCTACAAGCTGGGTGAGTGAGGCCTCGAGCCAGGCAACAGCAGTTGGGGCTTCCGGGACAGCTCCAGGTGTGTCCCCAGGGGCTTGCAACCCATTACAGGGCCACGCTCTTTCTGGGGTATGACCTGCAAGACTTGGCCCTGACATCCGGGGCTCTGCAGCTGGGCCTTGTGTCTTGTCCGCCCCCAGCTCTAGCCCCATCCCTGAGCGCTCTCTCGGGCTGCCCCACTTCTCCCCCAGTATCTGCAGCTCTGGAACACTGAGGAGAGCAGGGCAGGACTGAGGGCCCAGGTGGGGAGAAGGGAGGTGGGGGCAGATATGGAACCTCCCGTGCTCATGCCCCCCCCACCACCCAAGGTGAGCAGGGTGCCAGCAGCCTGTTTCCTCTTCTCCTGCTGGACCACGGCGTTTCTGCTCCCGAGTTGGGACTGTGGAATGGTGTGGGTGCTGTGGTCTGCTCCATCGCTGGCTCCTCCCTGGGTGGGACCTTGCTGGCCAAGCACTGGTGAGCCCTCCCCAGTGTACCCTGCCCACCCACTTGTACCTGAGCTGCCCCCAATCCACTATACTGACCCATTTCCCACCCCCATCCCAGGAAACTGCTGCCTCTGTTGAGGTCGGTGCTGCGCTTCCGCCTCGGGGGCCTAGCCTGTCAGACTGCCTTGGTCTTCCACCTGGACACCCTGGGGGCCAGCATGGACGCTGGCACAATCTTGAGAGGTGAGGGGCTGGCCTTGAGGAGGAAGAGAGGGGCCAGGAGCCTGGGGCACTGCTGACTTCTGCCCTCCCAGGGTCAGCCTTGCTGAGCCTATGTCTGCAGCACTTCTTGGGAGGCCTGGTCACCACAGTCACCTTCACTGGGATGATGCGCTGCAGCCAGCTGGCCCCCAGGGCCCTGCAGGTGAGTAGATGTAGCAGGGACACAAGAGAGACCACGGGGCTGGGGCTGTGTGGGCCTGACCTTGACCGTGACCCCCACCCCCCTCAGGCCACACACTACAGCCTTCTGGCCACGCTGGAGCTGCTGGGGAAGCTGCTGCTGGGCACTCTGGCCGGAGGCCTGGCTGATGGGTTGGGGCCACATCCCTGCTTCTTGCTCCTGCTCATCCTCTCTGCCTTTCCCGTTCTGTACCTGGACCTAGCACCCAGCACCTTTCTCTGAGCTGAGTGGCTGGAGTGGTCAATAAAGCCACATGTGCCTGTGGCCCAGATGTCTCTGTGCCTGGAATATGTGATGTGCTTGTCCCCAGCTTGTGGGGGTTGCCTCATTGGCCAAGAGGGCCCATAAAAACAAAGTGAGCATTTTTTATTCTGCATTTTGGAGCCTCCTCGTTCCCACACCCTGTGGCAGGTTTTGCCCAGGTCCTCAGTCACTGCCCTAGCCTCTGACAACCCCAGCTCTACCCGACATCCCCCAATGCAGTGCAGTCAGCGGGCCACCTGCAGGAGCTCTTCCGTGGCCAGGCCCACCAGGGCATGGAAGCTCAGGTGCAGGTATTTTCTCCAGAAGCGTCGGTCCTGCCCGTACACCTGGGCCGGGTAGCAGGGGCTTCCTACGGTGGAGCCAAGACACAGCCGTGAGCCCCAGCCCCAGCCTGCAGCGGGTGGAGCCTCCCAGGCCTCACCTGCCCCAGCCCCCAGCCCCAGCCTGCAGCGGGTGGGGCCTCCCAGGCCTCACCGATGCCGTGGAAGATGCGGGCCACAGCCCTGCTGGAGAACTTCTCCTCTGGCCTCAGGGACAGGAACTGGCGGATGTCGCAGCGGACCTGGTCCTCCCAATCCTGGAGCTGTGTGGACAGGCACATCAGGCTTCCTCTGAGCTCCCGTGGCACTGCATCCACAGAGCAAGCCCCATGCAGCCCAGGGAACCTGCAACCCCGATGAGCTGCCTGGCCTTACTGCACTCACTCTGGCCTGCCCTGGCTCGGGGCCCTGTGCGTCCTCCATGCCTCCCGGCTCCTGCCCTTCCTCTTCCTCAAAGTAGCGGCCGAGCAGGTCCTTGAGCCTGGTGCTGCGCTCCTCATCCTGCTGCTCCAGGCAGGGCCCGCAGCTGGGGAAGGCTACGCTGTGGGGAGGAGCCTGTCAGAGCTGATCACTGCGGGAGGGTGGATGGTCCCAGGCCCCGCCCGCCTCCTCCCAACCTGTGAAAGGCCTGGAAGGTTCTGCGCAGACGGGCCAGGGCCTGGCGCTCCCGGGCCTGCACACGGCCATAGAGGAAGTCACATATCTGGTCCTTCTCCTCAGCGGTCAAGTCCCCCGGGCTGCGAAGGTGGAAGGCCAGCTCACTGAACTCCACAAGCACCCCTGTCCCACGCCGCACACCTGCCGGAAAGCATGTCAGATGCAGGCAGGCAGCGTCCAGGGCGGTGTGGGGTGGGGAGAGGCGCACCTGTCCTGGGCTCGTGGTCCCACTGCAGCTGGCAGAGAGCCCGCCGCACAGAGGCCAGCTCCCAGCCCATGGAGTCCACCAGCTTGACCATGTCAAACTCCACGGAGCTGCTGCCTTGCCCTGGGTCCTCAGGCAGCTGCTGGGCCAAGCACACAGCCAAAGGGGGACACCTGTGCCCAGGGAAAAAGGGACATGTGGCCAACAGCCCTGATTCTCCAACCTCGTCTCCAACTGGGCAGGGCGTGCTTACCTGTGGGCCAGGGCCTGGAGCTGGGCAGGGCCCCCAGGGCAGTTCAGACGGCAATGGGTATAGGTGGTCGCCAGCAGCTCCAGCCAGTGGTGTGGGTGCAGCTCCAGGTAGCACAGCAAAGTCTCGATGGCTGGGGGCAGAGCAGGGCTCAGCGGACGCGGGGACAGCCCCTCCACACCCCTGTGGCTTACCCCAGGTTCCTCACCCTCCTCCGGCATGTCCAAAGCCTGTACGGTAAGCTGTATTGGGAGTGCCCGCTCATGGCCCATGCAGACCCTTCTGGGTCCTGGGGCTGCTTGGTGGCTAAGCTGCTCAGCCTCTTGAGGGGGGTACTTGGGCACAGGCCTCTCCCCACCCACGGCCCCTTCCTGCTCCGAGGGCGGCCTGGTGCAGGTGCAGGTGCAGGCTGGGAACACGCGCTGTACCAGCCTCTTCACAGCCAGGAAGTCCGTGCTGTCGGCGTGCACATGTCTGCGCAGCTCTCGCAGGTCTTCGCCCTGCAGGGCAACTTTCATGAGGGTGGGGTGGACCACTGGGGGCTCGAGCACTGGCAGTGTGGGGGGGGGGGGTGCCAACCTGGGGCTGCAGGAAGAGGTGGCAGTGGGCAGGCTGCCCGTCACGCCCGGCCCGGCCCACGGCCTGCACGTAGCTCTCGAAGCTTGGGGGCAGCCCCAGATGCAGCACAGCCCGCACATCTGGCCGGTCCAGCCCCATCCCAAAGGCCACCGTGGCCACCACCACCCGCAACTGGCCCTGCATGAAGGCTCGCTGTACCCGCCGCCGTTCCCGGCTGCACATGCCCGCGTGGTAGGCCTCGGCTGTGGTTTTGGGGGCACGACCTTTGGGGAAGACAGGCAGATGGTCAGTGGGATGGGACCATGTGTGCCCAAGGTGGGTCCACGGGGACACCAGCTCTGTCCATGCCGCACCTCCAGACCCTGGGACCCAGGCTGCGTGCAGGCAGGTTCGGAGGAGCGCAGCGATCCGCTCTGTGTCCTCGCGCCGGTTGCAGTAAATGATAATGGAATCGAGGTTTTGAAAACGTTTGCCTTGCAGCAGCGTCAACAGTGCCTGATGAGGAGCGGTTGGCGTGGGCAGTGGGGAGTGAGGAGGGGTCGGCGTGTGCAGTGGGGAGTGAGGAGGGGTCGGCGTGGGGAGTGAGGAGGGGTCGGCGTGGGCGGTGGGGAGTGAGAAGGGGTCGGCGTGGGCGGTGGGGAGTGAGGAGGGGTCGGCGTGGGCAGTCAGCAGCCAGGGCCCTGCAGGGTCCCCAGAGCACACACACCCACCTGGTCTGTGTCCCTGTCCATGGACACGGAAAGGTGCAGGTTGGTGGGAACTGGGGCTGGCCCGTGGAGGTCAGGCTCTTCAGCCACAGCCAGGTGCTGTGCCACGTCACTGGCAGTGCGGCGTGTGGCTGTGGCTGTGAGGCCCAGGAAGCAGTGCACGCCCATGCGCTCCCGAAGCACCTGCACCAGAGGCGGCAGTGGTGTGAGGCCGCCCAGCCCATCCCGGCCCTGGCCGCCCACCCCAGTTCACATATGGCTCACCTTGCAGACGCGCAGGTAGCAGGGCCGGAAGTTGTGGGACCACTGGGAGAGGCAGTGGGCCTCATCAATGCAGGCAAAAGCAACTGGAGGCAGCTGTGCGGCTGGAGGGAGGCCTCCCGCCCCCACCAGTGCCTCAGGTGTCAGCATCAGCACGTGTACCTGGGCTGCCCGAATCTGAAGGCAGCAAGATCAGAGGCACAGCCCAGGTGCCCGCCCGCTGCCTCCCTCACCCCTAGGCCCATGAGGCCCCCACCTTCTGCAGGACAGATTCCCGTTGCTTCCTGGTCATGCCCGAGTGTATGCAGGCCGCCTTGAGACACGGTGGCAGGCCAGACACCTGCAAATGCAGGAGCGACAGCCGTCATACGCCAGCCCAGCCCTGGCCCTTCCCCAAGTCATCCCAGAGCTGCTGCCATGTCCATCCTAGTCCCTCAGGGGAGAGGAGAACCAGGTCCTGGGTCCTAGGGCTAAGGGTTTAGAGCCACCTGTGGGCCTTGGCCCAGGAGCCCCAGAGCAGACAGACTGAAGTAGGGATGGCTCCTTTCCCAGCACATTTCCCGTAGGGGTGGCTGTGGTGCCTGTGGAGCTGGGCTGCCTTTGACCTGCTGCCAAGACTGGGACTGAGGCCACAGACACCTTGAAGCTCCCAGGGGAGGGGGTGGTTAGGGGACAAGCAGCAGTTGCCCTTGGGAGTCACAAGTGCTGGTTCTTGGCTGTGTACGTGTGCCCAGGGCCCTGTGTGCACACCTGGTCATCCATGAGTGACAGCAGGGGAGAGACGACCAACGTGAGGCAGGGGCTGCGCCGGCTGTAGAGCAGCGCTGGGAGCTGGTAGCACAGGGACTTGCCGGCACCTGTAGGCAGCACCAGCAGCGTGGAGATGCCTGGATGGGGCGGGAGTCAGCAGCAGGGTTCTGCAGCCTGGCCTCAGCCCAGCCTCAGCCCTGGCAGCCACGCTCACCAGACAGGATCCGCATGACTGCACGCTCCTGCCCAGGGCGAAAGGCTTGGTGCCCCAGCTGCTCCAGGGCCTGGAACACCTCAGCCGGCGTCTCTGCAGACACAGATGTTGATCACCATGACTTGAGTCACCCCAACCCCTCAGTGAAGGCTCTGGGCCAGAAGCTGACTGCTCACCTGCCAACTGCCCTGAGGGCCCCAGGGAGTAGAGTGGCAGCACGGTGGGGTCCAGGCTGGGCACCTCAGGTACAGGTTGTGGTGAAGGAACCAGTGGCTCAGGCCCAACAGCATCTGTGTCTTCCTCACTTGCTGGGGCAGGCAGGAGAGGGTAGAATGGGAGCTCCAGGTCGGGCAAGACAACCACTGGCCACAACCTCTCCTTCCCCCAAAGGGGGTTGGCAGCAGGCAGTGCCCTTCCTCTGGGCTACTTTTTCCAAAGCAGAAAAGAGTGACAGCCATCGTCGTCCCTGCCACCCTCCTTCAGGGGAGCTAGGGTAGGGCCTGGACCAGGGGTACCTGGAAGGCCTGTTGCTTGGAACATAAGTGTCCCCCAAAAGAGCACTGCGCCCTCTCCACAGTGTTGGCCGGACCCACCCTCCAGGGCAGATGTCTCACCTGGCCGGGGACACTGGGCTGCCCAGTGATCGAACTGCTCGTTCAGGAAACAAGACTCCTTGGTTGTGACTGTGGCACCACCACCCCCAAAACACTCCCCTTTCTTCCGCCACTTCTGCTTCCATGCCTGGGGGGTGCCCACATAGGAGGGTCACTGGGCGGGAAATACGGGAGGGCTGAGGGGAGGGAAAGGGAATGCCTGTCCTGGCCCGTCGCTGTCTTACCTGCTTGCGGAGGAGCCTGCTACGGAGTGCCCGGCCCCGCACGTAGTGTTTCTGCTTCATGTTGAGCCGTACGTAATTGCCCCTGTCATGGCGGGCCAGCCGAGGGAAGATGTGCAGGGGGGCTGTGCCCTCAGCCTTCCCAGCCCTAGCTTGACTGGAGGGGCTGAGTCCGTGGTACCTGGGGTTCGATGGGCTGCTGCAGGGCTGAGGTGGCTGTGCCTGTACAGGTTCCCCTGGAGGGTCTTCCTCAACTGCTACAGCCCCAGCCCCCTCCGATGGGGGTCCAGCTTGGCTGCTCTCCTGCTGGACCTGTGCGGGGCTCTCCCAGGGCTCCTCGTTCCATCTCCGCTTCTCGCCTCCACTGCTGCTGGGCTGGGGGCTCCCCACACGGATGCTGACTTCTTGGAAGGCTGAAGCCTCTGGGCCCTGGGAGCCAGCACCAGGACCAAGGACAGCCGACTCACCAGGGATCAGAAGTTGTGATTCCTCTGAGCCTAGATCAGGCCTGCAGGCTTTGGGGGCCCCCAGAAAATCTGGGACCTCACTGTGACATCGCTGTAACCAGCCAGGATCTAGGGAGCCCAGCCGCTGGCTCAGGGATGCCTGCAGATGCTGGAGCCGGCCTGGCCTTGGCTGGGGCTCAGGGAGCTGTGGAGGCTCATCACTGACTTTTTCTGCAAAGGAGGGGACAGGCCCTGTACCTGGGGGCTTTGGGGTGGATGCCTTAGATGAGGCTCTTCCTAGAGGCCACGGTCTGCGGCCCAGGGCTGGTCCGGCCTGGGAGGGGAACAACAGAACAGCAGGAGGAACTCAGGCCCCTGAGCTACTGTAGACTCTAAAACCTACCTGAGTCCCCACGCTCAATTGTAGAGCAGGCTAATTAGCACAAGGCTGGACTAGAAAGGGAGTCAAGGGCGAAGGCCCCGAGAAGCTCCCTGAAGACTCGTGCCCTGGTTGGCACAGGGGCCCGTGCCTGTCTGTGTGGAAAAAATGACAAGAGGGCGACCCGGACCGGAAGCAGCTGTGGACCTAGCGTGGACTCACTGCCTGCCCACTCCTCACCTGCAGGGTGCCTTTCAGATTGGCCTTGAGCCGCTGCCCGTAGTCCGGCACCGAGCCCTGGCGGCTCCGCCCTGGCGTAGACTGTGGACTCTTGGTCGCAGCCCGATTCAGATGGGGCCCCCAGCAGCGGGGCTCTGGCGCCTGCAGGAGACAACAGGGGCACAGGCCAGAAAAGGCTGTTGTGGCGGCAGAAGCGCTCCCAGCCACCCCTCCCGCACCTGGAGCGAGGCCCGGCCCTTCTTCACTTTGCCCAGTCCCCCTCCCAAGTTCTGTGCCCCACGGCGGCCTGGCCGCGACTCCGTGGCTCCCGCCACTCCGCCAAACAGGGAAGTGGGAGGAGGCTGGGGCGGCGGGGCCTGGGTACCTCTTCGGCCGCCGCGGGGAGCGACTCGGAGCTGCGGAGCCCGCCGCCGGCCTGGCCCGTGGTACGCTTCAGAGTGCGGTATTCCCGGTAGAGCGCTGCGTGGGCGAGCGGGAGGCGGGGTCAGGGTGGGGCCTGGGCCCCTGCCGACCCGGTGTCTTCTCGCCCCCGCCGCCCCGCCGCGCGCTCACCGCGGGTCTCCTCCGGCGCCGCCTCCACGTCGTCCTGTAAAGGGAACGCGTCAGCCGCGGGCCGCGCCCTCAGCCCCTCGGCCCCTGGGCAGCCCGCACCTGGCTCGGTCGCCGCCCGCGCTGCCGTCGGAACGCGCGCTCCCACGCCTGCAGCCGCTCCCGCACGTCCCGCAGCCGCTCCATGGCGCGCGCGCCCGCCCGGCCTCCGCGCTTGCGATCGTCCAGCGAATCTCCCGCGCAGCCGTCGCGGGGGCCGACAGCCAATGCGGATGCGCGGCGGGCCGGGGGCGGGGCCACCGCCCCTGGGCAGCCAGTCCGTCGGGCCTCGGACAAGCAGCCAATGGGAGGCGTCAACGTCATCGCGGGGCGCCGCGGCGCCGGGCGGGGAGCGGCGGACGGTCTAGGCGGGGCTGGAGGCGGTGGCTGCGGTTGCGGGACCGGTGAGCGCGGGCGGCCGGGGGGGTGTCTGAGCGGGGCGGCGCACGCCCCTGGCCCTGCCTGGCCTCAAGGGGCGGGGCACCGGTCGCTCGGGGCGGCCTGGCCGAGGGAGGCAGTGGCTGCATTTGGGAGCCCGGGGCCGAGGCCGGGAGCCTGGGAGGTGCCACCGCGGGCCGGGAAGGACTGGGAGTCCCCGGGCCGGTCGGAGCGGCGTCAGGCCCTGGTGGGAGACGCATCCGACCTGGAGGAGCAGGCCCCGCTCGGGAGGCGAAAGAGCGGAGGGTCCAGCGCCTCCCGCGGCTCGAGGCCCGGAGGAGCCGGGCGGGGGCGTCTTCGCGAAACGCAGGCGACCGAGGACCGTCGCGTTCCCTGCGGCCGGCGGGAGGGGAGGGGGCGTCGCACGGAGGTGCCTGCCTCCCTTGGTGGGCAGGCCGTCTGCTTTGGTGTTCTCCCGTGACAAGTGCTCGGTTGGTCTGTCCTGTCAGAGCGAGTATGATCGTTGAGATCTGTCCACCGGCAGAACTAGGCCGAGGGTTGGTGTCTGGGACTTTTCAGGAACCGGTGCCTTAAGGACTTACTTGTATGTGGAAAAGTCGACAAAAAGAAGGGCCTTGGGGCCAGAGTGTCTTCCCCGGCCCCCTTCCCTGGCTTGTCACTCAGGCTGTGACCTTGGGCCAGGCCGAGGCCTTCATTTTCTAATCTGTCACAGGGAGATGGCTGCGATTTAGTTTTGAGGATGCTACAGGCAGCAGCAGGGCTGGCACCCTGTGTCACAGGTACCTTGTGGCCTTGGGAGTGTTTGTGCATCTCTGCAGCTTGGGTGCTGCTGAGGCAGCTTTCTTTGCCTTGTCTGAGCAGTCTGTAGCTTTGCACCTTCTGAATCCCACATACTTAAGACTTGGTCTTTCCACAGTGGCTCTCCAGGGAAGAGGGAGAGGTTTAGGCCAGTGGTAAGGGCCAACAAAGGTGAGGGTTGCTTTCTTTCGGGGTCTCCGTGCTTGGTGACGCTCTGGAGAATAGTAGCTTTTGCGGGGGCTTGTATTTTATAGGCTACATCATCTGGACTCGGTGTTCCCTGGGTCTCGGTCTTTTCAACCTGCCTTGTTGCTTATGAAGCTGCTTCTGTGCTTCCAGCTCTTTGGTGTTTTGTGGAGTCCAAGTGTAGCCCTGGAGAGCATCTGTGAGGAGAGGGGAGGGAAAGGTGATTTGGCTGCTTGACTCCTTAGAGTGTCCCGTCAATACTAATGCTGATGAAGGTTGGTGGGGAGAGTCCTGGGCTTTATTCAGGTTTCGAAGAAGGTTTTGTGAAGCAGCTTTGTAATTTGAGAGGCCTGAAGTACCCATGGGGGGCCCTGCAAGGCAACAGGCATCTGTCAAAAGCATACCCAAGCAAGCGAGTTGTTGACGATGCCACACTGCTTGACGCTTAGTTTCTCTAAAGAGATCCTGTGCATCTGGAGGGCTGGGGCTGAGTTGTGAGTTTGTCTGCCAGTTCACTGCACCCAGCCCAGCGCTAGGCATCTAATAGGTGCTTCTCTGTGCCATGGCCACTGCTAACTGCTGACTTTGTTTCAGGCACTATGCTGGGCCTTCCTACCACTTGTGTGTGGCTTGGTAGTGGCCTAGGGTCTCTCCTCCCTGCTGAAGTCCCTCTCCTGCAGGTGGCCGTCTGCCCGGCCCAGCACCATGCACACGCTTGTGTTCTTGAGCACACGGCAGGTGCTGCAGTGCCAGCCAGCTGCCTGCCAGGCCCTGCCCTTGCTGCCACGCGAACTCTTCCCCCTGCTGTTCAAGGTGGCCTTCATGGACAAGAAGACAGTGGTACTGCGCGAGTTGGTACACACGTGGCCCTTCCCGCTGCTCAGTTTCCAGCAGCTGCTACAGGAGTGTGCCCACTGCAGCCGTGCCCTCCTGCAGGAGCGGCCTAGCACTGAGAGCATGCAGGCTGTTATCCTGGGGCTGACTGCCCGGCTCCACACCTCAGAGCCTGGGGCCAGCACACAGCCCCTCTGCAGGTATGGACTTATCTGGAGGGTCGTCAGGCCAGGGGTGTGTAAGTGGGTCCCCTGAGGAGGCTTGGGTCATAAAGTTAGCAAGAGCTCATGCAGG
The DNA here is from genome assembly GCF_000001405.40 of Homo sapiens. Taxonomy (NCBI): domain Eukaryota; kingdom Metazoa; phylum Chordata; class Mammalia; order Primates; family Hominidae; genus Homo; species Homo sapiens. The sequence goes on from NC_000008.11 coordinate 144,520,149, forward strand.
AGCAGGCGCGTTGCTCCTGTCCCAAGGTGGCTGGGAGGGGGTATGGGCGCTGCCCCTCCACCCCTTCCTCACACCATTCCTACTCCCAGGAAGCATGCGCTGCGGGTGCTGGACATGACGGGCCTCTTGGATGATGGTGTGGAACAGGATCCTGGCACCATGAGCATGTGGGACTGTACTGCTGCCGTAGCTCGCACATGCATTGCCCAGCAGCAGGGTGGGGCCGCAGAGCCTGGGCCAGCCCCCATCCCCGTGGAGGTGCGCGTGGACCTGCGGGTGAACCGGGCCTCCTATGCGTTCCTGCGGGAGGCACTCCGAAGCAGCGTGGGCAGCCCGCTGCGGCTCTGCTGCCGGGACCTGCGAGCTGAGGACCTGCCCATGCGCAACACTGTGGCCCTGCTGCAGCTTCTGGATGCAGGCTGCCTGCGCCGCGTGGACCTGCGCTTCAACAATCTGGGCCTGCGCGGCCTGTCTGTGATCATCCCACACGTGGCCCGCTTCCAGCACCTGGCCAGCCTGCGGCTCCACTATGTGCATGGGGATTCAAGGCAGCCCTCCGTGGATGGCGAGGACAACTTCCGCTACTTCCTTGCCCAGATGGGCCGCTTCACCTGTCTGCGTGAGCTCAGCATGGGCTCCTCTCTCCTTTCAGGGAGGCTGGACCAGCTGCTCAGGTGAGCGGGCCCCACCACTGCCCTGCCCCTCCCTTCTGTAGGGACCCTCCCTGGCTCTGCCTGTCTGTGACCCCTGTGTCCCCTGTAGCACCCTGCAGAGCCCCCTGGAGAGCCTGGAGTTGGCCTTCTGTGCTCTGCTGCCTGAGGACCTACGCTTCCTGGCACGGAGCCCACATGCTGCCCACCTCAAGAAGTTGGACCTGAGTGGTAACGACCTGTCTGGCAGCCAGCTGGCACCCTTCCAGGGTCTGTTGCAGGCATCAGCAGCCACACTGTTGCATCTGGAGCTGACTGAGTGTCAGCTCGCAGACACCCAGCTGTTGGCCACACTACCCATCCTGACTCAGTGCGCCAGTCTCCGGTACCTTGGCCTCTATGGCAACCCACTGTCCATGGCGGGCCTCAAGGAGCTGCTGCGGGACTCAGTGGCACAGGCTGAGCTGCGTACTGTGGTGCACCCCTTCCCTGTGGACTGCTATGAGGGCTTGCCCTGGCCGCCGCCTGCCTCTGTCCTGCTGGAGGCCTCCATCAATGAGGAGAAGTTTGCCCGCGTAGAAGCTGAGTTGCACCAGCTGCTTCTAGCCTCAGGCCGTGCCCATGTGCTCTGGACCACGGACATCTACGGGCGACTGGCTGCGGACTACTTCAGCCTATGATGAAGTAGCTCTGGGTGAGACACAGGCCGCCCTGCAGTCTCTTTAGGTAGGCAGGGCCTTTGCTGGGACCCCTGGTGGAGGCCTTCACAAAAGCACTGGTTACTGGTTTCCTGCTGGGTCTACCTTGCTTCTGGGCACACCTCAAGCCTCCCCTGCTTTCTGCAGTGCCCCACGCGGTTTTCCCTGCACTTGCTCCATAATTGGCTGATCATCTGTGGGCCCCGGGGCTGGATGTCAGGCCTCCATTGCCCTGCTCAGTTTGGCTGCATTTGGCTGCCGTCTGGGGTCCTGGTCCTTTGTGCAAATGCTTTGGGATTCCAGTTGTGAGCTGAGAGAGATGATGGCCTCTCTGGGCCTTTCCTCTCCCTTTACTGAGAGCTCAGTGCTTCTGGGGTTGAAGTTGGACAGAGGCCTGCTTCAGGGAAGCTGGGAGTCCCCAGGCACTCACGCCTCTTACGTGTTCCCTACCCTGCCACCCAGCCACCCCACTGGGCTGGGCTCGGGCTGGAGGGGGTCATCAAGGTACACATGTGCCTGGAAGTTGAATTTGTGGCTGTTTTTTTTTCTGTCCACGTTGGTCACCCTTATCCTTATCTCTGCTGTCACCCCCAACATGGCCACCCGGCAACAACTGCCATCCAGCCTGTCGCCCCGCCCTTCGCGGGGCAGCCCCGTCGGCACTGCCGGCCAGTCCTTGCTCTTCCCACCTTTCGGAGGCCCAAGATCCTACTGTGGCCGGCCAGGGCCAGCGAGGGACCCCCCCCATGCAGAGCTGGAGGTTGGGGTGATGTCTTTTCGGAAGAGCTTCAAGGGAGGTGTTGGGGCCTCCCCGGCCACCTTCCATTGCTACCCCAGGATTCCCGAGTGCAACGTTCCCGGCTCGCGCCCCACACACGGCTCAGCGCACACTGCGCGGCTTCCACCTTTACTGACGGAGCATGCGCGAGGCCGCACCGGCCAATCTCCGGCGCCCACGTCATCCGCGCGCCCGCGGCCCTAGCAGTGGATCTCGTAGGCGACCGGCGGGGGCACGCGGAGTCCCGGCCCCGCCCCCTGTTCCGGGCCGCAGTCAGCGGGCGCCTCCGCCGGACCCTCGGCGAAGAGCGGCTTGGAGCGGTTGATGACGAACATCTCGTGGCCGCGCTCGTCGCGGAGCTCCTCTAGCTGTGCGAACGTACAGGGGCCGTCCAAGTAGTCGTTGACGAACAGCGCTCCCTCCCCCGGAGGCCCCCGCGCCTTTTTTCGCCTGCGGCGCCGGCGACAGATCATGGCGACCAGGAGCAGCGCCGTGAGCGCCAGCAGCGCGATGGCCGCCGCAATGGCCGTCTGTGTGGCCACGCCCAGGGCGCGGAAGGCCATGCTGCCCGCCTCGGGCCGGGGCTCGCTGCCGGCGGGGCGGGCGGCCGGAGGCGGCGGTTGCGCGGGCTGCTGCGGCTGCTGCCGGGACGCGTTGACCAGGAGCCGGAAGGGCACGCGGGCAGCGCCGCCGGCGTTGGAGGCCTCGCACTCGTACTTACCGGCGTGCGCCAGCGTGATGTTGCTGAGGAAGAGCATGCCGCTGCCCGTGTCGGATGCCGAGTGTCCGCCCAGGCCCAGCAACCCGCCTTCTAGCTGGGCCTGGGCTCGCGGCCGGCCCTCGCGAGGCTGGGGCACCTTTCTCCAGGTCACCAATGGCTGCGGGTAGCCGGAGGCTTGGCAGGCAACCCGCAGGTCCTCACCCAGGTTGGCTGTGAGCTCCAGCGGCTGCACGTGGACAGAGGGCGGAATGCAGATGAGGCTGCTGTGGGATACGTCCAGGAGACTCTGGAGCGCCAGGCGCGGGGGCTCTGCACACATGATCTTCCTGTCCCTGGAGGTGAGCAGCCGCTGGCCGCCCTCCTTGATCCAGGCACCCAGCCAGTGCAGGGCGCAGTCACAGCGCCATGGGTTCTCTGTGGGAGAGCAGCGTTAGGCAGGTGGCTTGAGGGTGCTGCTAAAACAGCCTGTGCAGTTGGGGTTTTGCAGGCCAGGACAGAGGCCTCTTTCCCACCTCCCACAGCGTTTTCACACGGAGTCCAAGGCCCTGCCACCCCTTCCTTGACCCCAAGCTCCTTGGGGCGGCAGGCCCTTCACCCTCGCCCCCCTCCCCTTTAGCTCTGTGATGCCTGCCTGTTACAGATCACTTCTCCGTCGGTCTCTGAGAAAGCACCTGCTCCTTAAGTCTTCCTGCAACAAGTGCCACTGTTTTTAGGAACCTGGGCGTCCACATAGACATCTCACCAGCACTGAAACCTCACAAGTCCTCTCAGCCTTGCCTTTGGATGCCCTCTCTTGGGAATGTCCCCAGTCCTGGTCAGCTGTCTCTCTCCTTTGCAATTTTGTCTGCCTCCCCTCAGCCTAAAAGTGTGCAGAACCCTCAATTCTGTTAAGTCACCCTGTGGAGTTCCTGTCTTCTGTTTTCCCCAGGCAGGGTGCCTGAGCTGTATTCCCCAGCACACCCACTCCCGCAGCCCTCCAGTGTGGCTGCAGGCGGTGGTGCAGCCTTCCAGACTGCTGCCCAGTTGCCTGATGTCAGAGCCCCTCCACACATGAGCCTGCTCCCTACTGCCAACACCGTGGCCCAGACAGAGACGCTTTCCGAGGAAGAGGTACCTGTGAGGCGCAGGACTTGCAGACTGGCCAGGGGCTGCAGGGCCTCTCGGCTGATGGTGCCCAGCTGGTTCCTGCTGAGGTCCAGCAGTGCTAGGGAGGACAGCCCCGCTAGAGCCTGGTCCTCCAGCAGCTCAATGCTGTTTTCTTGCAGGTGAAGCTCCTGCAGTCGCTGAAGTAAGGACAGCAGATCGTGAGGAAAAAGGGCGCCGAGGTTGGGGGCATGTCTCTCTTCTTACCAAGCTAGACTGGGTTGCCTTTTCTAACTATTCCAGCCCTACAGGGCGAGGGGCCATAATGGAGTATCCCGCCCCTTTAGACCCCAGGCGCTCACCGGCAGGTGCAAGAAGGTGAAATCCAGCAGCCGCGCCAGCTGGTTGCCCGCCAGGTAGAGCACGCGCAGCTGGGCCAGGCCTACGAAGGCGCCGCTGCGCAAGCCGCGCAGCCGGTTGCTAGTGAGCGCCAGCTCCAGCAGGCGCGGCTGCGCGCGGAAGGCGCCGGCCTCCAGGGCGCGCAGGCTGTTGTTGTGCAGGTAGAGCCGGCGCAGAGCGGCGAGTGGCGCCAGGGCTCCCGGCTCTAGGCGGGCGATGTTGTTGTCCTGCAGGAACAGTGTCTGCAGGCCGGGGAAAGAGGAGGCGCTTACCCCGTTGCGGGGGTCTTCCTCTCCCTGGGGGCACCCCGTCCTCCCGCAGCTCCACACGGTGCCCACCTGCGTCCCTGGCGGGATTCCCAGCGGGACGACGCGCAACCGCAGGGCGCCACACTCCACCGTGGCGCTGTAGCAGCGGCAGGCTGCTGGGCAGCCGGCGGCGCGGAGCGGCAGTAGTAGCAGCAGCAGCGGCAGCAGTGCGGGGGCCCTCAGGGCCATCTCCCGAGGCCCGGTTCCTCACCGGCCCTTCCGCGGTTCAGCCGCAGACGCGTGCCCTCCTGAAACACAGGTTGGCAGGCCAGTCTCGGCAGTCGAGAGCCAGCCAATAGATGGAATGGAGGCCTGCACCTGCGTCTAACTTTTGACGCTATAAATAGGTTCAAGAAACTAATAAAACGTTCTGGTTTTCTCCTTTGACAAAAACATTTTCTTAAAGCTCTGGGGCATCAGGTTCAAATTTAGAATTCCTGGTGTCCTCAGTGTCTTCACAGGATGTGACCATGTAGGGAGAGCCACCCAACCCTGTCACCTTCTCCTTCTCCACCCATGCCCAGCAGGTCAGGAGCTTCCTGCTCAGGACGTGGATGTGTGTCGCTTGCTGCCCCCGACTCTACCCCCAGGCAAGTGGCTGCTGCTTGGTTCTAGGGTGCAAGAAGCTGGAAGTACAGGGTATGGCTTGAGAACTTTGCTTAGGTGACAAAGCCCGGGGTCCCATTACCCAAGCATGGCTAGGAGGGGGAGAGCAGGCCCTGGGCAGACACGCCTCCTTGTTATCCTGTGGGGGCCTGGGCAGAGCTGGCCTCAGAGGAGCTACGAGCCCCAGGGAAGTCAAGGCACAGCTTTGTCCAGCACCTGCTCCTGCTGGCCTAGGGGTGGGACCAGCTTAACTAGAATTGGGCCTTTTTCTCAGGTAACCTGTCAGAGAATTGGGGGATGAGAAAAATAATAGGAAATTCGGTTCAGGAGCCATGGGTCTGTGCTTCCCATGCCGGTCCCCAGAAAGGTGTCCTGTCTTTGGGGATAGATGGGGCCCTGGGAAAGCTGGGGTGGGACAGGGGACGCCTTGGGCCACCAACTGGGTTTCTGGTGTGGCTTCCCAAGTGGGCTCTGGGAGCAGTGTGACCTCTGAGATCAGCAAGGAGCAGGGAGTTTGCTGGGGGACCATATACATGTACTTGTCGTAAAGAAATGGGAAGGCTGGGGTCTGGTTTCAGGAACAAGGAGCCCAGTTTTAAAAGTAGGGATCTGGGCTAAGCCAGCCAGCCCACCCGAAGCCAGGGAAAACAGGGCTGCAGGTGTCCTGTCTCCCAGCCTCATCTGGCCGGCCTCCCCAAACATTTGCCTGTCCATCAGCTCTTCCTCCTTTCGAGTCATGTGGAAAGGGACAGGACCAAGTGGCCTTGGTGTTTAAATCTTGCCCTAAATTGTAACTCACATGATTATTTAAAGTCACTAGAAATAAGTAAGCACAGCAATAAAGTTTTAATGGAATAGCTTTGGCCCAGGCAGAGGCAGTTCCCAGATGTCTCAGGACGCGTGTGAACCCCAAGAAGTTGGGGGCGTTATCTGGGCCCTTGGGATCCATTCCCCTGGGTATAAAGTGTTGGTACGTGGCTCCAGGCCTGGCCCACTCAGCCTCCCCCAGGAAGGCTTCTCAAGTGGAGAAGGTTCTTGGCCTCAGAACTCACGGCGCTGCTGCTCACGCTGACCCCCCACTAGATGCAGATCGGTGTAGAAAGGCCTGCCAGGGCAGGGATGAGGGCCCCAAGCTGGAAGCAGCCCAGAAATCCTTTTACCAGAGGACAACTCCCTAATCCGCTGGGCAGGGGCGGGGTGTCACACGCAGGATTCCGCGACGACTGTCACTGCCTCCTGGGCGCCCCTCTGTGCGGGAGCGGGGAGGGAAGAGGATGGAACGCCCTGTGTCTGCCTCGGGCGCAGTGCGAGGCCCAAGCTGGTCTTTGGGCGGCCCTTGCGCACCTCTGCAGCGCTGCGACCTGGTGCCTGTATCCCCCACGGCCTCCTCTGCTACCCACGAGAGCCGGTTGATTTTCGGCCGGGCTCAGGGAGGGCGTGGCCTCCGCGTTCCCCATCCCCCTCCAGGACCCACGCCCTTCTCGGAGCGCACCAGGGTCAGAGCCGGGATGGTCCCCGATCCCCCAGCGCCCCCACGCCTGGTGACCTTGGGTCGGGCGTCCCCTCACCTGACGCTCCCGCGGCGAGCGGCTCCCCCGCCGTGCAGGTGGCGGCCGGGCCCGAGCAGTCGCCGGGCTGGGAGGGGGCGGGGGACGCTCGCGCACGCGCACCAGAGCCCCGCGCCCGCCGCCAGTGCCTGACGTCTCGAGCGCAGGCCAATCCGGAGGGCGCCGGAGTCGGGTGCGCGGGGGGCGCGCGCCGTGGGGAGCGGGGTGTCCGGGAGGGCCGGGCCGCGGCAGCACCAAGGACAGCGCCGGGTGGGGGCGGGGCCGAGCGCGCAGGCGCACTAGGCTGCCGCGAGCGCGGGTGGCGCGGGCTTTCCGGGGCGTGGAGTCCCGGGGGAGCGGGGCGAGAGGCGCCCGCGGCCTCCCGCCTTTCCCTTGGCCCCGCTCAGGGCGACCGAGCCGCGAGCAGCAGCGGGGCCAGGTCCATGGTGAGGGCGAGGCGGCGGCCCTGCCAGCGCACGTGCGAGGGCAGCGCAGGCGCGCCGGGCCCGTACTCGAAGCAGGCGCTGAGCTCGAAGGCCAGGGCGGAGCGCACCAGGCCCACGCCGCCCGCACGCTCCGGCGCCGGGTGGTACAGGCGCCCGTTGGCGGCCAGGGGCAGCAGGCGCGCCGGCTCGAAGGGCACGGCCAGGGCCTCGCCACCGCCGCAGTAGGAGAGGCGCGGAGGCCCGTGGTCCGCGGTCAGCAGGTGCGTGAAGACCACCGGCCGGTCCTCGCAGCGCAGGAAGTTGCGCTCTCTGCCGCAGGGCGAGAGGAAGGGGAAAGCGGCCTCGTAGCGCCCGCTGCGGTTGGGTCTCAGGCGGGAGAAGAAGGTGACCAGGAACTGCGGGTCTGGGGGATGAAGGGTGCGTGTACTCAGCGCGCTGGGCTCCCAAGGCCTCCGGGCCCAGGACCATACCGAGGGCAGGCGCCGACGGTAAGAGGTTCGCCTGGCCTCACTCAGCGGGGCTCCTGAGCGCAGGACGCCCACTCCTTGGTGCGCTGGGCCCGTCGGCAGAGTCGGGGAGCCCATCAGGGGCTGCCCGGAAGGGAGAAAGAAGGGGCTGGAGAGGGAGGCACAGCATTACCTTTGAAGCAGGTGATGAAATTCTTCATTTTGGAATCATCCAGGAAAAGCTGCAGATAGAGGGCCAGGCCGTGATAAGTCCCAGCGTGCAGGTGGGGGCGGGGAAGCTCAGGAGGTCCTGAAGCTCGGGAGGTCCTGAACCGGCCCGAGCCCACTTTTCCTGCTTGTCTGTGCACACCGCATGCAGGGAGGCGCGTGAAAGGTAAACCTGGGGGCCCCGCCGACTTATCCGCGTCTATGCGCACCTCTGCTCCCTGGTCAGCCAATTCTTTCCCGCACCTTTTCCCTCTTTTCAAGTTTGTAATCAGTTGTACCACCTCCTCCGCGGAGACTACCTGGCCTGCTGCCTCCCGGACATGCAGCTGCCTTTTGACAGGGCTTCCAAAAAAAGGCAGGGCGGCCCGGGTGTCTCCCTGGCAGCGGCGAGAAGTCAGCGCCGGGGCTGGGGACTTGTAGGACAGAGTCCGAAGCTGCACAACGCAGCAGGGACGCGGCCCATGTAGGAGCCTCGGCCCGGACCGACCCAACTCCCCGTCTTTCCAGCGCGCTCTCCTCCAGCTCTGAGGAGTCGAGGTTGCCCACCGCGCAGGCCCCGCCCACCCACCCACCCCCTGGAACGTCCCTCCGGCCCCGCCCCTCGAGCAATGGTCCCGCCCACAGAGCCACGCCCCCCCCCCCGCCCCGCCCAGAGACCTCTCCCGGCCCCGCCTCTCGAGCAACGGCCCTGCCCCCGCCCACCTGGCCCTGGTGGTCCACGTAGTAGAAATACTCGCGGGTCCGCGGCTCCGGACTCTGGCCCTGCGTGTAGGAAACGCCCCCATCCCCGCTGCAGGCCCGGGCTCCCCGCGACCGCGCCAAGGCCAGGGTCCGGAGCGTCCCGCAAGGCGGCCACATTCTCCTCCCGCGCCGGAAGCGACCAGCAGGTCACGCCGGGGGCGGTGCTGCGCGAACTCGCGCCTGCCCGCAGTAGCCCCGCGCTTCGCGTTCCGGCGGCGCCCGCCTCCGCGACCCGGGCCCGGCGCTCTTCCCTCTCCCTCGGGCCTCGGGGGCTCGCCCGCCCTGGCCTTCCGAGAGGCGTGTGCCGGTGACGCCCCTTCCGGTCCGCCCCGCGTCTCTTCCCGCCCCCGGCCGCGCCCACAAGGAACGGGAGGACGCGCAGGGTCCATGTGCACTTTATTCACTCGTGTCGTCGCCTCTCGGGTCCATGCGTCGGGGCGAGCGTCTCAGCCGGGCGGGACCGCAAAGGCCCCGGGACCACCCGACTGAGGACGCCGCCCAGGCCTCGGCAGGGCTGGGGCTTTTGTTTTTAATAAATAAAAACGGAACTCTAAAAAATATATATATAAAAACTGGGGAGAAATTAAGTTTTACAACAATTGGAACTCAAAATTCCAAAATGGAAAATGTACAAACTCGGTCCCCCAGCAGCTCTGGCCCCGAGAACGGACAGTCCCGGGCCCGGCGCCTTCCCGCTCGCTCGTCTCCTGCAGGTCTGGGATGGGGATGGGGTAGAGCTTGGTTTTTGGTCAGAAGCCAAGAAAAAAGATCGGAGAAGAAAAGAAGGAATGACCTCAACTTGCTCTGCACGGAGGACGGGGACGGCTCAGAGATAAATAGCATTTAGGTTAAAACTATGTCATTAGCAAATTTAGTTCTTATATCTTTCCCTCTATTTATATCTCTATACACGGTGGGCTGCGATGCAGGATAGATTCTGGATTTACAGTTACACGAAGAAAAAAATACTCTCGCCCCTCCCCCACCCTGCCCCCAGAATGCCTGCCCAGCCCTGCTCCCTACCCCAGAGGACTTTGGTTTGGGGGCCCCCACCCCACCCACCGAGAGCCTGCCAGGCCCCGGGCCCACTGTCCTGGAGCCCCCAAACTCCTGAGCAGTCACCAGCTGGGGACCACGGGCCGAGGGAGGGAGAGGAGGCGGGGACAGGTCGGGAAGCTCTCTCGGGGCTGGGAAGAGCTGCAGGCCAGGACGAGGACAGGAGAAAGGGAAGGAGAGACCGGGGCGGCTGGGCAAGGCCCAGGCCAGGGCGCGCAGGAGCCACAGGGAGGCAGCCCGGCCCCAAGGAGGCAGCGTCGCTCGGCTCCAGGACACAGAAGGCACTTTCTCGGAGCTGACCCGCGGCCAGCGGAGGGCGAGGCGGTGCCCGCGGGAACTGGCCGTGAGGTGGGGGGCCAGAGGCGCCCTCCCCGCCGCTGCTGTGCCCTGGCTGCACCCTCAGACCAGGCAGAAGACGTGGGGAGCGCCGGGGCCAGGGGCCTGGGGGAGTGGAGGGGGCTCCAGGGCTGGGCCGGGCGATTCTGGCCCCTCTGCCGGGAGAGCGAGTGCGGAGTTCGGCCTGGCTGGGGGCGGCAGGACATCCCTCCTGTCCCCGGGCGCCCCCGCTACAGCACACCCTCCATGAAGCTGGTGTCCAGGTGCTGGATGAGCACCCGCAGGAAGGACATCTCCTTGCGGGTGTTCTCGAAGATGACGCGCGGGTCGTCGGACTGGCAGCGCAAGCAGTTGGGCGCCATCACCATGGCCAGGTTGCTGACATCCATCTTGGTGACCGCGACGTTGGCCGGCTGCACGAAGACCTGGTGGAGGAGCGAGGGTGGGCGCGGAGGGGCGGGGGCGGGGCGGGGAGGGGAAAGCAGCGGGGACCCCCGGGGAGGGAAGTACCTGCAGGAAGCGGATGAGGTAGCACAGCACCATGCGGTTGATGCGGGGCAGCGCGTGCACCACGGCCACCGCCGCCTCGGGGCTGTCGTAGTGCGCGATGCACTGCTCGTAGAACTCGTGCGGGATCAGGGGCTCCTCCAGCTCCCGGTACCACAGCTTCAGCAGGGACGCTGGGGACACAGCACGGGGCTCAGCGGCCCTGCTCGGCGGGCACCCCTGGGCCAAATGGGGTCCCGTGGCGGACATGCATGGAGGGGTGCTGTGGGGGACAGGCTGGGAGGGCCGGCTCATTCTGGACAGGGCCCATCTGGCCAGGCTGGGCCCTGACCCCAGAGGGCCTTTCGGCTCCTGGGGGCCTGAACTCGATCCTGGAGGCATGTGGGTCACGCCAGCAGAGTTGTGCAAAACAGGATTTTTCTCAGGAGTCGTCTGTGTAGCCACCGTGAGGGGGTGTCTGCAGAGCAGGCACAGCTGAAGGGCACAGGGCAGAGAGCAGCAGGTGGGGAGTGGGCTAGACATAGCAGGCACGGCAGAAGGGCACAGGGCAGCGAGCAGCAGGTGGGGAGTGGGCTAGACATAGCAGGCACGGCAGAAGGGCACAGGGCAGGGAGCAGCAGGTGGGGAGTAGGCTAGACATAGCAGGCACGGCAGAAGGGCACAGGGCAGCGAGCAGCAGGTGGGGAGTGGGCTAGACATAGCAGGCACGGCAGAAGGGCACAGGGCAGGGAGCAGCAGGTGGGGAGTGGGCTAGACATAGCAGGCACGGCAGAAGGGCACAGGGCAGCGAGCAGCAGGTGGGGAGTGGGCTAGACATAGCAGGCACGGCAGAAGGGCACAGGGCAGGGAGCAGCAGGTGGGGAGTGGGCTAGACATAGCAGGCACGGCAGAAGGGCACAGGGCAGGGAGCAGCAGGTGGGGAGTGGGCTAGACATAGCAGGCACGGCAGAAGGGCACAGGGCAGGGAGCAGCAGGTGGGGAGTAGGCTAGACATAGCAGGCACGGCAGAAGGGCACAGGGCAGGGAGCAGCAGGTGGGGAGTGGGCTAGACATAGCAGGCACGGCAGAAGGGCACAGGGCAGGGAGCAGCAGGTGGGGAGTGGGCTAGACATAGCAGGCACGGCAGAAGGGCACAGGGCAGCGAGCAGCAGGTGGGGAGTGGGCTAGACATAGCAGGCACGGCAGAAGGGCACAGGGCAGGGAGCAGCAGGTGGGGAGTGGGCTAGACATAGCAGGCACGGCAGAAGGGCACAGGGCAGGGAGCAGCAGGTGGGGAGTAGGCTAGACATAGCAGGCACGGCAGAAGGGCACAGGGCAGGGAGCAGCAGGTGGGGAGTAGGCTAGACATAGCAGGCACGGCAGAAGGGCACAGGGCAGGGAGCAGCAGGTGGGGAGTGGGCTGCATTGCACAGGTAGGCCTCGGGGTGCCCAGCAGACACCTGGGGAAACTGTCCAATGGGCAGAAGGGAGGATGTGCTAGAAGTGACTGGGAAGCCATCACATCACTGGGCAGGATCAGGGTGGACCCCAGAGGCGGAGACAGGGGCCCCTGAGAACCACTGCCTGAGCCAGGCCCGCTCTGCTGCAGCGTGTGTGGGGGACTCACCAGGGACGTGGGGGTCTTCCAGGCCTGTGGGCACCTTCCACTGGTCCACCTGCAGCTTCAGGGCATTCACCTCGTCAATGTCCCCAGGGACCCTGCAGGGCACAGGGCAGGTCTCAGGCAACAGGAGCCTGTGCTGCGGCTTCATGATTCCGCCTGGACACTCCCTCCGGTAGGCCCCTGCTGACCCGGGGAGGGGAGCAAAACCTCAGGACCCCCCGCCACCCCGGTTGGCCTCTTTCCCACGAACGTGGGTGGGTGGCGCTCTTCAGGATTCCTGCCCCACACACCTGCGTCCGAGTGTGGTGCTTCCCCAGGCCACCGTCCCTCCCTGGACCCCTGCTGGCTCCCTGGGTGGATGCCCTCACCAAAGGGCCACTGGGGCTCAACCTGCAAGCCTCAGTTTCCCCAGCTGCCCTCCTGGGGCCTGGGTACCCCTTGCCCTGACAGGTGAGTCATGGGAGTGGGTGGCACCCTGTGCCATCCCTGTTCACAGACAAGGGCTGCCTGTCATCTGAGGCTCCCACTCCAGGCTACCCATGGCTGGTGTCCAAGCACGCTCTGGACCCCTGGTGGCCGTCTCTGCAGGGGCGCCCTCCCTGGCTGGCTGTGCTGCCTCTTTGGAATGGGTCCTGCCCTCTCTCCTGGCCTGCACACCCTCAGGGTCAGCTTCCACACTGTGGCCCCACCCTTCCATCTGCTCTCAGGTATGGGTGCGGAAGCAGCCCAGTGGGCCTGAGGCTTAATGGCCCCTGCATGCCACAGATGCATGGTGGACACATGGCTGTGGCCCCCACACCCGGCGCCCGGGGTTGCCGTGGCACCTGAAGATGCCCTCTGTCTGGTCACCGTTGAGCGCCAGCACCTCCTCAGAGAGCCGTGTCTGCACCCAGGGCAGCTGGCGCTCGGGGTAGCGCTCTCTCTGCATGCCCATGACCTCCTGCAGTGCGCTGCCGAACATGGACGGGCTGAACACGGCGTTCTTGGCATGCCGGATCTCCTCCACGTTGGGCTTCTTCAGCCCCTGTGAAGACAGAGGCTCCGTCCTGGTCTGGCCTGGCCATCCTCAGGACCCCCCGCCACCCCGGTTGTCTTCTTTCCCCGAACATAGGTGGGTGGCGCTCTTCAGAATTCCTGCCCCACACACCTGGGTCCGAGTGTGGTGTTTCCCCAGGCCACTGTCCATCCCTGGACCAGCCCTCCTCGCCCCCCAAACCCTAACTCCTCCTGGGCTGCCCCTGGCTCTGCCTCCCCCTCCTCTCATCCCTGTGAACTCCTGGCTCCAACTAGAGCTACGGACAAGCCCAGCTCCCTGGCCAGAGTCACCGTCTACAGCACCAGCTCACAGGGGCCCTTGGGAAGGTGGGAGTGAGTCCTGGGCCGGCCAGGGCTGTTGGGGAGCACAGCAGAGGCCAAGCTAGCTGAGCTGGGGTGAAACTTCCAGAAGTCTGTGGCAGGGCTGAGAGCGCTGGGGAGGGGTATGATGGGAGCAGCGCATCAGAGAGAAGAGGATGTGGGGAAGGGGCCAGGCTCTTGGGACAGGTCCAGGGAACGGGGTCCTGTCCCTGTGGTGCGGTGTGACTGAGCCCGTTGCCTGCCTTGCTCCTGAGCTGGGGGTCCGGGCCCAGGAAGAGCCCCCGGGGGAGGGTGCAGCCCAGAAGAACACGGGGTCAGCCTAGCGTACCCCGCCACCCGCCTAGGCGGGCTCCATGTGGCACCCTCTGCGCTGCTGCCCCATACCAAACTGCAGGCGGGGCTCCTGGGGCTGTCCACCAAGGGTCTCTGTGTCCCCGCCTGCCCTCCCCGGCCCCCCAGGCGCACCCGTACCTTCTTGGCCCCGGTCAGGGCTGCCTTCTGTAGCTTGTGGTAACAGTACTTGGCATACGTGCTTATCGCCACCCCTGGAAAGGAAAGGGGCCTGATCAGCCTGATGTGGGTGTGTGGGTGTGGGGCCAGGAGAGGGGTGAGCAGACACAGCTCCTTCGAGGGCCCTGGGGGGCTGGGCTGGCCTTGCCCCGGTCACCCCCTGCCCAGCACAGCGGGTCCTCACACTCTCCCAGGCAGTGTCCTTTAGAGCAGAGGCCCAAGGAGCACTTCCCCACCTGCAGAGGGACAGGCTTGGGAGGAACCGCCTGGCAGCTCCACCTGCCCTCCTACGGCCACGCAGGAACAGGAAGGGCAGGACCTGGGTCTGAGGGCCTCTAGACCCCACTGCTCCCTCCCCGGGGCCTGACCCAGGGAGCTGTCCAGGTATTTGACTCTTCTCTGCTTCAGGCCCCTCCCTGGCTTTTAGGCTGTGGGCAGGAGCCCCTGGAGGAGTCATTTCCACCTACCCAGCACCCGCAGCCAGTGCTGGGGGAGGCAGGCACTGAGCTATCTGCACAGCAAGCCCAGCTCTGCTGCAGCCCTGGGCCTGAAGTACCACCTCTGGGCTCTTCTGAAGGACTGAGGCAGCAATGAGAGGGCCCAGTCTCCTTTCTCAAAGGAGGGGCTTCCTAAAACTCAGCCCGACAGCAGGGTCCCTGAGGGGAGGGGCAGTGTGCCTGAGTCAGCACCTGATGAGGGACTCAGGGACCTCAGCCTGGGGAGTCTCCAGACACAGAGCCCAGGGGAAGGTGCTAGAGGGGAGAGGATTCCCAGGCTGGGTCTGGAAGGCGCGGCACCTTCCTGCTCCAGGTCGGGAAGCAGCAGATGAGAGAACACGCCAAGAGAAGCTGTCTGGGGCCAGGGGAGCCATGGACCTCGGACAGATGGACAGGACCCTGTGCTTCTGGACATGAGACCTGCCCCAGCGCCCAGCGCCTACCGCCTGCCAGGGTGAGGGGGGCCTCTGGATCCTGACCCCCAATCGGAACACCTTTGTCTTCTTTGAAGGAGCAGTTTCTGGTGGACAGCTGAGGGCATGGGGTCCTTGGACCAGGTTAAAAAAAAGTGCACACGTGTCTTGAGTCCATCTCTAATTATCACAGAATAGTTGACATGTGACTGCTAAGGAGACTCTTTTTTAGAGGAACCAAAATGAATTTTTTTTTTCATAGACGTTTAGGTCCTAGAAAATCTGTCATGGTCCTTGGGACCACAGGTCTTGGCAGAGGATGTGGCCCCAGCCTCCAGCGTGGGACCATGTGGAACCAAGGGCCCCTCTGGGCAGGCTATGAGGTACCCTTGTTTTTCTAGAATGGATGGTGCCCACGCACACTGGACCCAGGCTTCAGAGCCTCAAGAAGGCAAGGAGGGAATGAGCTTTGCAGGAAGGCGGCAGAAACCCAGGGCCTCAGCTCAGCAGCTGGGACATGTAGTCACTAGGCTGGGGGGCCTGGGGCAGACGGCAGGGCTGGGCCTCCTGCTTGCTGTCCCTGCGGGAAGACAGGCCCTGATCTCCTGTCCCCAGGCCCCTGGTGGGACAAACACCCCAGCCTGAGCCTGCTTGGGACTGGGACACCCTCCAACACTCTGTGACTGGGATACACTGGGGCCACCGCCTCTCAGCTGATGAAGGTGATCATAATGCAGTCTCTCTGTGCCTCAGTTTACTCCTCTGTAGGATGGGGACTGTGACAATGCCTGTCTGTTGCAGTGCTCAGCAGGCAGCTGCCGGTGTCACAACTGTAGTGGGCAGGCCAGGGACTGAGGCCACACTACTTCACCTGCAACTTCACTCTGGGGGTCAGGCTGCCTGTGCCCTAAGGTCTAGGAAGGTGGGGATGACTGCACTCACGCTGCCTCAGGCACAGGGCCAGGCACCAAGGTGTCTGCTGACCTGCAGTGGGATAGTGGGCAGTGCCCATCGCCAGCCCAGGGAGACCCTCACCTGTGTGGGGTGCTCTGCTCTGAGCCCACTGCCCTGATCCGGCCTTGCCTGGACCTCAGCCCTCATCTCCATCCCCCTCCGGCTGTAGGCAAGCCCAGGAGGGACGGCTGCCCACAGAGGCACCAACAGCAGCAGCTCTCCTAAGGCCTGTGCTACTCTGCTCGGGGGCCAGGCCTGCCCCGGGGACCTTAGAGCTACAGGACCAGGTCACAGGTCTCCCAGGCCACCAGGTGTGGCCAGGGCCTCCTGATGTTGACCCTGCTCCCCACCTGACACACCCTGGGCCGCAATGTCCCACTGGGCTCCACTCCAGGCACAGGGGAGTCTGCTCCCTGCTCCGCCTGGCTGCAGCCAGGAGGCTTTTATGGCCAGCGGTGTCGGTCCAGCTCTCAGGCCACCGGACGCCAGCTCAGGTAGGAGCGCAAAGCTCCTTCTACGCTGCCCCAGATGGAGTGGTCTGAGGACGTCTGTGGCCAGGAATCTCACCCCTACATTGCAGCTGGCCCTCTTCTCCCAGGGTCCTGGGTGAGGCCAGGCTGGGTGACTCGGGACTGGGCCAGGGACCCCTGGCACAGACCTGCTGGTGGCAGCCTCGGAGGTGCCAGGGTGAGGACAAGTCCCTAGCCCAGCAGATGCCATCCTGGCATTCCCCACGAGGGCCCTTCGTGCCCCTGTAGCCTCCTGCTGGTCCCAGAGTTGGCCCTAAGCAAACCTCATCCACAGAAAGCTCGCTGGCACTGTTCTGGGCCTGCATGGGCAGCATGCAGTCAGGGATGGCTTCCTGGAGGAAGAGGTGCCTAAGCCAAGTGGTCTCAAAGGAAGTGGAGCAGAGAGGTGGTGGCGGAGCTCTAGACAGATGAGTGGGCGTGAGGCACTAACTGGCAGGACCACACTGCAGGGGTCGGGAGGACGGCCCTGGAAGCCTGTGTGTGCATGGGTGTGAGCGCGGAGCTGACTTGGTCTGACAGCGTAGCTCTCAAAAGGGAGAGCACAGCCCTGGGTTCACAGGGCTTTCCTGAGCCAGGGCCTGGGGGAAGGTAGAGAGGTGGAAGCTGTGTGAGAGTGTGGGTGGGAAGGGTGCTGGTGGGGAGGGTGGGGAAGCCCTCCCCCTGCTTCTGGGGCTGTGCTAGGGGCCCACCATCAAAGCAGGGGACGACTCCTTGCAGATTCTGAACACCAGGCTTGGCTCTTGTGGCCCAGGGGCAGCCCTGGGCGGGAAGACAGGACTGAGGGGTGCTTGTCTGCAGGGCACCACACACCCCTCCACCTGCAAACTTCCCTGTGGGGGTCAGGCCCAAACACTCACCTGGGGGCACCTCCAGGAGCCCTCAGCCGGCAAGTTATCATGCCCCCACCCCATCAAGAACCCAGCAAGCAAGTTGGAAATGGCTCTGGACACCACAAAGACACGTGTGGACAGGCTTGACCGCTCCAGGGGTCCAGTCAGTCACCTGGGCCCTCCAGCTCGCTCAGGAGGCCACAGGCCTGAGGTTAGTGGCCCCATCCCCCCCGCCCAGAAGCGGTTAGAGAAGAGAAGGCCAGGCGGCCGAGGCTGGAGAGCAGAGCTGTGCAGACGCCGCGCCCAGGGGCTGCGGGGAGAGGCCCTACCATCCGGCTCTTCAACATAAGGCTTGGGTTTCTTTCTCAATTTGGACTTCTTCTTAGTGTTTCTTTCCAGGAGCTCTTTTATGTGCTGTGTCACTGGGGAGCAAAGACAACCATCAGCACGACAGAACAAAACGCCAGGAGCCAGCGCCCACTCAGCTCCCGCACTTGGCTGGTGAGCAGGCCCCTGGGCCTGTTGGGGGCTCACCCTGTGCAGCTGGGGGCTGAGCGTTTCTGGGGGGACGTGGCTGTGTGAGTGGCAGAGAGGTGCCGGGGGCCCTTCTGAGCACTGTGTGGGCTGGGAAGCTGCCGTGCCTGTGCTGGCGTGAGTGGAGGTGCAGGGAAGGCGCCAGGGGAGCAGGAGGAGAACACAGGGAAGGCGCCTGGGGAGCAGGAGGAGAGCAGGCAGCTTCTGCCCTCTGGCTGGCAGCAAGGCTGGGGCAGCCATGGCCTGGGCCCCCTGCCTGCCGGTCAGAAAACCAACAGAAACAAGTGGGCGAAGGCAGCTGGCCCCAAGCCAGGTGCTGCAGTCAGAGAGGAGGGGGCTCCCCTCAGGCTGATCTGGGTCTGCCTCCCGCTCTGCACAGCGTAACTCCGCAGTGTTGCCACTGGCCTCGATGACCTAGCTGAGGTCACGGCTGGCAGGCTCCTGTGAGGTACCGTCTCCTCCTCCTGCTCCGTGCCACACTCTGTAGGAGGAGTCACTGTGCCCGGCCCACACCTGAGGGGTGGAGTTAGGCTCCAGCTCCTGGAGGGTGGATATGTACGTAAATTATTTGTCATTATTCTGCACAGATTTGTCTATTCCTACCTATTGAATTACTCATTTATATCAGTATGGACTTAGTTTTTTCTTCTTTTTGAGATAGGGTCTGTGTCACCCAGGCTGGAGTGAGTGGTGCGATCTCAGCTCACTGCAACCTCCACCCACCGCAGCCTCCACCTCCCGGGTTCAAGAGATTCCCACCTCAGTCTCCTGAGTAGTTGGAATTACAGGCATGCACCACCACATCTGACTAATTTTTGTACTTTTGGTAGAGATGGGGTTTCACCATGTTGGCCAGGCTGGTCTTGAACTCTTGACCTCAAATGATCCACCCACCTCGGCCTCCCAAAGTGCTGGGATTACAGGTGTGAGCCACTGCGCCCGGCCTACTTATGGATTTTACTTTATACTTGGGTTATAATCCAATGGGTCTTTATCTTGTTGCTCAACTTGCTCCAGCCTTGGCCACTGGGAACTCCTTCCGCTGGCCCCTGTGTCCCTGTGACAGGCGTCACCCCCACCTCCGGCACTTCCTCACTTTTGACTACATCTCGTATATGCCCCGCACCAGCCCTGGAATCACCCATTTCTCCAAGGAACTCTGGATCGTTTTAATGGAAAATGGTATTTAGAAACCAAGATCTGGGTGTGCGATGTGCTTACTGCTGCCAGGAAACCACTGCTTGCAGGTCCTCTCAGCTGACAGAATGAGGAAGCCCCTGTGTGCACGCTAACTCCTGTTCACATGCACATCTGTAAATATTTCTGTATGTGGCCATCTGTCTCCTCAACATACAGAGCTAAACATGGCCTCTAACTTGATTCCACTACCGCCGACAGTCGCCCCGGCTTCCTCCCTTTGCGTGTCTGTGACTGGTGTATCTTCTCATTCTTTTAACAGTCTTTTGTAGGAGACTTAATTTTGACGAAGTCCAATTTATCCATGTTTTTCTTTTATAGATAGTACTTTTGGAATTATATATAAAAATCTTTGCCTCCCTCAGGAGAGCAAGCATTTTCTCCTGTTTTGTTCCAGAAGTTTTATAGTTTTAGGTTTTATATCTTGGTTTACGAGTGATCCATTTGCAGTTATTTTTTGTGTACACTTCAAAATATGCGTTGAAATTCATCTTTTGTTTGCATTTGGATATCCGGTTTTCCCAGCATCATCGAAGGAAAAGACTGTCTTTTCTTCACTAAGTTGCCTTTGCAGCACTGTGGAAAGCTGGCTCATCCATCCATGGGTCTGTTTCTAAACTTGCTCTCTGTGGCACTGACCCACTGTCTACCTCAAGGCTAGTGCCACACTCTCGTTAGTCTAGCTTTATAACAAGTCAGGTGGTGTAAGTCCTCCAACTCTATTTTTTCAAAGGGGTTTTGGCTATTCTAGGTCCTTTGTAGTTCCTATGCATTTTAGAATCAGCCTGTCAATTTCTAAAACAAAAAAAAGTGGTACAATTTGCATTCAGATTTAATCTATGCGTCGATTTGGTAGAACTGATGGCCTAACAGTATTGCCTTCTGATTCATAAGCACAGCAGACCTCTCCGTCTACTTTACTGCTTTACTTTCAGCAATGGTTTGCAGTTTTTACTGTACAGGTCTTACATGTCCTTTGTCAGATCTATCTCTAAGTATGTCATATTTTAAAATGCTACTGCAGGCAGGCACAGAGAAGCTGAGGCAGAAGGATCACTTGAGGCAAGGAGTTAAAGATGAGATGGGGCAACATTGCAAAACTTCATCTCTCCAAAAAAATTACATTAGCCAGGTGCGGTGGTTCAGGCCTGTTGTCCTAGCTACTCGAGATGTTGAGGCAGGGGGATCATAGCTTGAGCCCAAGAGTTGGAGGCTACAGTGAGCTATCACAGCACTGTGCACCACCCTGGGCCACAGAGTCTCAGAATAAATAAATACATGCGACTGTACTCCACCCTGGAGACCCTGTCTCTAAATAAATAAATACATGCAACTGCAAATGATTATTTTAAAATATCAGCTTCTAATAATTTGTTGCTAGTATATAGAAATATGAGGCCAGGCTTGGTGGCTTACATCTGTGATCCCAGCACTTTGGGAGGCTAAGGTGGGAGAATCACTTGAGCCTAGGAGTTCGAGATCAGCCTGGCCAACATGGTGAAACCCTGTCTCTACAAAACTTAAGAAAAAAATTAGCTGGGCTTGGTAGTGCCTGTGGCCCCAGCTACTCGGGAGGCTGAGGTGGGAGGATCCCACGAGCCTGAGAGGTGGAGGCTACAGTGAGCAGTGACGTCACCACTGCACTTCCCTGGGCAATACAGTGAGAACCTGTCTGGAAAAAAAAAAGAAATATTTATTTGAAACGAAGTCCCTGTCTGGGGATAAATAAAAGACATAATTAATTAATTTGAAACAGTCTTGCTCTGTTGCCCAGGCTAGAGTGCAATGGCAAGATCTCGGCTCACTGCAACCTCCGCCTCCTGGGTTCAAGTGATTCTCCTGCCTCAGCCTCCTGAGTGCCTGGGATTACAGGCGCCCGCCACCATGCCTGACTAATTTTTGTATTTTTAGTAAAGATGGGGTTTCACCATGTTGGCCAGGCTGGTCTCGAACTCTTGGCCTCAGTGATCCACCGGCCTCCGCCTCCCAAAGTGCTGGGATGACAGGCGTGAGCCACCGCGCCTGGACTCCTTTGCTTCTTAAGCAGTTTTAACCAATCCTTTGTTTCCAGCTTCAGGGTCACCCTCTTCCCCCTTTGCTAGAAGCATTTGTGAGCTTCTAAGGGTTTGCTGCCTGCTTCAGCTTTTCCGTTTCCCACCATCGGCCCAGGATTTACCGTTTGTGGTCCACATGCTCCACCTTCTAAAACAGCTGTTCTTCCTTTTCCATTTTCTTTTTCTTTGTGTTTTTAAAAGTTTGGTAAAATACACATAAAATTTACCACTTTAACCATTTAAAAACAGACAGTTCTGTGACATTAAGTACATTTACATTGTTGTACAACTATCACCACTGGCCATCTCCAGAACTTTTTCATCTTTCCAAAGCAGACCTCACTCCCCGCTTCTCCCTCC
This sequence comes from Homo sapiens, assembly GCF_000001405.40. Lineage (NCBI taxonomy): Eukaryota > Metazoa > Chordata > Mammalia > Primates > Hominidae > Homo > Homo sapiens. Next base: position 144,541,537 of record NC_000008.11, read on the forward strand.
CTCAGCCGTGGCACCCACCATTCTAGTTTCTGTCTCTGGGAATCTGACTGCTCTAGGGCCTCACGGAGGGAGAATCCTACAATCTCTATCCTGACTGGCTTCTTGCCTTTAGCATGATGCCCTCAAGGTTCATCCATGCGCGTCTATCAACATTTCCTTCCTTTTTAAGGCTGGAAATAATTTTCCATTTTGTGGCTGGACACGTTCTGTTTCTCCATTCAGCTGCTGATGGATCCTTGTCATGTTCCCACCTTTTAGTTATAAGAGCTGCTGTGAACGAGGTGTACAAATCACCATTACAGTCCTGGCTCCCAGCTCTTCTGGGTCATTCTGGAAGTGGAAATGCTAGATGATATGGGAATTATATTTTTAATTATTTGAGGAACTGCCTACCAGTTTCCACAGTGGCTGTACCATTTTACATTCCTTTCTGGGTTTTTTTTTTTTGCCTTTAAAAAATGGCTTCACTGCTGTTTTAGTGAGTTCAAGGCAAAGGTGAAGCAAATGCCCATGTTCAATCCGCCATCTTGAGCTGGAAGCCGGGAGACCTTGTTGGATGCATGAAGAAGCGAGCAGTGAATGAAACCTTTAGGAGTCTCCAGCCTTCCAAAATACACAGAAGTGGAGCAGGTGGGAGAGCTGGAGGCTACCATACCCACTGCCAGGTGCTCCTCGATGTCTGTGTCGAGAACCTGTTGAGGGAGGTCCTGGGGACCAGCCAGGAGACCCCCTGCTGGTGTGAAAGGTGTGAGCACCCATGAGACAAGGCTAAGCTGGGGGCATCACCTCGTGGGGCCTCAGTCCCCGAGGGTGGTGACCACACAGTGCAGGTCACGCAGGTGCTGGCCGATGAGTCAAAGGCTCCTGAGGCTGAGGCAGGCAGGGTGCTCAGGGCGACGCACCAGGCTCAGCTCTGCTCCTCACCGAGGGTCCCTAGGCTACAGTTTCCTTTTTCTAAGAACTGTGCTGCAGCCTAGCTGGCCCTCCACAGTACAGGCTATATCCGACATCCTCCTCGGCTGATAGGGCCTGTCTTTCTTTCCTTTCTCTTCTCTTCCTTCCTGCTTTTCTTTCTTTCTTTTTCCTACCCGCCCCCCCACCCCCACTTCGACGGAGTCTTGGCCGGGCACAATGGCTCACGCCTCTAATCCCAGCACTTTGGGAAACTCAGGTGGGTGGATCAACTCAGGTCAGCAGTTTGAGACCATCCTGGCCAACGTGGTGAAACCCCGTCTCTACTAAAAATACAAAAACTAGCTGGGTATGGTGGCGCGCACCTGTGGTCCCTGCTACACGGGAGGCTGAGGCAGGACAATCGCTTGAACCCAGGAGGCAGAGGTTGCAGTGAGTCATGATTGCACCACTGCACTCCTGAACTCCAGCCTGGGCAACAGAGCGAGACTCTAACTCCAAAAAAAAAGGGGGGTCTTGCTCTGTTGCCCAGGCTGGGGGTCTTGCTCTGTTGCCCAGGCTGGAGTGCAGGAGTGCAGTGGTACGATCATGACTCACTGCAGACTTAACCTCCTGGGCTCAAGCAATCCTCCTGCCTCAGCCTCCCAAGTAGTTGGGACCACAAGCATACACCACCATGCTTGGCTAATTTCCTTTTTAAAATTTTTCATAAAGACAGGGTCTCACTTTGTTGCCCAGGCTGGTCTCAAACTCCCAGGCTCAAGGGATCCTCTTGCCTTGGCCCAGAGTGCTGGGATTCCAGGTGTGAGCCACTGTGCCTGGCTGGGCCTGTCTTTCTGAGCAGCAGCCAGCACCTGCATGTGAAAGGGACACCTCCTAGGCACAGGAGGCTGGCTGGAGGGGGTGTGAGGCTCATTTGGGAAGGAATGGCCACTGTGTATGTAGAGGCCTCTCTTCTGGGCTCAGGGCCAATCAGGGACCCTGACAGACGAACCTAGGAGTGGATCCTGGGGCTGGAGATGAGGTTCTGGCTGTGAGGGTGGCCACAGTACCACAGCCAAGATGCAGGCTACCTGCCAGTGGGACTGCACAGAGCCCCAGCCCCGCTGTCACTCCAACCCAGACGGTGCTGTTGGCCTTCATGGGCCTTCTTTGGCAGAGCTCTGAAGCCACGGCCGCCCAGGCTGAAGCCTGATTCCTTTTTCCATGCAGGCCAGGACCCCACAGGTGTAAGGCACAAGGACAAAGGCACACGAGCCTAAGTGTGAAGGGCAGCAGCCTGGAGCACACACTCCCCTAGGAAGCCACAGCCTCTACTTACATACAGCAGAAACAGCCCAGCCACACATTGGCTAGGCAGCTGGCCCAAGATGGGCCCAAGAAACCTCAGGCCTTTGTCTGGCTGTCTTCTGGCCCTCACTTGCCTACTCTCGGGGGTACCCACTGTGGGCTGCATGCTGTGCTGAGCAGTGGGGGCTCAGCTCCATAGCCTCCAGCTCAGGCACGACATTCCCAGGCCCCTCTGGAAGAGGAAGAGGAGGTGAACTATGATGCCAAGAGGAACACAGCCCCTAGAATTCCACCTGCTTCTTGAAGGGCCCAAGACCAGGGACTGGGCTTCACAGGCCAGCCCAGTCTGCCTGGCACCCTGCTCTGGTCCTCCTCTGCACACCTGGAGCCCCGGCCACCTGCCAAACTCTGCCTCTGCTGTGATCTTGTGTTGAAAAGTCGGGTGAAACTGCATGGCTTCCAAAATCTCCCCACAAACAGCTGATGGGCTGGGTGGTGCCTATACCCAACACTGTCCCCAGGAACCTCCCACTGCCCTGTGGCCTCCACCCTGCCTCTGTGTGCCCACAGCAGCTTGGGAGCCACCTCCTCCACACCTGGGCTGGGGGTAATAGGGGTAAGGCCCAGCAAGGCCCTGACCAGGGGCTCAATCTCTGCAGAGGCAAAGGCCAGACCAGGGTGGGCTCTCACTGCCACAGAACAGTCTATGGCATGTCTGACCTGGAGGGTGTGTGTGCGTGCGTGCATGTGTGTGTGTGTGCGCGTGCATTTCTGGATATCAGTTCTGTGGCTGTGCCCTGTAGATACCCATGATGTGAGGTGGAGAGCTGCTTGCTGCAGACACGGGGCTGTCTGGCGGATGGCACCATGGCCTGGGCCCAGCACACCTGAAGCATCGTCTTGGAGAGCCCTGGGCAGACTCTGGCCTCCCACGCTGCCCCAGGCAGCCATCAGGATGTGATGATGGCTCCGACGTGCGACCCCATGGGGCAGCTTTGGGGCAGCTCAGGTGCTGCGTGACCTGCATGTGAGCCAGTCATCAAGCTCCTGCCTGCTCACAGGAGCCTTCTGCCAGGACCATGCCCAGAAGAGACAACCCGGATCTTGCCAGGGTGGTAGCCCTCTAGGTCACGGATGGCAGAAGGCAAGTGCGGCAGGCACACAGGTGCCTGACTACGGCTGCTCCGCCCTCGGCGTCTTCGTGCCTGCCCTTGTCAGGGAGCGGGACTGGCCATGGTGGGCTTGGAGCAGAGTGGATGCGGCCATTGAGGCCCCAAGCCCTCGTGTCTGCCAGGGCTCCGGGGCTCTTCACCTCAGTGCCCAGGTGGGGCTCCAGGAAGAGGCCACATCCAGCAGAGGCCCAGAGTGTGGGGCGTTTTGGGAGGTGTGTGTCGAACCATGGCCCTGTGTGGAGGGCCGCCAGGGACTTCACCAGCTGCCGCCCAGCACAGCAGGAGCCCTCTCCACTGCCCTTACCTGAGCTGGTGGCAAAGCCCGTGCATGGCCTTACCTTTAGTGTCATTGACGGGGTCCATGTGCCGGTAGATGTAGCCTTCCAGGTAGGAGTGGAACTTGGGGGTGGGCGGGAAAAAGGCCAGGCAGATGGCCATGAGCTCCCAGCCGCGGGCCAGGCTCTCCAGGCGGAAGTTCTCGGTGGTCTGCCGGCACAGCTGGATGTAGAGCTCGTCCCGCAGGCCCTGCACGCTCCAGCCCTTGGTGGCCACCTCCAGGGCCACGTGCAGTGGGTCGGCCTTGGCCCGCCGGTCACCCATGTACATCTGGATCAGCTTGAAGAGCTCGCAGGCCTCCTTCTTCACGTGCCGGTCGCTTGTCACGATCATGGGCTTCTTGATGGACTCGCTGCTCCAGGCCAGCATGTTGGCGATGGACACCTTCCGCCGGAAGAGGCCCTGCGTGTGCTTGTTGAAGTGCTTGGAGGCCCAGTTCTCGATGTCCGTCTCCGAGGAGGGCTTGCGCAGCGTGAAAGTGGGGAAGACGCAGCTGGAGCTGGGAACGCCGCTGCGGCTCTGCCGGCTGCTCTCGAACTGGGCACAGGCAGCGAGGTCCTCAGACTGAGAAGGACAAATGCGGCTGGGCTGTTGGGGGTGGGGGAGGGCCAGGCAGGTGGGCCCACTGGGCCACAGTCCCCAGAAGTGTGAGCTGGGGCCCCACCAGAGCCAGCCAGGTGAGAGCCCTGCCCTGCTCACCACAAAGCTGTCTGAGGTGGGAGGCCCAGGGGAGCCCAGCCCGTCCACAGATGCAGCTGGGACGCCGGAGCCCTGTACTCCCAGGGTGTGGCAGGGCAGCCTGCTGATGGGTGACCCAGGTGACCTGGCTGAGGGTGAGGCGGGAGGAAGGGGAGCATCCGCTGGCACCCCCAGGGGGCTGACCTCATTCTGCCGCCCCCTGAGGAAGTGTCAGTGCCCTTGTTCAGGCACGGAAGGCTGCAGTTCACACCAGGTAAAAGTGCTGTCTGGTTCCCAATCCCTTCACTGCTGGGACCCCAGGCCCTTCCCTCCAGCCTTCACCCCAGGCCGACCTCCAGGAGGCCCCTCCCTGCCTGCTGCTCTGAGAGAACCTGGTCCATGCACCCTGGGCCTCTCTGCCCTCTTGTCCTGCATCTTGAGAAGTGGACAGAATCACGGACCGGAAGCTGCTCTGAGTTCTCCACCCTGGAGACCACGAAGGCCACCCAGGCCCTCGAGGTCTCCCCACCCAAGGAAGCTCCCTGTGTTCCTCCTCCACCCTCCCGGGTCCTCAGACGCTAGGCCTGCCCTCTGCCTCACCCTGTGAGAACAAGGAGGTGAGAACAAGGATGGAGATGCTGGACAGAGGTGCACGTGGCCTCCACGGGATCTAGCCTCCATCAGCTCCAGGAGCCAGATGGGGAACGTGCCAGAGGCCCCAGGCTGGGCGCAACATCCCGGAATTCCTGCGGCCTCTGTCCTCCCGGCAGTTCTTCCTACCCGAGGGAGCCTCGGGGACTGGCTTTGAGAACCACCAGGGAACCCCCGACACCTTGGCTGCCTGCTCCTCAGGGGCCCAGGCCACGGCTCCGGTGGCCACCACCCTCCCAGGCTGCTGAGGCCTTCTCTGTTCTGTGTCTGGAGTCAGGGTGTGGCCTCCAGCTCCCAGGTGCCCCCAGGATGAGGAAGGCACTGCCAGGGAACGCCCAGCAGCCCACACCCCACGGGGCCTCCTCGTGGACTCCCAGCTGAGCCCTGACAGCCCGCTGGAGTGCCCAGGGCCCCGGAGACACGGGGCTTCAGAACTCTGCGTGCTGCGTGCACGCCCTGGACGCCAGGTCTCCTGTGCCTGGCCCACGGGGTCCACTCTGACTGGGCTGGCCCCAGGCTCTCAAGCTCAGCCGCGCCCATTGGGCCCTCACCTGTGAGGGGTGGAGGTAGGGCTCTGGTGAGGCCAGGTTGGTCTGCACGGAGACGCTCTTCTCCAGCAGGATCTGGGGGAAGCCTAGCTTCTCGAAGGTGCCCCTCCTCCAGTGCCTGTTCTCCTGCTGGGCCAGCGCCTCGTCCTCGCTGAAGGCCCGCACCACCGGCCCGGGCATGGGCAGTGGCAGGGCGCCGTCGCTCTCGTAGCCAGAGCCGTCCTGCTGGGAGTCCCAGCTGCTCCTCTGCTTCATGTGGAAGTGGGCCTGCTGCGCCTCCCAGGCCAGCCGAGCCTGCGCCAGGAAGGGCTCGGCCGCGCCCCGCGCCCCTTCGGCCTCACCTTCCGCTCGCTTCACGGGGGCGAGGCTGGTCCCGCACGGGGGCTGTTCCTCGGCCAGGGGCTGCTCCACAAGCAGGTCCCCGGGGCCCTCAGTGGGGGTGGCGCTGGTGGCTTGGCACAAAGAGGGCTTTCTGCTCTTCCGCTTGCGCGTGCCCGGGGAGTAGCCTGTGGAGGACAGGGTGTCCTGCTGGCTGGACCAGGACATGGCATCCTCCTGGGCCTGTGGCAGCGGCGTGGGCGGCTGGCTGTGCCGCAGCTCAGGTCCCTCCATGGTGCTGTAGTCTCCGGACTTGACGCCCAGGCGCTGGTCCCTCAGCAGGCAGGGGCTGGGCTGCAAGGAGTACGAACCACCGCCGGGGTTGGGCGCGTACTTGTGCCGCGGGCCGGCGCGCAGCTTGGGGCTGGAGCCCGCCTGCTCCACGTAGACCAGCTGCCGCACGTACTCCTTGCCGGCGGGACTGTACTCCAGGCTCAGGAAGCGCTCGGGACACTTCTGCTTGGTGAGCACCAGCTGCTGGCAGGGCGAGGGGGGGCCCTGCTTGTTGGGCTGGAGGAACGGCCGGGGCTTACGGCCCGGCGACCGCTGGGGAGAGCCGGCCTGGTAGCCCCCGCCAGCCTCGAATTGCACGTCCATGGGGGGCTCATCGTAGATGGGGGCCTGGTACTCCACTGGGGGCTCCTCGTAGAGCGGGGGTTCATAGCCATAGCGCGGGGAGGAGGGCTGCGAGTCCCCGGAGGGCTTTCGGGGCTGGGCCAGCAGCGGGGAGCTGCTCCCTGGGAGCTCGGCCCTCTTCAGGAAGGGTGACGGCCTCCTCTCTGGGAAGAAGATGGTGCCGTCAGCCTCCGGGGCGAAGGTCTGCAGGCTGGGTGAGTGCTGGCTGCCGGAGGGTCTGCGGGAGCGGACCCCAGGTGGGCCGTCTGGGGCGTAGCCATTGCCCTGGGCGGCGAGGAAGCTGGGCTCCCGATCAGCGACCTTGATGAGCATGCGCTCTTTGGCGCCCGAGTTCCACCGCAGCGAGGAGGTCCTGCGTGGGGGGTGGACGGGCACAGGTGACTGCCTGCCTGCTGCTTCTGGGCACGCCCCACCCCCTCGGGGGCTGTAGGCAGCGGCTCCCGCGAACCCTCTGTTGTACACCTTCCTCGCTGGGGCCCTGTGGCCTGGCGCCCCTCACACCTGCCTTGCCCCAGCACCCCCAGCCCTCCCTCTGGGGCTCTCCTGGAGCTGCCGCCCACGACCAGGTGTCTGTCTGCTCTGATCCCAGCTCCTGACCGGGCACAGGGCTGCTTCTGTAACTAGAACCGGGGGCGGCGTTACCAGGGCCCTTAATGTGGGTGCTGTGCGGGTGTCTCCAGAGCTGCCTGAGCCGCCGGGCAGGCTCCTGGGCCCTGTGTTCCTGCTGAGCAGTGGCGTTGGACCCGTCCCAGTGGTCCAGGTGAGCCCAGCAGGAGGAAGGCACACCACCAGAATCCCACGGCCCCATTCTCCGACTGGGAGCTCCTGTGAGCTCCAGAAAGACTGACTGTCCTCCTCTGACCCTGCCCCAGTCACCACGCTCACTCCAACAGCTGCAGGTGTCCCACTAACACCGCACCTGGCCAAGGGCACCAGAGTCCCCGGAGTCACGCTGTCTGCGTCCTCACCAGTCCTCCCAACTCAGTGCATGAGTCCCACTCACTCATCCGCAACGAGGGAGACCCTGCTCTGGGCAGCACTGCGGGGCAGATATGCAGACGCAATGCCCACACGTGCTCTGCCCCTGGCGGCCCAAGGTGGGCACTGGTCCTGTGTCCACAGCCATGCCTGCTGTGCAGGGCGCTGGACCCAGGACGCTGCCAGGGAGAGACGAGGGGCCCCTCCACCACCTTCTGTCTCCTGGAGGCCACTCGGGTATGGCTATTTGGGACGCATAGCACTTTGCACATCCGCGGCCTGACGTCTTCTACAATTTCCAAATGTTACTTTTACCCTGTTTCCTCTCTCTTCTCTTCTGGAAATCTAATTGCAGTCTTTCTTACTGTACACCACGTGGTTTTGTTTTGTTTTTTTGAGACGGAGTCTTGCTCTGTCGCCAGGCTGGAGTATAGCGGCACGGTCTTGCCTCACTGTAACCTCTGCCTCCCAAGTTCAAGCGATTCTCCTGCCTCAGCCTCCCGAGTAGCTGGGATTACAGGCACACGCCACCAGGCCCAGCTAATTTTTGTATTTTTACTAGAGAGATGGGGTTTCACCGTGTTGGCCAGGCTGGTCCCGAACTCCTGACCTCCTGATCCGCCTGCCTCGGCCTCCCAAAGTGCTGGGATTACAGGTGTGAGCCACCGCGCCCAGCCCCACGTGGTTTTCATGCTGTGTTCTGCAGTTCCCATTGCTTGGCAGCTCCACACTTCAGAATATTTTCTTCTCAACTGCCTTCCAGTTTACTACTTTTCTATTCAGCTATGTTTAATCTGCTTTTAAACGCATTGTCTTAGTCCATTCAGGCTTCTATAACAAAATACTACAAACGAGGTAGCTTAAAAATAGGGAATGGCCAGGCATGGTGGCTCACGTCTGTAATCCAAAGACATTGGGAGGCTGAGGCAGGAGGATCACTTGAGCCCAGGGCTTCAAGACCAGCCTGGGCAACAGAGCAAGACCTCATCTCTACAAAAACATAAACCAATTAGCCGAACATGGTGGTGTGCTCCTGTAGTCCCAGCTACTCAGGAAGCTGGGGTGGGAGGATCGCTTAAGCTCAGGGAGGTCGAAGCTGCAGTGAGCCATGATCGCACCACTGCTCTCCAGCCTGGGTGACAGAGTGAGACCCTGTCTAAAAAAAAGTAAATAAATAAAAATAAAAAGAACCCCAGGAATTTGGCCAGGTGTGGTGGCTCACATCTGTAATCCCAGCACTTGGGGAGGCTGAGGTGGGAGGATCACTTGAAGCCAGGAGTTTGAGACCAGCCTGGGGAACACAGTGAGACCCCATCTCTAAAACAAACAACAACAAAAAAAGTAGAAACCCCACACATTTTATAAGCCAGTTGTGTCCCTCTGATTGATGTGGGGTCTTTCTGGACAAGGCCACATTCCCCATTGCCTGGGGGGTTGGTGAGGCAAGGCCAGGAAGACATGGCACCCCCTGACCAGGGACAACCTGCTCCAGAACACTGGGCTGTGGGCCCTCTCAGCACGGCCACACCACCCAGGCGAGAAGTCAGGGCAGCAGCCAGGGGCAGAGTGCAGGTGCCTGTTCCTGGGATTTCTGCTCGTGGCTGCTGGAGACTGCTCCCAGCCTGACAACAGGGGCTAGCCAGGCAGAGTGGATGGTGGCAGCCAGTGTGGCAGGGGCCATCAAACCCTGAGGGCCAGCTGTGGGGTCAACCCCTCCATGGCCTGGGGACACTGAGGGGTGAAGGGCTCCGGAGTTCGGGAGATCGGGGGTTGAACTCCAGTCTGTTGCTCTGTGGCTGCAAGGCTTGGATTTCACTTAACATCCTTCTGCCTCAGTTTCCTCCTCAGTTATGACGAAGATTCAACAAAACAACGTGCATGTAGTAAGGCCCTGAGTTCAGCACTGACACAGAAAACCCTCGGTCAATGCGAACCATTAGTTTTGCATATCTGTGACTCTTTTTACCACTTAACAGATACTGCCTTAGGCCTGGGCCAGGCCTAGGGAAGGACTGGCAGACGGTCCCAGCACAGGGTGCCCTGTCGTGGCCCCAGGGAGGCGCCTTTCTGCTGTCCGTCTAGGGTTGCTGGGGGAGGATGGGGGGCTGGCAGGCGGCCGGGAGGGTGGGGTGAGTATGAGGAGAGGTGAGGGCACGTGAAAGGCTTGCTGGTCAGATGCCACGCTCTATCTCAGGAACGGACATGGGTTCTGCCCAGTTGGGGCAGAGATGAAGAAAGGTAAGAAGGCCAGAGGACCTGCCCACATGCCGATGATCCCGCCTGGCCAGGGGAGGAGGCTGGCACTGCCACGTGTGTGTGCCAAGCACCTCCTCAATGCAGGCCGAGGCCTGTGCTGGGCACCCGAGTCACAGATGGGGAAGCCCCGAGAGGCCCAGACACTCTCCCCAGGCCACGCAGCACAGATACAGTGGCAGCTAGGTGAGGACCACGCCCCACGGCGCCCAGAGTGTCTCTTGAGGGGTCTCTTGCCCTGCCCCACCCACCCTTCCGCCATGTAGGCAGCTCTGCTCTTTCCCTGGGGCAGCTCCTGAGCCTGCATTCCCCCAACCCCATCACCTGGCCCTTCTCCTCAGCTCCCCCAAATCACATCCAGTCTCCAGGCCCCACCGACTGTCATTCTCACCCCTAGTTGGCTGAGCTTGCCCCGGCCCCCGGGAGCAAGCACCCATGGCTCAGCTGCCCCTGCTGGGCTTCCTCCTGGGCCATGTCTGTCCTTTCAGCCAGTCCGGCCTCCCCGATGGGCCTTCATAGCCCCTCTTCCCGAGCCCAGCTCGTTCCCATCTCTCCAGGGCAAGTGGAATCCCAGGCCTCTCTCCTCACCCTTCTCTAACCTGTCCATCTCCTCCTCACCCTCCCAAATTCCCACACCTCTCTGTAGGGCAGGGGCACCAGAGCAGAGAGACCATCTCCCCCATCTCAGTAAATTAACAGAAATCAAACATCACAACACAGGCTGTTCAGGGGACACTTCCAAACTGCAAGGGAAGTTGGAAAGCCTTAAGAGCGGTCGTGGCCTCTGAAAATGCTGAAGTCAGGCAGGCAGGGCAGATTTGGTGACAGAGGATGGGACGACAATAAGGGCCCTGAGGGCTGCTTCTCCCAGAGCCTATTTTCGGAGGAAGAATTGGAAGCGCTGCACAAAACCAAAGCAAAACAAAACCACAGCCAGAAGCGCGTCCCTGCTGCTGTCGCTCCTGAGAAGCGGCTGCTGTCCCTGCAGAGCCTGGACGGAGCTGGGAGAAGCGCGCGGCGGCAGCAGCCGACAGGCTCCCAACCCAATGCCGCAGGTTTCCGAGGAAAACGCTCCGCCAGAGTCCCTAAATACAGACACAGTTATACTCACACAGAACAAGAAACCATACGTCTGAAATTATGCTTGAAAAACAACTTCACTCTCCAGGCCCTGTGACTTCACATTCGCCTGTGTTTCCTCTAGGCCTGACCCTGCCAGGCTGCCTGCCAGGGCGACCCCACTGCTATCCCTGCTGTTCTAGGTGTGGTCTCTTGATACCCTGAGTGCTGGTATCAAGCTGGTGAGATTTTTTTTTCTATCTCAATATGCAGAGAACACCAGAAGCAATGTGCTTTGGCCAGGCTGAGGTAGTAGCACGCCTTCACTGTACTCAGGGCTGGGCCAGCTCCCTGGCTTTTGTTTATAATTTCTTTTTTTTTTTTCCCTGAGCGAACTGCATCCATATAATTTATTTCACAGGGACTTTATTTCTTGCCATCTCACATGGCATCACACTGGTCCATTATGCTGATGGCAACTTGTGAAAGGAAGCACCAGGCATGCTCTGGGGGCAGAGTGGGGCTTCCAAGGCCTTCCGAGCCCAGCGGGCCTGGCTGGCTCTCAACTGTTCTGCTCTCAGCCCCTGTGGGGCTGGCATGGGGCTGGACACCAGCTCTCCTCCCTCTTCCCAGAAGCACCCGCATGGCTGTGGCAGCTCACACCTAGGCCTCCAGCATGTCCAGAGGAAAGCTTCACTCCTGGTGGGAGTCCAGGTTAGCTGAGGATGGGATCTCCCACGAGCGGCCACAATGGGACCCTGGCACACTCTGCACTCCACCCCAGGAGATGTTAGCACCGCTGTAATTGTGCCCAGCTTGCCGTGGCAGGCCCTCTCACTGACTCCCCAAGGAAGGTAAGTTCCCGCTTTCCAGAAGCCCTAGATCATAGCAAGAACTGGCTTGGCAGATTCAGCTGGGTGCCTGCTCTCAACCAGTCTACAAGTGCAACTCTGGCGAGCGTGAGTCCCACCTCCACGTATCATGAGAACACACAGAGCACGCGCGTTTCAGCAAAAAGGACTGAGAACGTCTCAGGACAGGGTCTGGCTATCCACTTCCCCACCCTGCTCCACCTTCCCAGCTAAACATGCATGCATCACCCCAGGCCACAAGCCCCCCGAGGCAGTACTCTGCTGCTGCACACTGGCAGGCCTCCCTCATACTCCCGTCGACCCAGCCTCTTCTTCCAGACACCACTGGACCTCTGTCCCAAGGTCTCAGCGACAGGATGACAGTGACAGGGGAGGGGCATGAGGAGGTGGCCAAGCTGCCTGGTGTGGAGCAGCCCCCAACCAGGTCACTGAAGGAGGCCAGGCTGCCATCACCACACTGGCCAAGGGCCAGGGATCACCCTCAGGGATGCACGGCACTACTGACAGCAAACACTGGGCTGGGCCGCCCAACGCAGCGGCAAGGCCTCTTCTCCCCGCCCAATGCAGTGGCAAGGCCTCTTCTCCCCGCCAGGTCCAGAGGGAGCCCAATGCCCCACACAGAGCTCGATGTGGGCTGTCGCCTCCCAGCCATTAGTTTACGGCCCAGAGGTGCAGCTGCTGGCCCTGTGTCGGGGGGCCTGGCCAGCACATGGATGTACTCGTGGTCTGAACAGGGATCTTCAGCAGGCTGAATCGTCAGCCAGGTGAAAGGTGCCAGCCTCTGAGAGGGGCCAAAGGCACAACAGAGGCAGAGGCCACAGGAAGTGCGCCAGTGGAGGGTTGCGGGGGCTGCGGACCTCCAGGAGGATCCTTGGACCTTCGTGGAGACCAGGACCTGGTGTGTCAGCTCGTGGGGCCAGAGGCGGCTCCATGGGGCTGAAGGAGGCCGAGCCACCAGAGTGGCCTGGTAGGTGTGAGGGGCAGGACGCTGGGGCGGGCTTAGCTCAGCGACCCACCCCCTACTCCTGACATCCCCAGAGAGGCCAGAAGGTCCTCCTCACCTCACCTGGGACACTGGCTTTCCTGAAAGCTCTGTGGGTGCCACAGATGAGCTCAGGGATAATGCCAGTGAGTCGGGCCCTTGATCCTGGGGGAGAATGGCATCCTGGGGATGGCAGAGCTGAGGCAGTGCTTGGCAAACAAAGACCAGGTGGGCACGTCCACCACGAAGGATGCAGTCGCGTTGGTCCACTAAGCACATGCTGGGTCCACAGGAAGCCCCAAGGCTGGTGACCAGAGCCAGGACCTGATCTGCCACAGTGGGGGTGGCCCTTCCACTACGAGCTCTGTCACTCTGCAGTGACCACTGAGTCAGCTGCCCAGATCCATCCCACTGATGAGGAAACGGAAGCTCGGGAAGGCTATAAAACCTGTCCTCTATCAAACAGCCACACTGCTGGGACCAGGGCAGGCTCTAATTCCCTGCCACAACCCTAATGTTCAACAAATACGAATGTAAGAAACAAACCGTTACCACTTCCAAGCTCCAGCTGTTCAATCGTCTGTGCAGAACGCCAGAGCCCCCTCGGGTCCTCCAGTTCCTCCCCAGCACCACAGTGCCCCTGGGTGGCCCATGCTGCGGACACCCACCCCCCTACAGAAACAGCAGCTGGCCCTGGCCCTGCATCTCCCACAGCAAACTGGTCACCACCTGGCCAAGGAGGAGAAATCCAGGTGCCTGCCTCTGCCTGGATATCCTGGGAGGTGGAGGGAGCGTCCTGCCCGCCCAGCGTGAAGGCAGTAGGGTCTTGAGGGTGGTCTCCAGAACCTTCCAGCAGTCTGTGAGGCTGACCCAGGGCTACTGGAAGCCAAAGCCCACCCCTCCACTGTGATTAGCGCCAACCTTCCAGACGGGCCTGGCAAGTGCTTTGGCACGTGTGGCCTGAGATGCCAGGGGTGGACCTAACTGAGGACCCTCCAGCACTCTGCTGCTCCACCAGGGGCTGAGGGAAGCACCGCAGGCTCCAGGCTGCCTAAGCCAGGCAGAGACAAAGTTCCTAGACAGGGGCTGCCAATGGGCCTGGGGCAGCTCTAAGGGGCTCCTGTCCAGGCCCCTGGCCCTGTGGCCTCCACGGCCTTTCCAGCTCTGGGTCTGTGGTGTTGCTGCTACGCGCCAGGCACCTCCCACTTGCAGTTAGCCTGGCTCACTGAGGAAGCCGCCCTCCATCACAAACGGCCACGCCTGAGAGATGGGTTCTACCTGTAGTGAAGAAGCTGGCCGTCCGCACTGTAATCCCGGTAAATCTCATAGTCCTTCTCAAGGAACACTCCTGGTGGTGAAGAGCTGAAACACAGTAAAATGAAAGAAATATGAATATAAGTGCAATCGTTTACCATAACCAGCCACTCCCTGACTTAAGAATGTGGCACTGCCACCTCAATTTCCTGGAAATAACCTGGCTCCTGCCCCCAGGCTGTATTCTTCATCTTCTGCCCTGAGTCCACCTTCTTCCAGCAGGTACACACCACTGTGGCCCATCCAGAGGCCAGGGAGTGGCTGGGACACCTGGATTTCAGAAGCTTGAACCATTGGAGCTGGGGCTACTGTTCTAAGGGCATAGAGATGGGGTTACTGAGAATCACAGCTTCAGCCAGACATAAAAAGATGACCTGGGAAGGAAGCATGGCTAGAAATAGCCTTGGAGACCAGGCACGGTGGCTCACGCCTGGAATCCCAGCACTGGGGGAGGCTGAGGCGGGCGGATCACGAGGTCAGGAGATCGAGACCATCCTGGCTAACATGGTGAAACCCCGTCTCTACTAAAAATACAAAAAATTAGCCAGGCGTGGTGGCGGGCGCCTGTAGTCCCAGCTACTTGGGAGGCTGAGGCAGGAGAATGGCGTGAACCCGGGAGGCGGAGCGTGCAGTGAGCCGAGATGGCGCCACTGCACTCCAGCCTGGGTGACAGAGCAAGACTCCATCTAAAAAAAAAAAAAAAAAAAAAAGAAATACCCTTGGAGACTGTGACTGCTGAAGGTCAGGGCCTGGAACATAACAAATATCTATGAAATGAATGGCTGAGTAGGCGATTATCCCGACAGATATTCCCAGGTATGTGATCAAACCGATAAGTATTTATGATCTAAAACAACTCTCAGTAGTCCAGAAGTAGAAGAAAATTTACTTAATCTGATTAAGAATATCCAAATTAAACTCAAGGCCTTCATAGTATTCAGCGGCAAAAGCCTGAACCTTCATAGTATTCAGAGGCAAAGGCTGAACCTTCATAGTATTCAGAGGCAAAGGCTGAACCTTCATAGTATTCAGAGGCAAAGCCTGAACCTTCATAGTATTCAGAGGCAAAGGCTGAACCTTCATAGTATTCAGAGGCAAAAGGCTGAACCTTCATAGTATTCAGAGGCAAAAGGCTGAACCTTCATAGTATTCAGAGGCAAAGGCTGAACCTTCATAGTATTCAGAGGCAAAAGGCTGAACCTTCATAGTATTCAGAGGCAAAAGGCTGAACCTTCATAGTATTCAGAGGCAAAGGCTGAACCTTCATAGTATTCAGAGGCAAAAGGCTGAACCTTCATAGTATTCAGAGGCAAAAGGCTGAACCTTCATAGTATTCAGAGGCAAAAGGCTGAACCTTCATAGTATTCAGTGGCAAAAGCCTGAACCTTCATAGTATTCAGAGGCAAAGGCTGAACCTTCATAGTATTCAGTGGCAAAGGCTGAACCTTCATAGTATTCAGCGGCAAAAGCCTGAACCTTCATAGTACTCAGAGGCAAAGGCTGAACCTTCATAGTATTCAGAGGCAAAGGCTGAACCTTCATAGTATTCAGAGGCAAAAGGCTGAACCTTCGTAGTATTCAGAGGCAAAGGCTGAACCTTCGTAGTATTCAGAGGCAAAGGCTGAACCTTCGTAGTATTCAGAGGCAAAGGCTGAACCTTCGTAGTATTCAGTGGCAAAGGCTGAACCTTCGTAGTATTCAGCGGCAAAAGGCTGAACCTTCGTAGTATTCAGAGGCAAAGGCTGAACCTTCGTAGTATTCAGAGGCAAAGGCTGAACCTTCATAGTATTCAGTGGCAAAAGGCTGAACCTTCGTAGTATTCAGCGGCAAAAGGCTGAACCTTCGTAGTATTCAGAGGCAAAGGCTGAACCTTCGTAGTATTCAGTGGCAAAAGGCTGAACCTTCGTAGTATTCAGCGGCAAAAGGCTGAACCTTCATCGTATTCAGAGGCAAAGGCTGAACCTTCATAGTATTCAGCGGCAAAAGGCTGAACCTTCGTAGTATTCAGAGGCAAAGGCTGAACCTTCGTAGTATTCAGAGGCAAAGGCTGAACCTTCGTAGTATTCAGAGGCAAAGCCTGAACCTTCATAGTATTCAGAGGCAAAGGCTGAACCTTCATAGTATTCAGCGGCAAAAGGCTGAACCTTCGTAGTATTCAGTGGCAAAAGGCTGAACCTTCGTAGTATTCAGTGGCAAAAGGCTGAAAGCATACCCATGAAAGTCAGGGCAAGAATTATTTATCCTTACCACCATTGTTTAATACAGTTTTTGGAAGTGCTAGGCAATGCAACTGGACAAGAAAAAAAACCACAAAAGATTCAAATATTTGAAAGGAAGACATAAAAATGATCATCAATTGTCAGCCTAGAGAAATTAAAACAATCGAATGAGAAACTTCAGCAGTGCGGAGAGACCTCACTTACGTACCACCTGCCATCAGAGGCTGTGCTGTGTGGTGGTGACTGGCTGGAAACCAAGCTCACCTTTATTAAAGCAACAGTAACAACAAAATACTAGGCACAGGTTAGTGAGGAATGTGCTGTATCAATATGAATAATACTGTAAAGTCTTGTTGAGACATATAAAAGAAGACTTGAATACATAACAGAGAAACACACACTCCCGGATGGGAAAATTCAATAAATATAAAGATATGACTTCTTTTTAAATTAGTTAATATGTTTAATGTCTTTTTTTTTGTTTGGCTGGGGGATGGAGTCTCTCTCTCTCACCCTGGCTTGAATGCAGTGGTGTGATCTTGATTTCAGCTCACTGCAACCTCCATCTCCCAGGTTCAAGCAATTCTCCTGCCTCAGCCTCCCAAGTAGCTGGGACTATAGGCACCTGCCACCACGCCTGGCTAATTTTTGTATTTTTATTAGAGACGGGGTTTTGCCATGTTGGTCAGGCTAGTCTCGAACTCCTGACATCAGGTGATCCACCTGCCTTGGCCTCCCAAAGTGCTGGCATTACAGGCGTGAGTCACCGCGCCTGGCCATAAATTCTAGTAATAATTTCATTCAGTGGCAACAGTAGGGAGCTAAAGAAAAATGTTCAGCGGGAGTACTTTCAGAACTTAAGAATGTTCAGTATGTTCACCCCCTACTCTGCTCCCTGCAAAAAGCCCCATATAAAAATAGCTGAGAAGTAATACAGAAAGGATGATATAAACAGTAATATAAAGCTACATAATTAGGCTGGGCACGGTGGCTCATGCCTGTAATCCCAGCACTTTGGGAGGCTGAGGTGGGTGGATCACTTGAGGTCAGGAGTTCGAGACCAGCCTGGCCAACATAGCAAAACCTCGTCTCTACTAAAAATACAAAAACTAGGGCCGGGCACGGTAGCTTACACTGTAATCCCAGCACTTTGGGAGGCCAAGGTGGGCGGATCACAAGGTCAAGAGTTTGAGACCAGCCTGGCCAATATGGTGAAACCCTGTCTCTATTAAAAATATAAAAAATTAGCCAGGTGTGGTGGTGGGCACCTGTAGTCCCAGCTACTCGGGAGGCTGAGGCAGGAGAATGGCGTGAACCCAGGGGGCAGAGCTTACAGTGAGCCAAGATTGCACCACTACACTCCAGCCTGGGCGACAGAGCGAGACTCTGTCTCAAAACAAAAAACAAAAAAACAAAAACTAGCCGGAAGGGTGACACATGCCTGTGGTCACAGTATCAGGAGAATTGTTTGAACCTGGGAGGTGGAGCTTGCAGTGAGCCGAGATCGTGCAAGCCCGGGTGACAGAGTGACTTTGTCTCCAAAAAAAAAAAAAAAAAAAAAAAAAAAAGCTACATAATTAAAGCAGTGTAGTACTAGTAGATGGATGGATTCTGGAATGCAACAGAAAGCGCAAGTATTGACCCAAATATATAAAATAATTCAGGAGACAGGGATTAAAATTTTTGTACACAGCAAGTAGGCTGGAGACCAATCGTGTGTCTGAGGACAGGGACTAAGTAAGCACATTGCTCCTACTGAGAAATATGACATGGCTGCTGAAATACGGTTGTGGTAAAATATTTTAAAAACCTCAAGGATATATGCCAGAAAATTAAGGCAAGTTGATGATCCCTTATCTAAAATGCTTGGGATCGGAAGAGTTTTGGATTTTGGATTTTTTAGGATTTTGGAATATCTACATATACATATACATAATGAGGTATCTTGGGAGTAGGACCCAAGTCTAAATACAAAATTCATTTATGTTTCATATATACCTTATCCACATAGCCTGAAGGCAATTTTATAGAATATGTTTAATAATTCTGTGCATGAAACAAAGTTTTGACTGTGTTTTAATGGCAACCTATCACCTGAGGTCAGACGTGGAAGTTTCCACTTGTGGCATCACGTTGACACTCAAAACGTTCCAGATCATGGAGCACTTTGAATTTTGTGTGCTTGGCCTGTGGTAGACAGCACTAATATCTATTACAAGTGTTTATTTTCTTTTATGTAATTATACATATCTTCTATGACTAATGTACATTGCTTCTCAAATAAAAAGGTCATTTTAAAAATGTTTTAAAATCAGTTGTATCAACAAATGGCAAACTTGCCGGGCACAGTGACTCACGCCTGTAATTCCAACACTTTGGGAGGCCAAGGTGAGTGGATCACTTGAGGTCAGGAGTTTGAGACCAGCCTGGCCAACATGGTGAAACCCCCGTCTCTACTAAAAATACAATAAGTAGCCGGGTGTGGTGGCGCGTGCCTATAATCCCAGCTACTTGGGAGGCTGAGGCAGGAGAATCGCTTGAACCCAAGAGGCAGAGGTTGCAGTGAGCTGGGATCTTGCCATT
This sequence comes from Homo sapiens, assembly GCF_000001405.40. NCBI lineage: Eukaryota > Metazoa > Chordata > Mammalia > Primates > Hominidae > Homo > Homo sapiens. The sequence goes on from NC_000008.11 coordinate 144,560,398, forward strand.
GCACTCCAGCCTGGGCAACAAAACGAGACTCCGTCTCAAAAAAACAAAACAAAATAAAAAAACAAATGGCAAACGTTAAAGTTGGCTGGTGGTCAATATCTTCAAACACATAATTACGGTACAGAACAAAAAGCTAGAAATATGGAATATGCCGAGATGGAAAACCATATAGGCAAAGACATCTATAAGATTGCTGTATCTGTATCTAACCCTCCTACCATTTCTGACTCGTCACCAAAAGATGACTGGGGTCCTGCAAGTGGGCCTTCAATGTTATGCTCTCGAGGACCAGCGGTGCGCGGGTTACTCTGTTACTGAGTTAGATGAATATCATGTTCCTGAGGCGGTGATGCTATGGCTGTGCTAAAGGAGCATGACGTCAACACTACTAGAGCAAGTACTCGTCACAACAGACTCAACTTACACAACTGTCAGAAACATTTTAAACAGAAACAGAAACTCTCAAGTGGAGTATTTCATCACGGCAGAATTACTTTACAAAAATAAAAATGACCCTTACACTAACGTATGTTCTAATGTGGCTCACTTGTTAGCCAAGCAAGGAAAACTGTTCACTGATGGGAAATTAATTACATTGTGTTGATTATGGCATCTAAAACTGTGTCGAGAGATGATAAACTTGCTTAAGACTATTAGCCTTTTGGCAAGAGCAGCTGCTTGAGGAGTTGAGGACAGTGAGAGCAACACAACAGCCCTAGGACCCCAGTGGTTTCCATTGCACCCCAGCGGTTTCCATCACACCCCAGTGGTTTCCATCGCACCCCAGCAGTTTCCATCGGACTCACCCCAGTGGTTTCCATCACACTCCAGTGGTTTCCATCACACTCCAGTGGTGTCCATCAGACCCCAGTGGTTTCCATCACACTCCAGTGGTTTCCATCACATTCCAGTGGTTTCCATCAGACCCCAGTGCTTTCCATCACATCCCAGTGGTTTCCATCGGGCCCCAGTGGTTTCCATCGGACTCACCCCAGTGGTGTCCATCACACTCCAGTGGTTTCCATCACACTCCAGTGGTGTCCATCACACTCCAGTGGTTTCCATCACACTCCAGTGGTTTCCATCACACTCCAGTGGTTTCCATCAGACTCCAGTGGTTTCCATCAGACCCCAGTGGTTTCCATCACACTCCAGTGGTTTCGATCGGACCCCAGTGGTTTCCATCGGACCCCAGTGGTTTCCATCGCGCTCCAGTGGTTTCCATCGGACCCCAGTGGTTTCCATCGCGCTCCAGTGGTTTCCATCGCGCTCCAGTGGTTTCCATCGCGCTCCAGTGGTTTCCATCACACTCCAGTGGTTTCCATCGGACTTAATCCAGTGGTTTCCATCGGACTTAATCCAGTGGTTTCCATCGGACTTACTCCAGTGGTTTCCATCGGACCCCAGTGCTTTCCATCACATCCCAGTGGTTTCCATCGGGCTCCAGTGGTTTCCATTGGACTCACCCCAGTGGTTTCCATCACACTCCAGTGGTTTCCATCGCACTCCAGTGGTTTCCATCACACTCCAGTGGTTTCCATCACACTCCAGTGGTTTCCATCGGACTCCAGTGGTTTCCATCGGACCCCAGTGGTTTCCATCACACTCCAGTGGTTTCCATCACACTCCAGTGGTTTCCATCGGACTTACTCCAGTGGTTTCCATCGGACTTACTCCAGTGGTTTCCATCGGACTTACTCCAGTGGTTTCCATCGGACTTACTCCAGTGGTTTCCATCGGACTTACTCCAGTGGTTTCCATCAGACCCCAGTGCTTTCCATCACATCCCAGTGGTTTCCATCGGGCTCCAGTGGTTTCCATTGGACTCACCCCAGTGGTTTCCATCACACTCCAGTGGTTTCCATCGTGCTCCAGTGGTTTCCATCGTGCTCCAGTGGTTTCCATCGGGCTCCAGTGGTTTCCATCACGCTCCAGTGGTTTCCATCACGCTCCAGTGGTTTCCATCGGACCCCAGTGGTTTCCATCGCGCTCCAGTGGTTTCCATCGCGCTCCAGTGGTTTCCATCGGACCCCAGTGGTTTCCATCGGACTCCAGTGGTTTCCATCGCACTCCAGTGGTTTCCATCGCACTCCAGTGGTTTCCATCGGACTCACTCCAGTGGTTTCCATCGGACTCCAGTGGTTTCCATCACACTCCAGTGGTTTCCATCACACTCCAGTGGTTTCCATTACACTCCAGTGGTTTCCATCGGACTCACTCCAGTGGTTTCCATCGGACCCCAGTGGTTACCATCGGACTCCAGTGGTTTCCATCGGACTCACTCCAGTGGTTTCCATCGGACTCCAGTGGTTTCCATCGGACTCACTCCAGTGGTTTCCATCGCACCCCAGTGGTTTCCATTGGACTCCAGTGGTTTCCATCGGACTCACTCCAGTGGTTTCCATCGGACTCCAGTGGTTTCCATCACACTCCAGTGGTTTCCATCGGACTCACTCCAGTGGTTTCCACAGACTAACTCCAGTGGTTTCCATCGGACTCCAGTGGTTTCCTTGGCTCTTGATGAGCTGACAGACGTTACTGGTACTGCTATGTTTGAAGGAGTCAATATTGAGCTTGAAGTGACCAAAGAATTAGCCTCTATCACTTGCTCTATGTGGAACAACTAGAACACACAGTATTTTCAAATAAGTTGTGAAAATACTAATTTTGTATGACCTGAAGTGGAATCTACTAAGATGAACTACAACTGATCATGCTAAGAATATATGTGGATCAGAAAAGGCTTACTTAGACAAACTTACAAAGCTTATGAAAACTGAAGATAATGTGAAAATATAAGCCTATGTTTATTGTGTTTTTCATTAGCAGCTACTTTGTGAAAAGTATTTGAATCTATTAGGAGTTACTGAAACAGTGGCATCAACACGAACTTCATGCACTCTCATGACTCAGCCATCATTAGTTCCATGAATTTTTGTCAGAAATCAATGATAAATATTCTCACTTTCCGACCACACAAAATTCAACAGCTTCGCAGTGGCAAAGTTTTATTGTCATTTTTTAGAAAACTCTGGGCCAAGACTAAAAGTCTCTGCATGAGAAAAACCTCCCTCAACCACTATTAAACACTGAAAAGGGCTTGGCACCCTAAAATTTTAGGGCTCAGCCCTAAAATCCCAATGCTTTAGGGGGCTGAGTTAGGAGGATCACTTGAGACGAGGAGTTCAAGACCAGCCTGGAAAGATAGTGAGACCTTATCTCTATAAAAAAAAAATAATAATAATAAAAGAAAATTAGCTGGGCACAGTGGCATATGCCTATAGTCCTAGCTGCTCTGGAGGAGAATCACTGGAGCCCAGGAGTTCAAGGCTGCAGTGAGCTGTGATCACACCACTGCATTCTAGCATGGGTAACAGCGAGACCTTGTATCTAAAAAAAATAATAATAAAATAAATAAATAAATAAGTGCACAATTAATGACTTTGGAAATTAATTTTTGTTGTAGGCTTGACAACATTTCTTAATGAATTCAACCTAACATTACAAATCAAACAGTGCATATGTGTGAAACTTATATTGCAGTAAAGTTATTTCGATGTCAACTAATGTCTGAATCATAAGTAATGTCAAGCTGCTTTATCTACTTCCCATGGTGTCTAAAATTAAAACAGAAAGTGAGATTTCCATTCCCACACAAATTTGCAGCAGATATATTTTCTGAGCTCAAAATATAGATCCAGCAGAATTTGATAAATGCCTTCCAAATCATATGCTCATGGACTGACACCAGTATTTGGCAGTAGCTCTCTGTGTAAAAAGACATTTTTGCAGATGAAGCATGTAAAATGTCATCACAAATAACAAGAGATGAACATCTGCAATTGGTTCTGATAGTCAGGAATGCCAACTCCTTTTGGTTTCTCTGAGCAGCAGCACTGGCCCCCGTTGTCCCCTGAGCACACCAAATGCTCTTCCGTCTCGGGACGTGCCACTTGGTGCTTCCCCTGCTGGGATGGCTTCCCCTCATATATCAACAACTTTTGCTCACAAGATGGAAGTTCTTGCTCCTCAGAATGCACTGAATCTCTACCAATAACTTGGAGAAGGGGAAAAAAAGGGAACTATTACAAGAAAACTCAACCAGTTGAACCTAACCCCAAACTGACACAAATGAAAGTAGTTGAGAAAGACATTAACAGTTACTAAAGTTGTATTCCATATGTTCAAAAAGCTAGAGAAATGACTGAACATGTTAAGTAGAGACGTAGAATATACAAAAAAGAACCCAATCAAAGTTCTAGAGATAAGCATTATGATGTCTGAGAGGAAAAATACACTGGGGCTGGGCATGGAGACTCACGCCTATAATCCTAGCACTTTGAGAGGCTGAGGCAGGAGGACCACTTGAGGCCAGGAGTCTGAGACCAGCCTGGGCAACATAGTGAGATCTCTAAAAAAAAAAAAAAAGGCCAGGCATGGTGACTCAGCCTGTAATCCCAGCACTTTGGGAGGCCAAGATGGGGGCGAGTCATCTGAGGTCAGGAGTTCGAGACCAACCTGACCAATATGATGAAGCCCTGTCTCTCCTAAAACACACAAAAATTAGCCAGGCGTGGAAGCATGTGCATGTAATCCTAGCTACTCGGGAGGCTGAGACAGGAGACTCGCTTGAACCCGGGAGGCAGAGGTTGCCGTGAGCCGAGATTGCGCCATTGCACTCCAGCCTGGGCAACAAGAGTGAATTCCATCTCAAAAAAAAAATTATATACATATAAATTAGCTAGGTGTGGTAATGTGTGCCTGTTGTCTCAGCTACTTGGGAGGCTGAGAGGACTGTCTGGGCCAGGAGGTTGAGGCTGCAGTGAGCCGAGCCTGCATCACTGCACTCCAGCCTGGGCAACGGCAAGGCCTTGCCTCAAAACCAAACCAAACCAAACCCACCACTAGAAAGAAAAAACGCTTCGTGAATTTGAAAGCACAACAACAGAAATGATCCAAAATTAAAGCTACAAAAAACAGAGGAAAAATAAAGAAAAAAGAGAAAGTGGGACTGAGTGCAGTGGTTCATGCCCGTAATTCCAGCATGGTGGGAGGTCAAGGCGGGTGGATCACTTGAGGTCAGGAGTTCAAGGCCAGACTGGGCAATGTGGCGAAACCCCGTCTCTACTAAAAATACAAAAATTAGCCAGGCGCGGTGGCAGGTGTCTGTAGTCCCAGCCACTCGGGAGGCTGAGGCAGGAGAATTGCTTGAACCCAGGAGGTAGAGGTGCAGTGAGCTGAGATTGCACCACTGCACTCCAGCCTGGGTGACAGAGCGAGATTCCATCTTAAAAAACAAAAGAAAAGAAAATGGAAATTATCCCACAGAGTCAGAGAGCTGCAGGATGACTTCAAGTGACCTGACACATAACTGCAGTGCTGGGTGGGGGTGTGAGCACAAACACAGTCTAAAGAAAAGGCCAGGCACAGTGGCTCACACTTGTCGCACTACGGGAGGCTGAGGCGGGAGGATCGCTTGAGCCCAGGAGTTTGAGACCAGCCTGGGAAAAACAGAGAGACCCCAACTCTACAAAAAAAAAAAAAAAAGGCTGGGTACGGAAGTCAGCAAGCTTGTGGTCCCAGCTACTCAGGAAGCAGAGGTGGGAGGATCGCTTGAGCCCAGGAGGTTGACGCCGCCATCATCTGTGATTGCGCCATTGCACTTCAGCCTGGGCTACAGAGCGAGACCCTGTCTCAACAACAAAAAAAGTTTTGTTTTGGGAGAAAAAATGACTGAAAATTTCTCAAACGTGATGAAGACCATAAACTGAGAGGTCCAAGAAGCTACACGAACCCCAGCACAAGGAACACGAAGAAAATGACATAAACCCCTATCTTAATCAAATTGCTTAAAATGAGCAAAATAGAGAAAATAAAGGAGCTAGAGCCAGGTGTGGTGGCTCACTCCTGCAAATCCAGTGCTTTGGGGGCCGAGGCAGGTGGATCGCTTGAGTCCAAGAGTTTGAGACCACCCTGGGCAACATGGTAAAACCCCATCTCTACCAAAAATACAAAAATAAGCTGGGTGTGGTGGTGTGCACCTGTGGTCCCAGGTGCTGAGGTGGGAGGACAGTTTGAGATTGGGAGGCAAAGTGTGCAATGAGCAGAGATCACGCCATTCCACTCCAGCCTGGGTGAAAGAGCCAGACCCTGCCTCAAAAAAATAGAATGAAATTGGCTGGGTATGGTAGCTCATGCCTGTAATCCCGGCACTTTGGGAGGCCAAGGTGGGCAGATCACTTGAGGTCAGGAGTTCGAGGCCAGCCTGGCCAACATGGTGAAACGCCGGCTCTACTAAAAATACAAAATTAGCTGGGCATGGTGGTGTGCGCCTGTAATCCCAGATACTTGGGAGACTGGGGCAGGAGAATTGCTGGAAGCCAGGAGGTGGAGGTTGCAGTGAGCCGAGATCGTGCCACTGCGCTCCAGCCTAGGTGACATAGTGAGACTCCATCTCAAAAAAAGAAAAAAAAAAAAAAGAAATAAAGGAGCTAGAGTTAAAAGACACATTATGTAAAGAAATACAAAGAATGACAGCTGATTTCTTGTTAGAAATGATGCAAGCCAGAAGACAATGAAGTGGCAAAAAGGAATAAATCTTAACCTACACCCAGCAAAAGTAGCTTTCAAAAATGAAAATGAGGCCAGGTGTGGTGGCTGATGTGGGCGGCAAGCCACCCAGGTGCTGAGGCAAGAGACTGAAGGCACGAGCTGTTCCAGTATGATAAAATATATAAAATAAGAATAGTTATACCAGATATAGATCTTAGATATGATTATATATGAATATCATTGATCAATAGTTTGTAGCAATTACTCTTTATTCCAATATTATAATAATCCTTGCTCTACAATCATAACCTAGGAAAAACCAGGCCATACAGAGATAGGAACTGAGGGGACATAGTGAGGAGTGACCAGAAGACAAGAGTGCGAGCCTTCTGTTATGCCCAGACAGGGCCACCAGAGGGCTCCTTGGTCTAGCGGTAACGCCAGCGTCTGGGAAGACACCCGTTGCCAAGCGGACCGTGGTCTAGCAGTAGCGTCAGTATCAAGGGAAAACACCCGCTACTTAGCGGACCAGGAAAGGGAGTCTCCCTTTCCCGGGGGGAGTTTAGAGAAGACTCTACTCCTCCACCTCTTGTGGAGGGCCTGACATCAGTCAGGCTCGCCTGCAGTTATCCAGAGGCCTAACCATCTCCCTGTGATGCTGTGCTTCAGTGGTCACGTTCCTAGTCCACCTTCATGTTCCATCCTGTACACCTGGCTCTGCCTTCTAGATAGCAGTAGAAAATTAGTGAAAGTACTAAAAGTCTCTGATATGCAGAAATAATGGCGTAAGTTGTTTCTCTCTCTCTCTCCTCTCTCTCTGCCTCGGCTGCCAGGCAGGGAAGGGCCCCCTGGCCAGTGGACATGTGACCCACGTGGCTTTACCTATCATTGGAGATGGCTCACTCTCCTTATCCTGCCCCTTTGTCTTGTATCCAATAAATATCAGCGCAGCCTGGCATTCAGGGCCACTACCGGTCTCCATGTCTTGGTGGTAGTGGTCCCCTGGGCCCAGCTGTCTTTTCTTTTATCTCTTTGTCTTGTGTCTTTATTTCTACAATCTCGTCTCCGCACATGGGGAGAAAACCCACTGACCCTGTGGGGCTGGACCCTACAGGCTGATGCCTGTAATCCCAGCACCTTGGGAGGCTGAGGTGGGCAGATCACCTGAGGTCAGGAGTTTGAGATCAGCCTGGCCAACATGGTGAACTCTCGTCTTTGCCAAAAAAATACAAAAATTAGCTGGGTGTGGTGGCACACGCCTGTAGTCCCAGCTACTTGGGAGGCTAAGGCAGGAGAATCACATGAACCTGGCAGGTGGAGGATGCAGTGAGCCGAGATCACACCACTGCACTCCAGCCTGGGTGACAGAGTGAGACTCTGTCTCAAAAAAAAAAAAAAAAAAAAAAAAAGATGGAAGACTTTTTCAAAAACACAAAAGCTAAAAGAAGTCATTACCAGCAGACTTGCACTTCAGTAAATGTTACATGAAGTCCTTGAAGCAGAAAGAAATGCCACCAGATGGACACAAATCTGGATCTACACAAGCAATCAAGAGCACAGGAAACAGGAACTGTGTGGGGTGATGTAGAAATGTTTGCTTAGTATTAAAATCTCTTTAAATGATAACTGACTGTTTAAAGTACAAATGATAACAATGTATTAAGACATTGATAACATGTAGAAAAGTAACATACTTGACAGCAACAGGACAAAATTAGAGAGAAATGGAGCCTAATAAATGCTGTTAGGTTCTTACACCATTTATGAAGCGGGATAATATCATTTGAAAGTCAACTATGGTAAGTTAATATAAGATAATACATAAACCCTAAAACAATCACTAAAAAGTAGCAAAGAGCCATAATTAAGAATCCAACAAGGGGAGATAAAGGTGAATTTTAAAATGCTCGATTAGTGCAGAAGGAAAAAAAAAAGAGGAAAAAGGGATTGAGAACAAAAGAGACAACAAATCAAACAGCGAGACGACAGATTTACGCCTAAGCCTGACCCTAGCCATGCAAATCATCACACTGTGTTAATGGTCTAATCCCCCCATAAACAGGCAGAGACGTTCAGACTGAATAAAAACATGTGACCTAATAATATGATGCCTACAGGAAAACTCACAATAAAGACAAAAGAATAGGTAAAAAGTAAAAGGTTGAAATGAGAGATACCATGCTAACATGAATCAAATTAATATTGGAGTGCCAAGATTAATGTAAGTAGATTTTGGAGCAAAGAATATTTCTAGGAACAAAGAGGGTCAATGATGAAGGGACTGATTCATCAGGAGCACATAATCCTAAATGTTTATGTACCTAACTACAGAGCCTCAAAATACTCCTGGGTATTTTCTGAGAGAAATAAAAATGTATGTCCAAACAAAGACTTGTACATGAATGTTCATAGCAGTTTTATTTGTAATAGCCCAAACCTGCAAACAACCCAAATGCCCAACAGAAGGCGGTACATCCATACAATGGTATACTACTAAGCAGTGAAAAAGGAATAAACTACGGATACATGTAACAACATGTCAAAACAATTACATGGAGTGAAAGATGACAGACAAAAAAGAGTGCATACTGCTTGAGTCCTTTTATGTAAAATTCTACAAAACACAAATTAATCTATAGTGAAGCAGGTAGACGAATGGTTCCTTAGGAATGTGGGGGATTGTGCAGAGACAGGTGGGAGGGGAACAGGAGGGCAAGGAGACTTCTGGCACCAGTGGAAAGTGCACTACCTTAATTGTGGTGATGGTCATGGGTGTGTACATACATCAAGACTTATCAAAATGTATGCTTTAAATGTGTGTGGTTTATTGCCTTTCAATTTTCCTTCCATAAAGTTGACACACTTGAAGAGACAGAAACATCAGAACAAGGGCAGGAAGACATCCATCCAAATGTTAACAAAAACACACAGAGTAGTGGGTGTGGGGAAAATGAGGACAGAGAGAGCAACAGAAAAGCGTATATGCTGAGGCTGGGCGCGGTGGCTCAGGCCTGTAATCCCAGCACTTTGGGAAGCTGGGGCGGGCAGATCACTTGAGGTCAAGAGTTCAAGGCCAGCCTGGCCAACATGGTAAAACCCCGTCTCTACTAAAAATACAAAAATTAACCAGGCGTGGTGGCTCATGCCTGTAATCCCAGCTACTCAGGAGGCTGAGGCAGGAGAATTACTTCACCCGGGGAGGCAGAGGTTGCAGTGAGCCGAGATGGTGCCATTGCACCCCAGCCCGAGTGACAAGAGTGAAATTCTGTCTCAAAAACAAACAAACAAAGAAACAAACAAACAAAAGCTTATAAGCCGAGCAGAACGTGAGATGATGAACTAAATCCTCTTGTTGCATCAGCAATCTCGTCAATGACTGGAACAATCCTGCCAAACAAAAGACGGGTGTTTGGACTAGATTTAAAAATAAACCAAACAGCTATACATCATTTACAAGAAATAGACTGGATGGAAAAAGGAGGCAAATTCTAACCAAAGAGAAACAATGGCACCACAAACTCTAAAAGTTGACTTCAAGGCAAGAAGACTGTGAGGGGTAAAGAGGATTAGACGCAACGACAATAGGAAAAGTCTAGCAGGAAAACGATTCCAAACTTACGAGTGACCAACTCACTGCTTCAATATATAAGAAGTGGAAATTGACAGATTTTAAAGGAGAAATGAACAAATTCTGCTATTCTAGGAGGAGACTTTAACTCTCAGAATGGAGACAGCAGGTAGAAAAAAATAGGTTGAAAAGATCAACAAAATTGGTACACTGCTAGCAAGACTAATAAAGAAGAAAAGAGAGAATAATCAAATATACGCAATAAAAAATGATAAAGGAGATACCAGCACCGATCCCACAGAAATACAAACTACCATCAGAGAATACTATAAACACCTCTACACAAATAAAATAGAAAATCTAGAAGAAATTGATAAATTCCTGGACACATACACCCTCCCAAGACTAAACCAGGAATAAGTTGAATCTCTGAATAGACGAATAACAGGCTCTGAAATTAAGGCAATAATTAATAGCCTACCAACCAAAAAAAGTCCAGGACCAGACGGATTCACAGCCGAATTCTACCAGAGGTACAGAGAGGAGCTGGTACCAGTCCTTCTGAAACTATTCCAATCAACAGAAAAAGAGGGAATCCTCCCTAACTCATTTTATAAGGCCACCATCATCCTGATACCAAAGGCTGGCAGAGACACAACAAAAAAAAGAGAATTTTATACCAATATCCCTGGTGAACATCGATGCGAAAATCCTCAATAAAATACTGGCAAACCGAATCCACCACCATCAAAAAGCTTATCCACCACGATCAAGTCAGCTTCATCCCTGGGATGCAAGGCTGGTTCAACATACGCAAATCAACAAATGTAATCCATCACATAAACAGAACAATCGACAAAACCTAAAAACCACGATTATCTCAATAGATGCAGAAAAGGCCTTCAACAAAATTCGACAGCGCTTCATGATAAAACCTCGCAATAAACTAGGTATTGATGGGACGTATCTCAAAATAATAAGAGCCATAAATAATGACAAACCCACAGCCAATATCATACTGAATGGGCAAAAACTGGAAGCATTCCCTTTGAAAACTGGCCCAAGACAAGGATGCCCTCTCTCACCACTCCTATTCAACATAGTGTTGGAAGTTCTGGCCATGGAAATCAGACAAGACAAAGAAATAAAGGGTATTCAATTAGGAAAAGAGGAAGTCAAATTGTCCCTGTTTGCAGATGACATGATTGTATATTTAGAAAAACACACTGTCTCAGCCCCAAATCTCCTTAAGCTGATAAGCAACTTCAGCAAAGTCTCAGAATACAAAATCAATGTGAAAAAATCACAAGCATTCCTATACACCAATAACAGACAGCCAAATCATGAGTGAACTCCCATTCACAATTACTACAAAGAGAATAAAATACCTAGGAATCCAACTTACAAGGGATGTGAAGGACCCCTTCAAGGAGAACTACAAACCACTGCACAACGAAATAAGAGGACACAAACAAATGGAAGAACATTCCATGCTCATGGATAGGAAGAATCAATATCATTAAAATGGCCATACTGCCCAAGGTTATTTATAGATTCAATGCCCCATCAAGCTACCAATGACTTTCTTCACAGAATTGGAAAAAATTACTTTAAAGTTCAGATGGAACCAAAAAAGAGCCCACATTGCCAAGACAATCCTAAGCAAAAATAACAAAGCTGGAGGCATCATGCTGCCTGACTTCAAACTATACTACAAGGCTACAGTAACCAAAAGAGCATGGTACTGGTACCAGAACAGAGCTATAGATCAATGGAACAGAACAGAGGCCTCAGAAATAACACCACACATTTACAACCATCTGACCTTTGACAAACCTTACAAAAACAAGAAATGGGGAAAGGATTCCCTATTTAATAAATGGTACTGGGAAAACTGGCTAGCCATATGTAGAAAGCTGAAACTGGATCCCTTCCTTACACCTTATACAAAAATTAATTCAAGATGGATTAAAGACTTACATATTAGACCTAAAACCATAAAAACCCTAGAAGAAAACCTAGGCATTACCATTCAGGACACAGGCATGGGCAAGCACATCATAACTAAAACACCAAAAACAATGGCAACAAAAGCCAAAATAGATAAATGGGATCTAATTAAACTAAAGAGCTTCTGCACAGCAAAAGAAACTACCATCAGAGTGAACAGGCAACCTACAGAATGGGAGAAAATTTTTGCAATCTACCCATCTGACAAAGGGCTAATATCCAGAATCTACAAAGAACTTACACAAATTTACAAGAAAAAAACAACCCCATCAAAAAGTGGGCAAAGGATATAAACAGACATTTCTCAAAAGAAGACATTTATGCAGCCAACAGACACATGAAAATATGCTCATCACTGGCCATCAGAGAAACGCAAATCAAAACCACAATGAGATACCATCTCACACCAGTTAGAATGGCGATCATTAAAAAGTCAGGAAACAACAGGTGCTGGAGAGGATGTCCCACTGTTGGTGGGACTGTAAACTAGTTCAACCATTGTGGAAGACAGTGTGGCAATTCGTCAAGGATTTAGAACTAGAAATACCATTTGACCCAGCCATCTCATTACTGGGTATATACCCAAAGGATTATAAATCTTGCTACTAAAAAAGACACATGCACATGTGTGTTTATTGAAGCACTAGTCACAATAGCAAAGACTTGGAACCAACCCAAATGTCCAACAATGAATGATAGACTGGATTAAGAAAATGTGGCACATATACACCATGGAATACTATGCAGCCATAAAAAGGATGAGTTCATGTCCTTTGCAGGGACATGGATGAAGCTGGAAACCATCATTCTGAGCAAACTATCACAAGGACAGAAAACCAAACACCACATGTTCTCATTCATAGGTGGGAAATGAACAATGAGAACACTTGGACACAGGGCGGGGAACATCACACACCACGGCCTGTTGGGGGGTGGGGGGCTGGGGGAGGGACAGCGTTAGGAGAAATACCTAATGTAAATGACAAGTTAATGGGTGCAGCAAACCAACATGGCACATGTATACCTATGTAACAAACCTGCACGTTGTGCACATGTACCCTAGAACTTAAAGTAAAATAAAAATAAAAAAAGGATGAAACTTGATTTACATAATAGATTTCATTTAATTAACATATGCAGAACTCTGGGCACAACAAAAAGAAAACAGAAATTATCCTTTTGAAGGAGTCATAAAATCATTTACAAAAATTTATGAATTAGCCCACAAAGCAAGTCTCAAAAAAATAAAAAAATTATGCTTTCCTTAAGTTGGCAATCAAGAACGAAAACGAAAAATAAACTGTAGTTTTGGAAATGAAGATATTTATAAATTACAAATGAGTCAAAGAATAAATCATAATTAGGCTGGGAGTGGTGGCTCATGCCTATAATCCCAGCACTTTGGGAGGCTGAGGCAGGCAGATCACTTGAGACCAAGAGTTTGAGACCAGCCTGGCCAACATGGCAAAACCTCGTCTCTACTAAAAATACAAAAATCAGCCAGGCATGGTGGCGCCCCCCTGTAATCCCAGCTACTCAGGAGGCTGATGCACGAGAATTGCTTGAACCCAGGAGGTGAAGGAAGCTGAGATTGCACCACTGTACTGCAGCCTGGGTGACAGAAAAAAAAAAAAAAAAAAGGGAAGAAGATGAAGATGAGGAGGAGGAGGAGGAGGGGGAAGAAGAAATCATAATTAAAAACTGAAAATATTTAAAAGTGGGCTGGGCTAGGTGCAGTGTCTCACACGTATAATCCCAGCATTTTAGGAGGCCGAGGTGGGAGGATCACTTGAGGCCAGGAGTTCCAGACCAGACTGGGCAACATGGCATTAGCCTATTTCTATAAAAAATAAAAAAATTAGGCTGGGTGTGGTGGCTCATGCCTGTAATCCCAGCACTTTGGGAGGCCGAGGCGGGCAGATCACCAGGTCAGCAGATCGAGACCATCCTGGCTAACACGGTGCAACCCCATCTCTACTAAAAATACAAAAACAAAATTAGCTGGGTGTGGTGGCGGGCACCTGTAGTCCCAGCTACTCGGGAGGCTGAGGCAGGAGAATGGCGTGAACCCAGGAGGCGGAGCTTGCAGTAAGCTGAGATTGCGGCACTGCATTCCAGCCTGGGCGACAGAGCGAGACTCCGTCTCAAAAACAAAAAATAATAATAATAAAAAATAAAAAAATTAGTTTGGTGTGGTGGTGTACACCTGTAGTCTCAGCTACTCAAGAGGCTGAGGTAGGATTGCTTGAGCCTGGGAGTTGAAGGCTGCAGTGAGCCATGATTATGCCATTTCATACCGTCTTCACATGTGCAGGAGATTTTACAGTCAGGCATCACTTAATAACACAGATGTGTTCTGAGAAACACGTCATCAGGCAATTTTGTCACTGTGTGAACATCCAAGAGTACAGTTATACACATGCAGGCTGTAAGGCCTGCTACACACCCAGGCTATATGGTGTAGCCTATTGCCCCCAGGCTACACACCTCAGCATTACTGTGCCGAATGCTAAATGCCATTGTAAGACAATGGTGAGTATTTGTGTGCCTAAACATATTTAGACATAGAACAGGTACAGTAAAAATATGGTATAAAAGATAAAAAATGGCACACCTGTACTGGGCACTTACCAGGAACAGAGCTTGCAGGACTGGCAGTTGCCGTGCGTGTCGGTGAGTGAGCCCTGGATATCACTGCACACAACTCCTAACTTGACAACCCTGTACACTTCGGCCACACTCAATTCATTTAAAACTTCTTCTTTCATCAGTAATAAATTTAGTTTACTGTAACTTTTTTACTTTATAACCTTTTTAGTTTCTTTAAACTTTTTGAGTCTTTTAGAACACTTTGCTTAACATACACATTGTACAACTATACAAAATATTTTCTTTCTTTACATTCTTATTCTATAAGCTTTTTTAATTTAAAATTTCTTAAACTGACTTTTTGTTACAAACTACGACACAAACACACACACTAGCCTAGGCCTACCCATGCTCAGGATCATCAACACCACCGTCTTCCCATTGCCACATGGTGTCCTGGGAGAAAGCAACACACGTGGAGCCATCACCTCCTGAGACAACAGCGCCGCCTTCTGGACACCTCCAGAAGGACCCACCTGAGGGTGTTTCCAGCTAACATTTTTTTTTTAAGTGCACGCTAAATGATAAAAACTATGGTATAGTGAATACACAAACCAGCGACATAGTCACGTATCATCATCATGGTCAAGCACTATGCACGGTTCATAACCACACGTGCTGCTCCTCTGTAGGACCGCAGTGCAGCAGGTCTGTCTACGCCAGCATCACCACAGACTTGCGAGTACGGTGTTGCACACAACCATGGTAGGTCATAGAACCTTTTCAGCTCCATTATAATCTATGAGACCACTCTCATATATGCAGTGTGCTGCTGATGGAAATGTTACGTGGCACGTGACTGTATTATAAAGACATCTATCTACCCAAACTAATCCATAATTCAACGCAATTCTAGTCAAAATCCCAACAGAGTGGCCGGGCATGGTGGCTCACGCCTGTAATCCAGCACTTTGGGAGGGTGAGGTGGGCAGATCATGAGGTTAAGAGATCGAGACCAGCCCAGCCACCAACATGGTGAAACCGTGTCTCTACTAAAAATACAAAAATTAGCCAGGTGTGGTGGTGGGCGCCTGAAGTCCCAGCTACTCGGGAGGCTGAGGCAGGAAAATTGCTTGAACCTGGGAGGCGGAGGTTGCAGTGAGCCGAGATTGCACCACTGCACTCCAGCCTGGGCGACAGAGTGAGACTCCGTCTCAAAAAAAAAAAAAAAAAAAAAAAAAGAACGAAAAAAAACCTCCCACAGAGCTTCTCATGGAAGTCCTGGCCCCAATAGCCCCACATCACCCCAGCATTCCTGAGACATTTTTGAGAAGAGATGGACACTCCAGTCCCCAGAGAGTGGGCCCTGAGCCATGGGTGACAGGGCAGGGCTAAGGCCAGACCCACGGCCTCTCTGGGGAAGAACAGCCCCGCAAGTGTGGGTGACTGACACATTTTGAAAAGAGAATCACAAAAAGAAACCAATTCCTCCACCTAATTGCAGAGACGAGTCAAAACGAATAACAAATTCAAAATTATGATAATCCAATACCAATTCTCTGAGAAGTTCTGCGCAGGCCCGAAGCCGTCCATTCTGTTCAGTGAGAGGAAGCCGGAGGTTCCAGCGCAGCAGCACAGCACAGGCTCTTGAGGGAGAGTTATTTTTAAAATGTTAACGCCAAGTCCGCTCGTCCGCTTGTTTCTTAAAATGATTCACGATTCTCAAAATCTGGCTTCGACTTGTGCAAGATGAGCTCCTGCCCGTCTCTGGCTGGGAGAAGTTGTTCTCCAGAGGGACCATAGGATTTAACTGCAGTCAGTATTTACAGCAAACCAACAGGTTTGTTTTTCACTTATGCCATTTAAACCATAAACCAGATGCTGCAGTCACCTTTCCACGGAGCTCCACCTGTACACGCCACGAATGTCTTTTATTCCTTAACCTCTACAACAGTCTAAATTCTGTACCTTTCAGTATCATCTCCTTTGGGAAATGCCGCTGGAGGGCCAAGGACTCCTGGCCTGCTCTGGTGTGTGTTTAACTGCAGGCATGAGATTGCTCACGTGGGTTTCATGGATCATATGAAAGCCCACAGGGAGGTTCCTCTGTTTTTCAAAAGCACACAGATGCTGCTGTGACAACCGGAATACACGCTCAGGGCCGGTTCAACATGAGACCAACCAGTGTAAAACACCACACTGACAGATAGACTGAAGGAGAGAAACCACGTGATCATCTTAACTGATACAGAAAAGGCATTGACAAAATCCACATGATAAAACCACTGGGAACACAAGGAGTATCAAGGAACTTGCTCAATAGAAAAGACTGGAAGCTTTCCCCGAGATCAGGAGCAGAACAAGGATGCCCCTTCACCACTGCCATTCAACACTGCACTGGAAATCCTATGCAGGGCAATCAGTTAAGGAGAAGAAAAAGGCATCCAAATTGGAAAGGAAGATGTTAGACTATCACTAACCACAGATGACATAGTCCTATATATAGAAAATCCCAGAGATTATAAACGAAGGTTACTACAGCTAATACAGAAATTCAGCAAAGTTGCACAATACAAGATCAACACACAATCAGTTATGTTTCCATACACCACAATGGACAATCCAGAAACAAACAAACAAAAAATTCCACTTACAACAGCATCAAAAAGAATAACATATCTAGGAAGAAACTTTACCAGGGAGGTGAAAGGACTGTAAACTAGAAAATATAAAACACTGCTAAGAAAAATCAGACATAAGCAAATGAAAAGACATCCTCTGTTCATGGATTAGAAAATTAATATTGCTTGGATGAAATATCAGCTTACAGATCCAACACAATCCCCCACACAGATCCAAAATTCCAAAAGCTTTTTTTTTGTTGTTGTTAAAAGAAATGAAAAAGCCAATCCCCAAATTCTTGTGGAATTGCAAGGTGCTCCAAATAGCCAAAACAACCTTGAAAAATTAGAATAAAGCTGGAAGACTCACACTTTCCAGTTTCAAAACTTATTACAAAGCTACAGTGATCAAAACAATGTGGTACTGGGATATGGATCAATGCAAATCAATTGAGAGGCCAGAAATGAACCCAAATCTATGACAGGTCAATTTTTGTTTGTTTGTTTTTGAGACAAAGTCTTGCTCTGTCACCCAGGCTGGGGTACAGTGGTGCGATCTCGGCTCACTGCAACCTCCACCTCCTGGCTTCAAGTGATTCTCCTGCCTCAGCCACCCGAGTAGCTGGGATTACAGGTGTGAACAACCACTCCCAGCTAATTTTGGTACTTTTAGTAGAGACAGGGTTCTGCCACGTTGGACAAGCTGGTCTCAAACTCCTGGCCTCAAACTCCTGCCTTCCTTGGCCTTGAAAAGTGCTGGGATTACAGGCGTGTGCCACTTTTCTTGGCCAAAATTAAAAACTTTGTACTTTGGCCATGCACACTTTGGCTCATGTACTTTGGCTCATGTCTGTAATCCCAGTGCTTTGGTAGGCATAGGTGGGCATACTGCCTGGGCTCAGGAGTTGGAGACCAGCCTGGGCAACATAGTGAAACCCCAATCTCTACAAAAAAAATACAAAAATTAGCCTGGTGTGGTGGCACGTGCCTGCAGTCCCAGATACTTGGGGGTCTGAGGTGGGAGGTCACTGGGCCCGGGAGGTGAGGGCTGCAGTGAGATTGCACCACTGCACTCCAGCCCCAGAGACAAAGAGAGACCCTGTCTCAAAAACAAACAAACAAACAAACAAAACAAAAACAACAAAAACCTTTGTTTTTCAAATGATACCATCAAGAAAGTGAAAAAAGGGGCCAGGCGTGGTGGCTCATGCCTGTAATCCCAGCACTTTGGGAGGTGGGTGGATCACGAGGTCAGGAGATCAAGACCATCCTGGCTAACATGGTGAAACCCTGTTTCTACTAAAAACACAAAAAATTAGCTGGGCGTGGTGGCAGGTGCCTGTAGTCCCAGCTACTCGGGAGGCTGAGGCAGGAGAGTGGTGTGAACCCGGGAGGCGGAACTTGCAGTGAGCAGCAATCGTGCCACTGCACTCCAGCCTGGGCGACAGAGCGAGACTCTGTCTCAAAAAAAAAAAAAAAAAAAAAAAAGAAAGTGAAAAAAGGCTCAAAGTCATTAGTCATTAAGGAAATGCAAACCAAAACTACAATGAGACATTTCACAGTGGCTACAATAGCTAAAAGAAATCTAAAAAGGAAAGCAAGTAGTGTTGGCAAGGCCGTGGATAACTTTGAACCCTCATATTTGCTGGTGGGATGTGAAATGTAGGCCCTGGTCCTCTTTGTGCCCGCCTTCTGCACCGCTCGCTCACCCACGCCACGCCCGAGCCTCCGCTGCTCACCCTGCCCTGAATACCGACACCAACACCGTCTTCCCGGTGTGCTCCAGTGGCTCCTCCACACCTGATTTGCCCCACCTCCTGCCCACTCTGCAGCAGGCCCCATCCCTGGCCTCCCTTTCATCCTGCCAGACCGGGTCCACGGGATGAACCTGCTGCCCGCCTCCCTCTGTGCCTGCACCTCGGCACGGTGGGACGGAAGCCTGCTGTCCTCTGAGCTCTGTGGTTCACTCTGAATCCCTCTTCTGAAGCCTCAGATGAGCCCGGCAGTCCAACACGCTCCTTCCCACCTCTGCAGAAAGCCCCTGGGCCTCAGCTCCCCTGGCAACCTCAGCCAAGCACCGAAAATCTGGTACTGGGGGAGACCAATCCCCTGCCTTTCTCTCCCTGGGGTCCAGCCTCTCCTCCATCCTCTCCAGAGTGGCCTCCATCCGCCCCTGCAGTGGCCAGGCCTGTCTGCCCTGGGCCACAGCCTGGGCTCTGGGAAGCCCCAGCCTCCTGTCCCTGCCTCGGCTCTTCCCCACTGTCCTGCTGGCCTGCCGCCTGCCTCAGCCCTTCCCCACTGTCCTGCCCGCCTGCCTCGGCTCTTCCCCACCGTCCTCTCTGGACTCGCTTCCCACGGTGCACTCACCTCGAGGCCCTTGCGCTCTACCCTGACCTCTCCCTGTTTCTGAGGGCAGGGGTCTCCTGGGCTCCCACCAACACAGGCTGTGCTCCTTCGGAGCCACTGTGACTCCAGAGGACCACCTCCAAGCCTGCTCAGACCCCTCAGCTGTGTCCACACTGATCTACACCCTCCACCTGGGTCCCCCTAGGTCCACACACCCCACGCCCGCACGCAAATCCCCACATCTGCATCTCCCATCAGCAGAGAGAGCTGGGCGAGCCCCTCAGACACTGCTCTCAGGAACCACCACCTGCCAGGGGCTGGGCCAGTGAGGGGCAGGGTTGGAGGACCCAGAACCCTCTGAGGCTGAGCGCCAGGCTCTGCTGCCCAGAGAGACAAGAAAGTGCTCACTGGGGACAGCAGCGGTGGCTGCTACAGCCAAGGACGAGGCTCTGGCCACTCGCGGGGACACTGAGTCCCCTGGGTCCCCGCCCACCGCCCTCACCTGGCCCTGCCCACCATACCTGACCTACTCCTCACCTGGCCCCGCCCACCACCGTCACCAGTCCCGCTCTCACGTGGCCCCGCCCATTCCACTCACCTGGCCCCGCCCACCATACCCGACCTACTCCTAACCTGGCCCCGCCCACCACCTTCACCAGTCCCGCTCTCACCTGGCCCCGCCCACCACCCCCTACCTGCCTCACCTGGCCCCGCCCACTCCATTCACCTGGCCCCGCCCATAGCAGCTGCCCCCGCCCTCACCTGCCGCTGTCCTCCTTCACTGTCCCAAACGCCGCGGGCCGCCCGGCCCTCGCTGGCAACTCCTGCGCTTTCTCAGTGTCGGGCTCGGGCTCCAGGGAGGAGCTGGTGCTGCCCTCACGGCTGACGCTGCTGCCGCGCCCGGGGCTGCTCTCCGCCGAGGCGCGCGGGGACTCCGTGTTCTGCTTCAGCGTCTGCAGCTTGGCCAGCGGGATGATGTCGCAGCCCTGCGGCCGGTGCCACACCGTGCGCTGCGTGCTGGCATTGTAGTAGTAGAAGCGGGACGTGTTGGGGTCGAACAGCTCCCACCACTGGTTCTCGCTGGTGCGCTTGATGCGGACGCCGGCCGGCGGGTCCCACACGCACTCACCGGTGACCAGGTTGGCGTACATGCGCTCGCGGGTGCGCGGTTCGATGATCTCCACCCACTCCAACCTGGGGAGAGACAGGGTTAAGGCGGCTGGAGCCACGGCGGCCTGGGCCCGCGCCTCCCACCCCTGCAGACCCCGGCTCCAGCCCCAGCTGCGAAACCCAGAAATCCTGTCATAGAGGAAAGCAAACCCAAGCCCAGTCCGCCCCTGACTGCTGTGCTCCTGAGCACCCGCAACCGGGGAAGCCCCCGGAGCCGCCAGCGCCTCAGGGTGGTGCAGCCCTTTGGGGGGTCCTGGGCCCCACGTGGGGTAGGGACATACTGGCTGTGGTTGCAGGCTCCTGTCCTCACAGGCACCCAGGCCACAACCTCACTGCCCACTGCTCCGTCCTGCAGGATCGTGGCACAGGCCTGCGAGTCATCACTGCACACCTGCTCAGTAGCCCCTCCGCTGCAACTGGACCGCCACCTCCACACTGGGTCGGGGTCTGGAGGGGCCTCAGGCCCAGCTAAGTGCTGCTGGACTCCCAAGCTGTGTTCTCCCAAGGATCCCCCAGATCAGCAAGGCCAAGGGCCCAGCTGGCTCTCAGACCCCCGATGGGGGGCAGAGTCTCCACCCGGCCCTCAGACCCCCGCTGGGGGCACAGCCTCCAGCTCAGTAACGTTTCTGAGGCCTCTTCCATGTTTCTACACGGAAACAAAAACCCTTAGAGGCACCAAGAGCCTCTCAGCAAAGATGCTGCCAGGAGGCGTTCCCATGGACCCATGCATCCGTCTCTTAACCCTGCGACAGGCCTGGTCCTCGCCATCACCGGGCTGGTGAGGTGTCTCGTTAGCCCTGCGACAGGCCTGGTCCTCGCCATCACCGGGCTGGTGAGGGGTCTCGTTTCCAGGGAAAATGCACTAATCCCAGGGGCTCAACAGAAGGGGAGGCAAGTGGTGAGGGCAGAAGGGCCAGCGGACACCAGGCCCAGACACGGGCTAGTGGGGGCTGCCTGCGGCTCCCCCAGGTCAAGGACAGAAAGAGCCCCCCTGGCGGCCGGCGCAGACTGGCTGCGGGGGCGACCTTCATCCCACGTCCCACCCTTTGAAACCAGGCCAGGGACACGGCGGCTCTGAAAACAGGCTGTGATGCGCACCACACCTGCTCGTAGGACACCAAGGATCCAGGCGGAGTCTGTCCCCGCCACCCCCAGAGGCCAGCTGGGGAAGCCGGGCCCTCACACAGTGGCGGCGGCCCCAGCAGCAGCCCTGGGGGTTCTGGGTCTGTTTCTTGCTGATGCAGATGAGCAGCTGAGAAACAGGCCTTGCCACCCAAGCCCTCCTTCAGGCCCTGGCCACTGGGCACTGTTTGCTCCTCTGTGTTTGGATGCCACAGGCAGAAGGCACCGAGGGACAGTCCACGTGGGGCCATGAGGTGGGCGTGCTCAGGGCCTTACGTGGGGAAGGAGCTGGCTCAGGGGTCTGGCTGCAGGAGGAGGATGAGGCGGGTGGGACTGGGCCTGAGTGCAGACACCACAGTGGTGCACTCAGAAGTCCAATGAAGGAGGGCCAGTGAGAGAAGGGGCACCCTGGGGATGGGCTGGTGGTGGAGGGCTGCAGGGGAAGGCAGATGAGAACTCCTGAGGCCCGCCTGTGGATGTTTCACCGTCATCCCCGTGGGAAGGCGAGGTGGTGGGGGTCCTGTTGTTTTGCTCAGCTTGAGTACATCTGCCAACAACTCCCCCCAAACAAATGCCTCGGCTTGCTCGGCTCAGACCCTCCACAGGCCCCAGACTCTGAACTTCCACCTGCATGTCTCGCCACACCCTTGGCGTACACACCCACTCCACCGTCCACCGTCCAGCAAACCACACGCAACAGGGGCCACCCCCGCTCTGGTCCGTGCTTTCCCTTCTCAGCCCGGGGTCTCGCCAGGCACCAATAGCTGCCCAGCCCCTCCCTCCCAGCCCACAGTGGGTCCCCCAGTCGCTCCTGACGAACAAATCTAGGCAGCACCTTTCAGTCCCGAGGGAGCTGTGCCACTTTTGATACCACTGATCATGTTCTCTTCCTTTTATTTTTAAAGTTTTAACTTTTTGTTTTATAATTTCATATTTTCAAAAAGGTTAACAGCCTTCACCCAGATTCACCGCGTGTCACCTCCCTGAAACCGCAACAGGAAGTGGCGCACGCATTGTGGGGTGAGCAGCTCAGGAGACAACTGCTCGGCACGTGGAGGCACAGACGGGGTCTGCCCACGGCCCGGGCGGGACTGGGTGCCCACTAAGGTTCCCCACCGTAGCATCCTGTGCCGTCTCCCCAGCTACGAGGATCTCGTGGGGATCCCGTAAGGCCCCTGACATCCTGTTTCTCCTCCACTTTAACCCACGACTTTGAGCACCATGGATGCTTCCTGCCTGCGTGCTCCACTGAGCTGGCCAGCACACCGTCACCCTTGCTGGCTGGAATTCTATTCTGAGAGTCACACGATCAAGAATTTGTCATGTTGGCGGTGCTGTTGTGGGGGTGGCAGGTTACAGAGGTTTCTATTTTTCTGTATTTTCCAAGTGTTCCACAATATTCACAAGATTACTACTGTCATTGGAAAAAAAACCCACATATTATCTTCCTATAAAATGGTGCATATTCCATGTATGACATGCAATGAATCTTTCCAAGTGTCCAGTTTTAAAGTGTTAAGGATTTAGTGGGCAATGTTTCCCTGAAGCATCTGCACTCTTATATTGGCCTGTCCAGCACATCACTCAAGGGGATAAACGGTATCTCCCCGCAGGGGTGTTTTAATTCAAATGCAAACTTAATGACAAGGAAGGACTGTCACAGTTTATAATGAGATAAAGTTATATAGCTTTATTTTTAAAAGTGGCATATGTGTTTACATGTATATAGTTGTCTAGAAAATTACTGGAAGTCTAAAGCCAAATATTAAAAGAGATTAACTGGCCAAGTGCGGTGGCTCATGCCTGTAATCCCAGCAATTTGGGAAGCCAAGGCAGGCGGATCACTTGAGCTCAGGAGTTTGAGACCAGCCTGGGCAACGTGGTGAAACCCCATCTCTACAAAAAACACAAAAATTAGCCGGGCATGGTGGGTGCACTTCAGTTGCTTTTCACACTGAAGTCATTAATCTGCCTGCACTGATTTTTGTTTACTGTGTGAAATTTCATTTTCCCATATGGATAGAAAGGGATCTTAGGATAGCTTGTTAAATAGCTTTGTTTCCTCAGTGATGGACAATGGGAGCTCTATCTTAAATTGAGTTTCTGGCCAGGTGCGGTGGCTCAGGCCTGTAATCCCAGCACTTTGGGAGTCCCAGGCAGGTGGATCACCTGAGGTCAGGAGTTTGAGATCAGCCTGGTCAACATGGTGAAACCCCGTCTCTACTAAAAATACAAAAATTAGCCAGGTGTGGTGGCGTGCACCTGTAATCTCAGCTACTCGGGAGGCCAAGGCAGGAGAATCCCTTGAACCCGGGAGGCAGAGGTTGCAGGCAGCTGAGATCACGCCACTGCACTCAGGCCTGGGTGACAGAGCGAGACTCTGTCTCTAAATAAATAAATAAATAGAATAAATCGAGTTTCTGTAAGTGTGTCTGAGCTCCCAGCTGGCTTTGCTGATCCATCCATCTCTGTCTGCCTGAGCGGTGTCTTAGTTACGTGGCTTTGTAAAGTTGGTCCAAAGCCACACACTCCTCTCCCTCAGGCATGCTTCAGGCATATGTCAAAGCCATTCTTGACCCTTGGTTCTTCTCTGTGAAACTGAGAATCACCTCTTTGTTGGCTCTGCAAGGAGCCTGTGGATGGATTTAAGGAGAACCAGGCATCTCAGTGGAACTTTGGTCTCCACCCAGAGCCAAGGTGTCTCCCTCCACTCGTCCAGGTGTCTGAAGGGCTTAGACGCCCTCTCCCGATTGGCCCTGTGTCCCTCTCTGCTTTCACAGGACCATTAAGGGAAACCCCACAGCAGGGAGAACTGGGACCCCCCAGAAGCCTCTGCCGGTCCCAGCTCCAGATGCAATGGCAGACTCACTCTTCTTCCCAAGGGCCTCACCTGTCTCCCTTCCTTCTCTCCATGGACATCCCAAATCACCACAGAGAACCTGAGGGGCCAGCCAGGGGTTCCCAGCACCAGCTCACCGAGAACCTGGAGGGGCCAGCCAAGGGTTCCCAGCACCGGCTCACCGAGAACCTGGAGGGGCCAGCCAGGGGTACCCAGCACCGGCTCACCGAGAACCTGGAGGGGCCAGCCAAGGGTTCCCAGCACTGGCTTCCCCTCGTGCACTCTCTTGCCCTTAGCTCCAGGGCAACTCTCCCTGGAGACAACCCTTGGCCTCAGCCCATGATACAAAGTGTCAATGACTCCCATCGTTAGAAACACAGGGACACCAACATGGTGCACCTCGAACCCCCACAGCTCAGCACTCTAGGGAGAGAGGATTCAGGCTTGGCGGGGCCAGGACCTCCCGCCCATGGTGCCACGCGCTGCAGCCTGGGCCTCCCGAGGATGTCGCTGGTTGTGGCAGTCGGCTGTACACACCATGCTCTTAAATCTCAACCCTCATGGGCCCCTGCAGGGCCCATAATTTAAATGAGAAAGAGAATCCAAGGATCACACAAATAAAAATGGCAACTGTTGAAAGGGGCTGGACGGGTGCCCTGCCTTCCCCCTGGAGCCGGCTCTCCCCGAGGGACAGATGGGGCATCCCTGCACCCCCATGGCTCAGCCAGGCTCTCCACTCTTGTTACCTGACCCCCGTGACTCAGGGTAGTTTTTTAGTTTTGGAGACAGAGTCTTGCTCTGTCACCCAGGCTGGAGTGCAGTGGTGTGATCTCAGCTCACTGCAACCTCCACCTCCCAGGTTTAAGCAGTTCTCCTGCCTCAGTCCCCCAAGTAGCTGGGATTACAGGTGTATGCCACCACAGCTGGCTATTTTTTTTGTATTTTTAGTAGGGATGGGGTTTCACCATGTTGCCCAGGCTGGTCTCGAACTCCTGACCTCAAGTGATCTGCCCGCCTTGGCTTCCCAAAGTGTTGGGATTACAGGAGTGAGCCACCGTGCCCGGCCTCAGGGCTGATTCTCAGCCAGCAGTGGCCACAACAGGACTTCCTTCCATGACGTTTCTCACACTGCTGGAAGTGCAATCAGCTCAGCCCTCTGCCCAGAATCACTCCCGGCTCTGGGCTACACCTTGGTGACGGGCTCCTCTCTCCTCTGCCCCACAGGGTGTGCCGAGGACACCCCCAGTGTCTTCCAGTCTTATCCCTCCCATGGCCGCAGTGTGGGGGACAGTTCTCTCTCCAGGATGCCAGATCCCATGTGGCAGTCCCAGGCTCCCCTGAGCCATTAGTGACAGCCTCAGGAGCAGCCTCGGAGTGTGACTCCTTCACAGACACTGGGCTTCAATCTGGGGCAGTGGCCAGAAAACTGGCTGATGCAGGTACCACACCCACTTCCAGGCACCGGGTCCCATGCTGACACAGGGCTCAGAGCCTGCCCAGGGAAGGGGGCCTGGATGACAGCCCAGAAGCAGAAGTGTCCCCAGGATGGTTCCCACTGGCACTGGCTGGCCTGGGCTGCTGTCGGTCTGCTCTGCAGGACAGCAGCCATCAGCAACCCTACATGGCTGCACGCCCATCTCATACACCAGGATGGGCAATGATATGGTTTGGCTGTGTCCCCACCCAAATCTCCTCCTGAGTTGTAGTTCCCACAACCCCCAAGTGTAGTGGGAGGGAACAAGTGGAGGTAACTGAATCATGGGGGTGGCCTCCCCCATCCTGTTCTCGTGATAGTGAGTTCTCATGAGATCTGATGGTTTTACAAGGGGCCTCCCCTTCCCTGGGCTCTCATTCTTCTGTCTCCTGCCACCATGTGAAGAAGGACTTGTTTCATCCCCTTCCACCATGATTGTTCCCTGGGTGCCCGCAGCCATGCGGAACTGTAAGTCAATTAAACCTCTTTTCTTTATAAGTTGTCCAGTCTCAGGCATGCCTTTAGTTGCAGCATGAGAACAGGCTAATACAGGCATCAAATAAGAAGTGACAGCCAGGTAAGCACAAGGAAGAACCAACTCAAAACCAAGAGAAGGAAAGAGGCTACAGCAGCTCCTCAGGGGATCTGGGTTCGGAGCCAGAACGCGTGGAATGCACACTGCTGTGACTGGCATTCACGACAAGATGAGTTTCTACAGAGGAAGGAAAATGTAGAGGGTGTATAAAGAATTGAGTGGAAAATCTAAAATGTCAAAATAAATCCCTGAAATTCACG
Source organism: Homo sapiens (assembly GCF_000001405.40). NCBI lineage: Eukaryota > Metazoa > Chordata > Mammalia > Primates > Hominidae > Homo > Homo sapiens. The sequence continues at coordinate 144,587,484 of NC_000008.11, forward strand.
TGTTATACAGGTTTAAGAAGAAACTAATGCTGAAGGATAGAGGGACGGAGCACAGGATAGTCAGAGGACAAAGCCCGGCAGCATGGGACGGGGCCTGGGGAGGGAGCACACGGGAGCGGGCAGGGAAAGGCCTGCTGGGTCCCCACGAGGAAGAGTGAGGGGCAGAGAGACTTTTTTTTTTTTTTTTTTGAGACGGAGTCTCGCTCCGTCATCCAGGCTGGAGTGCGGTGGCGCGATCTCGGCTCGCTGCGACTTCTGCCTCCCAGGTTCAAGTGATTTTCCTGCCTCAGCCTCCCAAGTAGCTGGGATTACAGGCACGTGCCACCACGCCTGGCTAACTCTTGTTTTTAGTAGAGATGGGGTTTCACCACATTGGCCAGGCTGGTCTCGAACTACTGATCTGCCCGCTTTGGCCTCCCAAAGTGTTGGGATTACAGGCGTGAGCCACCGCGCCCGGCCAGAAGAAACATTTTTACACAGATCAGCCTCCAGTCTCTGAAGGTGGAAGGCAGCACCCATCACCATCAGGGAAATGCAGAGCTCGAGACACCGAGGAAAACCAGCAAGGGTGATGGTCCCAGCCCCACGGAAACAGCTGGGGTAGACAGAGCCAGTGACGCTGCTGGCAGGGACACGGGTTGGCCATGTGTGCCAGGTGCCGGTTGACAGCACTGTGGGGACTCGTTGCCCTGGGCCTGCAGCTTAAGACCTGGCAGGAGTGAGGGCATACAGACCCAGCAAGACAGAGCAGGGCCGCCCCGAGGGCTCCTGAGCACGCATCCTGCGTGAGGGAACCAGGCAGGGGCCTGCAGGCTGTGCGCTGCATTGAGGCTCATGGAGGCACAAAACCAACGGTGATGCCAGAGGCTGACTGCCCGGTGGGGCACATCATGAGCCTGCACCTCCTCGAACACTTCTCTGCACACACGTATGTTAGCTAACATGTTTTCAGAGGAAGAGAAATGTGCCTCACCCTATGGGGAGGTGGCCCTAAGCCTCCCTCAGCAGCCAGGAAGAGCAGCCGTATGCAGCAGGGACAGAACTGTGGGGACCGCGGAGAGCGGCAGACTGGGTGCGGGAGGCGGGGCTCTCGCCAAGCCATCTGGAGAAACTCGGCCCAGGGCCCGAAGGGGAAGGTAAGACCCAGTAGGGCTGGGGACCCAGCTGGCCACCTGAAGCCCACGGCCTGTCTCCGTCAAACCCAGCGAGGGTCAGACTCACAGCCGGAGGCAGCACGGCGGCACGGGGGAACACAGCAAAGCCTCAGCAGCCTCAGCTGGGCCACCATGGCCAACGTGGGCAGGACTCTTGTGCGTGCTCACCGCGCCGTGACATGAGAGCAGCACGCCGCCTCTGTGGTCCTCCTCCCAGTGAATCGTGGTGAAGATCAGGCACGTCCAGGCGAGGGGCGTGTCACGCAACGCCGGGCCCGCCCTCCTCCAGGCCGTGCAGGTCACCAAATGCCAGAAGAGGGTAAGTCCACAGGAGCCCAGGGACATCAGGATCAATGTCACGTGGGACCCGGGGACAGAAAAAGGAAATCAGGTGCAAACCCAAGCGTCTGCATAAGGTGTGGATTCCGTTAGTAACAATTCCCGGCAGGGGCTCATCAACTGCAGAAAGGCACCGGCGGCATGACGGCGAGGGTATCGGTGGCCGGAGGACCCTGGTGCAGTGGACACAGAGGCTCTGCGCTGCCTGTGCCATTTCCACGTAAATCTAAGATTGTTCTAAAATAAAAAGTTTGCTTAAAAAAAGTAAGTAGTCTCCATATTTTAAAATGTTAATTTTATACTCTATAAATTATATAAGTAGCACAGTCGGCCTCATTTCGGAGCCAGCAGCTGCTCCTCCATGCAGGCGTGTCCCGGCAGGGCCTACCCTGGGGCAGGGAGTCATGGCCCAGAGGGGCTCAGGGGACAGGAGCGCCCAGAGCAGGGCAGCGGGAAGCCCCTCCTGGGAGGACGAACTCCTCTGACACTAACAGGGTGGAATGAAGTCCCCAGTTCCTCTTCCTGAGGACACCGACTTGGTGACCACGAGGCAGCTTTACCAAAACACAGGAGACCTCTCCAGCTCCCAAACGAGGCCCTCTGCCCTAGGGACTCCCGTGACCCCATAATCCAGGGACAACCAGGTTCCGGGAGGGGCTAGTGTGCAGGGCAGAGGGTGGCCCCCACATGTGCTGGCAAACGCCGCCATCGTACTCAGGGACCTGAAGCTAGGTCCATCTCTGCAGCCTGTGGCAGAGACACCCAAGACGAGCTCGGAGGCCTCCCACGACTCTGCCTCTGGTGTGAATCAGCAGCCCTGGGCACAGCCCAGGCGCCTGTGAGGTGGGGGCTCAGGCCAGGCCCCGCCTCCTCCAGAAGCCTTAGGACAAGGGCTGTGGGCTGAGGGGCACAGAGGGGCGTGAGGAACCTACAGAGGCTGAGATGCGTGGGAGCCCCGCCCACAAGAGGGAACAACACGTCACTGCTGCCTCGGGGCCCACGACGCCCTGACCCTGGTGCCAACTGCTAGCCCTCCATGCTCCCAGCTGACATTAGGCCAACAAGGGTCTCTCGCCTGTCATCCTGCAGAACACAAGGCCAGCTTGGTGGGCTCACCAGGGACACCACATGGCACGTGGGACAGAGGCCAGAGAAGCCTTCCCGACAGGGCCTGACAGAAGATGCCATCGACACTGCGGTTGGGGCAGGGCCATCTCCGGAAGATGCCATTGACACTGTGCTCGGGGCAGGGCCATCTCTGGTGACCTTGTATAGTGGCACTGACAGGTCACTTGTGTTTTCTGACCACTGGTGATGACAGTTTGGACGCTTGTCCCCAAACCTCACGTTGAGATGTGATCCCCAGTGTTGGAGGTGGGGCCTGGTGGGAGGTGCCTGGGTCGGGGCAGACCCCTCATGGCTCAGTGCCGTCTTCTCGACTGTGAGTGAGTTCTTGTGAGATCAGGTTGTTTAAAGTGTGTGGTGCCTCCCCTGCCCCGTGCTCCTGCTTTGCCATGATCAGAAGCTTCCTGAGGCCTCCCCAGAAGCTGAGCAGATGCTGGCGCCATGCTTCCTCCACAGCCTGCAGAACCACCAGCCAATTAAACGTCTTTTCTTTATAAAATACCCAGCATCAGGTGTTTACAGCAATGTGAGAACGGCCTGACACGAGTGACTGCAAGGCCAGCCTGCAGAAGGCTGGGGGGGCAGCGGTCACCATGTGACATCTCAGTGTGCACTGAAGGGGTCTTTGTCAGCTCCAGAGACACCCCTACCCCCCCACAACCCAACCTGCTGCCCTAGCCCTGCCTGGGAACAGAGCCAGCATGGAGACCCCAGCCAGGCCAGAGGCTTGTCTCCTCCTGGTCCCTGGCCATGAGCCTTGTCGACCGCCCTGGGGTCCAGCCAGAGGGTGAGGTCGCCCTGAACCCCAGCCCTCACCCCTGCCCCGTCCAGGCCATTCTCCACGCTGAAGATGGAAGAAACTCCCAAAACTGGGACCTGGTCATTATACCCTTGACACCTTCCACAGCTGGCACTGACCCTGGAGTGGGGCAATTCCTGGCAAAGCCCCCATCCCCCTGGTCCACTCCTCAGCCTGGCCGGTCTCTGTCACCTTTGCTTCCATGACCTCCTGGAGCCGGGTGGCTGCGCAGGCCTGGGGTGCAAGGCCAGAGGCTCACGGTCCCCCAGCAGGTGCCTTCCCTGTCCATACACCTCCTCTCCCCAGCCGGAGCCTGGACCCCAATGGACAGCTGCTCTGTGCTCCCGTGAGCACAGACCTGCAGGGGAGGGTGGCGCGTGTGAGGAGCACCTGCTGGGACATTGAAAAGGACAACGGCAGATGCAGCAGCCTCAGGGCACCCAAGGAAACCCCAAGAAGGCACCTGCAAGCAGACATCTGCAGGAAACTTGTCTTGAGGCCTGGGGGGACCAAAGGTAGCAGGGCCACCGTGAAGGGCCTGAGGCCTGGGCTGACCTGACCTAATTCAGGTGAACGGACCCTGAAGAAGGACTTGTTTGCATCCCCTTCCACCATGATTGTTCCCTGGGCGCCCCAGCCATGCGGAACCTCCTGGCTGGTCCACAGGGAGCAGGATGAAGGCTCCGGGAGGCCAGTGGTGCTGGGGGACAGGGTGCGTGCCAGAAGAGAGGCGAGGGGTGGGGGAGCAGAGGCGAGGAAGGGCAAGGTTTTCGGCCTGAGCACCTGGAGGGCGGGGCTGTGTCAGGTCTGGGGTCAGAACTCAGGACGCACACCAAGGACAGGACCACATGGACGCAGGTCAAACGCGGTGAGCAGTGAGGTGCCCTCGGCAACAGCACAGCCTCCCTGCCTGGAAGGAACAGGCCCCGTGTGCCAGGGCGGCTTCCCCTGGATGGCGGCGTCGCCTCGTCGCCTCGTGCCTGCGGGGAGTGCTGCCTGTGGGGAGTGGTGCCTGTGGGGAGTGGTGCCTGCAGGGAGTGGTGCCTGATCTCCTGTTCTCGCGTCACTTCTGTTAGATTTTAGCAGAACAAAGTTGAGATACTCCCAAAATAGTTTTTCTGAGTACAGAGAAGCTCAGACAGCAGAGAATCGAACATTCTATGCCCTAAAAGAAGTAATACCAATTGTTATTTTTGTTTAAAATGCACTTTCAAATGAATGTAATGGGATAATTCTCTCAACAAAGAATAGCATTTTGTTCCCTTTTCAGTGCACTCCTGCGCGCGTGTGGGCAGAACACCAGCCTCCTAAGAACACTGTGGGCACCTCCTGGGGGACAGCATTGAGCCCAGACCCTCGGGAAACCTGAGGGCACCTCCTGGGGGACAGCACTGAGCCCAGACCCTCGGGAAACCTGAGGGCACCTCCTGGGGGACAGCACTGAGCCCAGACCCTCGGGAAACCTGAGGGCACCTCCTGGGGGACAGCACTGAGCCCAGACCCTCGGGGAACCTGAGGGCACCTCCTGGGGGACAGCACTGAGCCCAGACCCTCGGGAAACCTGAGGGCACCTCCTGGGGGACAGCACTGAGCCCAGACCCTAGGAAACCTGAGGGCACCTCCTGGGGGACAGCACTGAGCCCAGACCCTAGGAAACCTGAGGGTACCTCCTGGGGGACAGCACTGAGCCCAGACCCTCGGGAAACCTGAGGGCACCTCCTGGGGGACAGCACTGAGCCCAGACCCTCGGGAAACCTGAGGGCACCTCCTGGGGGACAGCATTGAGCCCAGACCCTCGGGAAACCTGAGGGCAGACCACAGCATGGGGATGCTGGGCCTTGGGGAGCTGCTGCTCAGAGAAAGGCACAGGCTTCAGACCACAGAGGGCGACCTGGCCTCAGGGGTCCCACAGACTGGCTGGAGCTGGACCTCAAGGACGGAGGCGTACAGCTGCTGGCCCCGCAGGCTGGCTCTGCACAGGGCGAGGTGGGGAGGACATTGTGTGGGCTGGGGAACTCGCGCCTCGGCCCTCCACCACAGAGGGTCAGCATCAACTCACAGATGCAATCTGAGGTGTGTTTGAGGAATATTCATTTGGCAACAGTATTTAAAATGAAGTGGGAAGAGAAATAAGCCATTTGGTGACAAAGGTGGAAGGATGCAAGATGTCTACGATCCCCAGGGGACTCAGGGTACCCGGCGGGATGGGCCTCTTCCCAGAAGCTGCTGTCAAGGCGGAACAACCTTCCTGCAGCCCCTGTTTCTTGGAGATGTCTGTTTGCACACAGCGATCAGCCCACATAAGCCTTTTCTGATGAATGTAATGAGTGCCACGTGCATGCCAGACAATTTGCCAGGTGCTAGGGACACAAGAGTGAACAAGAATGTGCCCTGCCCTGGAGACGTAGACAAGGGTGTCGAGACCACTCCATCGGGAAAGGAGAGTCTCTTCAACAAACGTGCAGGTGGACGTCTACCTGCAAACAAATGCAGTCAGACCCTACCTCATGCCACACACAAACATTAATCCAAAGTAGACGAAAGGTCTCAATGTAAGAGCTAAACTGACAAAACTCTTAGAATAGACGGGGCGGCTCTGCATGACCTCGGATTTGGCAATGGATTCTGAGCTATGACACCAAAAGCACATGCAATAAGACAAACAATGGAAAAACAGACTTCATCAAAATTAAAACTTTTGTGGCCACCCGAGAGAGTGAAAACACAGCCACAGGATGGGAGAAAACACCTGCAAATCATCCATCTGATGAGGTTCACAAAGGACTCTCCTAATTCAGTAACAACAGGGTAGGAGGCTGGGAGGTGGAGACTGCAGTGAGCCCTGATCTACTGCACTCCCGTCTGCGCAACAGAGTGAGATCCTGTCTCGAAAAGAAAAAAAAGACAGGCTGGGTGCCGTGGCTAACGCCTGGAATCTCAGCACTTTGAGAGGCCAAGGCAGGTGGATCACCTAAGTCAGGAGTTCAAGACCAGTTTGGCCAACATGGTGAAACCCCATCTCTACTAAAAATATAAAAATTAGCTGAGTGTGGTGGCTCATGCCCGTAGTCCCAGCTACTCGGCAGGCTGAGGCAGGAGAATTGCTTGAACCCGGGAGGCAGAGGTTGCAATGAGCCGAGATCACAGCACTGCACTCCAGCGTGGGCGACAAAGTGAGACTCCGTCTCAAAAAAAAAAAAAAAAAAAAGATAAATACCCCAGTTTAAAGATGGGCAAAATATCTGGACAGACACATCTCCAAAGAAGATATGCAGATGGCCAATCTACATTAAAAGACGCTCGTGATCATTAGCCATAGGAGAAATGCAAATCAAAAAATCAAAACCACAAGAGACACCATCTCAAACCCACTGGAGGTAAAAGCCATAATAAGTGTTGCTAAGGATGTGGAGAAACTGGAACCTTTATACACTGCTGGTGGGAAGTGGGAACATTAACTGGTGTGGCCACTGTGGAAGAGTTTGGTGGTTCCTCAAAAAATCAAACATACCGGCCAGGCGCAGTGGCTCATGCCTGTAATCCCAGCACTTTGGGAGGCCGAGGTGGGCAGATCACCTGAGGTCAGGAGTTCGAGACCAGCCTCACCAACATGGTGAAACCCCGTCTCTACTAAAAATACAAAATTAGTCAGGTATGATGGTGGGCGCCTGTAATCCTAGCTACTCGGGAGGCTGAGGAAGGAGAATCGCTCGAACCCGGGAGGCGGATGTTGCGGTGAGCTGAGATTGTGCCACTGCACTCCAGCCTGGGCAACAAAAGCGAAACGCCACCTCAAAAAAAAAAAAAAAAGGTTAAATATAATATACAAAAATTAGCCAGGTGTGGTGGTGGCAAACATGTGTAGTCCCTGCTACTTGGGAGGCTGAGGCATGAGAATCACTTGGATCCGGGAAGCAGAGGTTGCAGTGAGCCAAGATGGTGCCACTGCACTCCAATCTATGTGACAGAGTGAGGCTCTGTCTGAAAAAGAAAGTTAAACAGGCTGGGTGTGGTGGCTGTAATCTCGGCACTTTGGGAGGCCGAAGTGGGAGGATCGCTTCAGCCTGGGAGTTGCAGGTTGCAGTGAGCTGTGATTGCACCTTCGCACTCCAGCCTGACAAGTACCAACCTTTCTCAAAAATAATAAAACCCCACAGAGTTACCACCTGACCCAGCAATTCCACAACTAGGTATACACACCCAAGAGAAACGAAAACGTCTTCACACAGAAATCTGCACACAAATGTTCATGGCAGCATGATTCATAATAGCCAAAAAGTGGCAACAGAGCAAACGTCCTTCAACTGATGCATGAAGAAGCAAAATGTGGCCCATCCCTACACGGGAATATTGTTCAGCAGTAACAGGGATGCAGCCCAGACCCAAGCTATGGTGTGGATGGACCTGGGGCATGTCGACGTGAGCGAAGGACCACTCGTATGATTCCACGTACTTCAATCGTCTGGAGCAGGTGAATCCCACAGGACACAAAGCCGGCCCGCCGTGCCCGAGGCTGGGGAGAGGCTGCTGCTGGGAGTGGGGCTTCTCTGTGGGAGGTGGATGGTGGCAGCAGCTGCACAACTCTGACTGTTCTAAGAGCCACTGGATTGTGCACCTTACAGGGTGAGCTTTGTGGCATGTGAATTATATAAAAAAAAGGGAGTCTGGCAGGTGAGGGGCAGCTGGGCTGGGCTCTCGCTGGGAAGGCCCCATCGGGCTGCCCTCAGCCAAGAGGTCCCAAGAGGCAGGCAGGTATCTGGGAACATGTGGAGGGTGCAGAGGCTGAACGGGGCCACCAGGGTCCACGATGGCCATGGCAATGCTGAGCTCCAGCCGCCACAGCTGGCCCCGAGCAGACCCTCTTGGTGGGTCCAGTGGGACCACTCCCCAAGGCATGCAGCCCCCAGCACAGCTCCTGGCTGTACAGCCTCTGCCAGGGGCGCCAGTGTCCCTCCCGCCGCGCCGCCATCTTCCCATCACCCCTCCCTGATCTGCTCTTTGTTCCCAGATGTTGTCCTCTTTGCCACGCTGCTCCTCTTTCTATCCTTATAGTTCTGCCAGGCGGCAGGTGTGGCCAGCCCCACACCAATCACCACAGATACCCGCAGAGGACACCCAGACCAAGCAGCAGACACCAAATCCCCTCCTCACCCAACAGGCTGCTCACAACTGCACATGACACACAAAGGAGACAGAGGCCCCGCAGCAAACCCACATGACCGGAACCCAACGGGCCCTGGCAGCAGAGGGGACGGCTGAGGCCTGGCCACCCCGGCGCTGTCCACCACCCCTCAGTGGGCAGAGGGGATGGCTAAGGCCTCGCCACCCCGGCACTCTCCACCACCCCTCAGTGGGCAGAGGGGGACGGCTGAGGCCTCGCCACCCCGGCACTCTCCACCACCCCTCAGTGGGCAGAGGGGACAGCTGAGGCCTTGCCACCCCGGCGCTGTCCACCACCCCTCAGTGGGCAGAGGGGACGGCTGAGGCCTCGCCACCCCGGCGCTGTCCATCACCGCTCAGTGCTCCACCACTGCTCCTGTCTGGCCTCAAGACTTTGTTCCTGACAAGTGACTCAAAAGTTAAGCCCTTCCACTCCCTCCTGGTCTCCTAAATCAAGGCCTAGCATTGAAGGACATTCACTCGTGGGGTGAATCCAGACTGGCCATGAGGGCTGCATGGAGGGGGTGCTGCGCGGGGGCAGAGGAAGCCCTGCAACGGTGAGCACGTGGGGGAGGAGTGGCCTCTTGGGCCTCCTGCACACAGCCAGGCGCTGCTCTTTACCAGGTAAGCATCCAGTGCTGCAGGCCCCGGGTGGCGCGCACTGCCGGGGTCCTCGGCGAAGATAAGAAACAGCACACAGACAGAGGACCCACTGGTGCCGCAGGACCTGGCACGTGCTGCAGGAGCGGCCACCATGATAGATCGTCCTCCAGACCCGCAAGGGTACCACACCCCTAAGCACCGGAGGGCGCAGGCTCTGCCGGCCAGCCCCACCTTCCCAACTCTCCCTCCAGGCCCAGGGCGTGTGTCCAGGCACATCGTGCTCTCCTGAGACCACCAGAAGGGCAAGGCAGGTCTAACGCCATGAGATGGAGTCCCAACAGCAGAGGCCATGGCTTCTCACACCAGACGTGGTGAGGGAGGAGCTGCGGGAACTCCCTCTGGGCCTTGACATCCCTGGTTAATCTGTGCCCAAGGAGACAGAGGAGGGACCTGGCTGACTGCCTGTGGAGCCTGGGAGGAGGGCGACCAGAACCCTAACAGCCTTAGGGCTGTAACGAGGGCTCACAACAGCAAGGTGAAGCCAGCAGGAGATGCGTTTGCTCTGTGAGGACGTGGGGAGGCAGCTCCACCCGATGCAGCAACCACCTCATCAAATCCCAGGACACTCTGCACCAGCAGCCACACCGCCCTACGCCTCCAGTCCAAAGCCCAACGTCTTCTCTGGGTGGGGCCGACTGGTCCTGTCTCCATCTAGAAGAGCACGTGGAGGGAGGGCGGAGGCATCTTTGAATCAAAGGACTGCAGCTGGGGAGGAACACAGGACACAGACAGCGAGCTGCCAGGAAGCCAAGGAAGCCACGTGCCCAGGCTGGAACCCCAGCACACTGAGGCGTGGACAGAGAGCCCCTCGCTGCCCCTTGCAGATCTACGCGACGCCCTTGAGGATGGGGGCAGGGGGCGGGGGGAACCCAGGATCAGGGGGTCAAGACTGTAATCAATGGGGCCGGGATTGCTGACTTGGGTTGATATGAAAAAGTCTGATCAAATGGGAAAGGCAAAACTTTAAGACTTTTAGAAGAAAATACGTGAAGAATTTCAGGAGCTCAGTTAGGAAAGGGCTTCCTGAGTAAGACAGGAAGAGAAAAGGCAGGTGGACAGAGAACGCTGGAGCTCAACACGTTGGCTCATCAAAAGCCACCAGCACTGACACAAAGGCGTGAGCACAGATGGAGACCATAATCCAGGCTCAGTCAACATGCAACGGTACCCGGAACAGACAGGGATGCGTCCACACCACAAAGGCTAAAAAAGATGATTAAATGGAAGAAAAGGCCGGAGGAGATTCCCAGAGGTGGAAACCTGAGGGCTAAGAACACACGGAGATGCTCAAACCCACCAGGTAGGAAGCCACGCAGACCCACCCGCCAGCAGGGAAGGAGAGTCCGGCCAGAGTAGGAGCTCCGTGGTGGGGAAGGAGCAGCCCGGGGAAGTCCAGAGGGCGCCCGGCATGGCCTCGAAGGCTGGACACCTGCGGGGCCCTTTCCGCATTGCGTGTAAAGGGGAAATTCGGAACCCAGCCGTGGGCCTTTCCGCGTTGAGTGTAAAGGGGAAACTCGGAACCCAGCCGTGGGCCTTTCCACGTTGCGTGTAAAGGGGAAACTCGGAACCCAGCCGTGGGCTTTTCCACGTTGTGTGTAAAGGGGAAACTCGGAACTCAGCTGTGGGTGTCAGTGGAGGGATACCAAGGTGCCACATGAGGACACATGAGCCCCAGGGAGGCTGGGAAGGAGCAGAAGAGACTCTCGATGAGTCAGGTGTGGCTGGGCACAGGACAGGAGGCCAGCAGGACCAGACAGACGGGCAGAAGCAGCCCCAGCTCCTTACAGAGCCCGGGGCATGAGAGAAGGCACAGTGCCCCTCACAGAGCACAGGCAGCCTCAGCCTCTAACAAATGGCACGGGGACAGCCGGATGCATGTGGAAAACAAACAGGTCAGATCACACCTCACACCACACACAAGAACCAAGGCGGATCTGAGACCCAAAGGCAAAAACAAAAGTATGTCAGCCCATGAGCAGGTGCCACGTGCTCTTTCTCCAGTCACCTGGATGGAGGTGACTAAAACACAGAGGCACTGAAGAAAGGATGGCCAACCTGACTACACAAAGATTCAAAACCTTTCACATGCAAAAGCCACTACAAATAAAACAGATTTTGGCTTTTCAGACACATTTAGTGGAACATTTACAATAAGAGCTCATGTCTTTAATATATAAATTTGAGCATGAAAAGATAAAAAATACTATAGAAAAAGAGCAAAAGATAAGAGCATGCAATTCACAAAGTGAACAGTAATACACGGAGGGTAACTACTTCAGTGATCATCAGAGCCCCAAAGCCCAGGCTGCATGGAGACCCCAGGCACCTGCCCACACATCTGACAGCAGGCAGCTGTTGACGGCCCCGATGGCCCGGGGTTGGTGCTGCTCACAGAAGCCCCAAGGACAGCACATCCAAAGGCATCCTTGGACCTAGCAGTCCCTCGTCAGAAATTCACCTGCAGATGCACCTCCCAAAACCCAGAATTATACAAGCAGACTGCAGCAGTCCTTGTAATTGCAGAATATGCGAAATTACCCATATGGCCAACACAAGACTGAGGCACACACACAATAGAGGCCCAGGAAGCTTTGAAAAAGGACGACAATCTCGATGGTCTGGGAGGCAGTGATGTCTAGGGGATGTTTTAAGTGGAAAAAGCAAATTGTGCAAAGAACACATAAATCATGATACCATTAGTGTAAGAATGAAGGGGAAATAAGAAAACATACTAACATCTGTTTATTCTTCACAATAGAAACCCAGGAGATAAACAGAAAACAAGAGAGTTTCTGCCTGCAGCAGGTAGGCAGGTGCAGAAAGGGCACGGGGAAGAGGCCTGGCTGAATGTGCCTGTGTACGGTTGGGGCTTTGGGAACGTGCGAATGGTCTATATGTTTAAAAGACAAAATTATATCAGGAAGAATAAAAAGGGGGACAAAAAAATCTCTAACTGAAAGTAATGAACCAACGGATGCCAGAACCATAATGAAGAAAAGAGAAAGAGCTAATCCAAACAACTTAGGAACACAGGATGAGCCAGTGTCGCATTCCTGGGAGACACGTGCACATGAGGGAATGCAAATGAACCCTGGCTTTTTTTAGTGCATATATTTTTGTAGTGGAATGGGTGAAGCAATTCTGAACCAATTTTAGATGAATTATCAGATGAGCAAGTGAGTAAACACACTGGTGTTCTTGGGAGCCAGGGAAGAAGAGATGTGATGGAAGAGGGGACCACAGAGCAACTCTCTGTGGGAGGGACGGGACTGGGGCACCGTGTGTGCTCAGCATTTCTAGGAGGCGTTTGTGCGCGTGGAGGCATGCATGCATGTTCATGTACCTGTGTGCGTGTGCATGGAGGCATGTGTGCGCACTTGTGTACCTATGTGTGCGTAGAGACGAGTGTGCGAGCTCATGTACCTACCTGTGTGTGTGCGTGGAGGCGTGTGTGCGCACTTGTGTACCTACCTGCGTGTGCGTGTGTGTGGGGGGCATGTGTGCAAGCTCGTGTACCTACCTGCGTGTGCGTGTGCGTGGGGGTGTCTGTGTGCTCCTGTACCCACCTGCGTGTGCGTGTGCATGGAGGCGTGCGTGTGCACTTGTGTACCTGAGTGTGCATGTGCGTGGAGGCATGCGTGCACACTTGGGTACCTACCTGCGTGTGTGGAGGCGTGTGTGTGCACTTGTGTACCTGAGTGTGCGTGTTCGTGGAGGCGTGCATGTGCACTTGGGTACCTACCTGCGTGTGCATCGAGGCGTGTGTGCACACTTGGGTACCTACCTGCGTGTGCGTGGAGGCGTGCGTGTGCACTTGTGTACCTGAGTGTGCGTGTGCGTGGAGGCGTGCATGTGCACTTGTATACCTGAGTGTGCGTGTTCGTGGAGGCGTGCGTGCGCACTTGGGTACCTACCTGCGTGTGCATGGAGGTGTGCGTGCACACTTGTGTACCTGCGTGTGCGTGTGCGTGGAGACGTGCGTGTGCACTTGTGTACCTGAGTGTGCGTGTTCAAGGCGTGCGTGCGCACTTGTGTACCTACCTGCGTGTGCATGGAGGCATGCGCGTGAGCTCATCTACCTACCTGCGCGTGTGTGTGCGTGGAGGCGTGTGTGTGCTCGTGTACCTGTGTGTGTGCATGGAAGCGTGCGTGCGTGCTCGTGTACCTGTGCGTGTGCGTGGTGTGTGCAAGCTCATGTACCTGTGTGTGTGTGGAGGCATGTGTGTGCTCGTATACCTGTGTGCATGTGCGTGGAGGTGTGTGTGCGAGCTCATGTACCTGTGTGTGTGCGTGGAGGCGTGTGCTCGTGTACCTGTGTGTGCACATGGAGGCGTGCGTGCGAGCTCGTGTACCTGTGTGCATGTGCGTGGAGGTGTGTGTGACCTCATGTACCTGTGTGTGCATGGAGGCGTGCATGTGTGCTCGTGTACCTGTGTGTGTGCATGGAGGCGTGCGTGCAAGCTCGTGTACCTGTGTGCATGTGCGTGGAGGTGCGTGTGCAAGCTCATGTACCTGTGTGCATGGAGGCGTGTGTGCTCGTGAACCTGTGTGTGTGCATGGAGGCATGCGTGCGTGCTCATGTACCTGTGTGTGTGTGTGGAGGCGTGTGTGTGCTCGTGTACCTGTGTGCGTGTGCGAGCTCATGTACCTGTGTGTGCGTTGAGGCGTGTGTGCTCGTCTACCTGCGTGCATGGAGGCGTGCGTGCGTGCGAGCTCGTGTACCTGTGTGCATGTGCGTGGAGGTGTGTGTGCGAGCTCATGTACCTGTGTGTGTGTGCGTGGAGGCATGTGTGTGCTCATGTACCTGTGTGTGTGCATGGAGGCGTGCGTGCGAGCTCGTGTACCTGTGTGCATGTGCGTGGAGGTGTGTGTGCGAGCTCATGTATCTGTGTGTGCATGGAGGCGTGCATGTGTGCTCGTGTACCTGTGTGTGCATGGATGCGTGCGTGCGAGCTCATGTACCTGTGTGCATGTGTGTGGTGTGTGTGTGAGCTCATGTACCTGTGTGTGTGCGTGGAGGCGTGTGTGCTCGTGAACCTGTGTGTGTGCGTGGAGGCATGCGTGTGTGCTAATGTACCTGTGTGTGTGTGTGGAGGCGTGTGTGCTCGTGTACCTGTGTGCATGTGCGTAGAGGTGTGTGTGCGAGCTCACGTACCTGTGTGTGTCCATGGAGGCGTGCATGTGCTCGTGTACCTGTGTGTGTGCATGGAGGCGTGCGTGCGAGCTCGTGTACCTGTGTTCATGTGCGTGGAGGTGCGTGTGCGAGCTCATGTACCTGTGTGTGTGCATGGAGGCGTGTGTGTGCTCGTGAACCTGTGTGTGTGCGTGGAGGCATGCGTGCGTGCTCATGTACCTGTGTGTGGAGGCGTGTGTGCTCGTGTACCTGTGTGCATGTGCATGGAGGTGTGTGTGCGAGCTCATGTACCTGTGTGTGTGTGCGTGGAGGCGTGTGTGCTCGTGTACCTGTGTGTGCATGGAGGCGTGCGTGCGAGCTCGTGTACCTGTGTGCATGTGCGTGGAGGTGTGTGTGTGAGCTCATGTACCTGTGTGTGTGCGTGGAGGCGTGTGTGCTCGTGTACCTGTGTGTGTGCATGGAGGCGTGCGTGCGAGCTCGTGTACCTGTATGCATGTGCATGGAGGTGTGTGTGCGAGCTCATGTACCTGTGTGTGTGCGTGGAGGCGTGTGTGTGCTTGTGTACCTGTGTGTGTGCATGGAGTTGTGCGTGCGAGCTCGTGTACCTGTGCATGTGCGTGGTGTGTGCGCGAGCTCATGTATCTGTGTACATGGAGGCGTGCATGTGTGCTCGTG
Organism: Homo sapiens; assembly: GCF_000001405.40. NCBI lineage: Eukaryota > Metazoa > Chordata > Mammalia > Primates > Hominidae > Homo > Homo sapiens. The sequence continues at coordinate 144,602,533 of NC_000008.11, forward strand.
TACCTGTGTGTGCATGGAGGCGTGCGTGCGAGCTCGTGTACCTGTGTGCATGTGTGTGGAGGTGTGTGTGCGAGCTCATGTACCTGTGTGTGCGTGGAGGCGTGTGTGTGCTCGTGTACCTGTGTGCATGGAGGCGTGCGTGCGAGCTCGTGTACCTGTGTGCATGTGCGTGGAGTTGTGTGCGCTCGTGTACCTGTGTGTGTGCATGGAGGCGTGTGTGTGAGCTCGTGTACCTGTGTGTATGTGCATGGAGGCGTGTGTGTGCATGTGCATGGAGGCGTGTGTGCTCGTGTACCTGTGTGCATGGAGGCGTGCGTGTGAGCTCGTGTACCTGTGTGCATGTGTGTGGTGTGTGTGAGAGCTCATGTACCTGTGTGTGTGTGCGTGGAGGCGTGTGTGTGCTCGTGTACCTGTGTGTGTGCATGGAGGCGTGCGTGCGAGCTCGTGTACCTGTGTGCATGTGCGTGGAGGTGTGTGTGCGAGCTCATGTATCTGTGTGCGTGCGTGGAGGCGTGTGTGTGAGCTCGTGTACCTGTGTGCGTGCGTGGAGGTGTGTGCGCGAGCTCATGTATCTGTGTGCGTGGAGGCGTGTGTGTGCTGGTGTACCTGTGTGCATGTGCGTGGAGGTGTGTGTGCGAGCTCATGTACCTGTGTGTGTGCGTGGAGGCGTGTGTGTGCTCATGTACCTGTGTGTGTGCCTGGAGGCGTGCGTGTGTGCTCGTGTACCTGTGTGCATGTGCGTGGAGGTGTGTGTGCGTGCTCGTGTATCTGTGTGTGTGCGTGTGCATGTACCTGCATGTGTGGAGGCATGTGTGCACGCTCGTGAACCTGTGTGTGTACATGTGCATACTCCTGCATAATTTTCTAGTTTTGTGTGCTCAGGCCAAAAAGCACACATCTGTCATCCCAGCACTTTGGGAGGCCGAGGCGGGCAGATCACGAGGTCAGGAGTTCAAGACCAGCCTGACCAACATGGTGAAACCCCATCTCTAGTAAAAATACAAAAAATTAGCCGGGCGTGGTGGTGCGCACCTGTAATCCCAGCTACTCAGGAGGCTGAGGCAGAAGAAATGCTTCAACCCGGGAGGCGGAGCTTGCATTGAGCTGAGATCACGCCACTGCACTCCAGCCTGGGCGACAAAGCGAGACTCCATCAAAAAAAAAAAAAAAAAAGAGGCCAAAAAGCAAAAAGCAAATACACTGCAGTAGCACTGAATGTTCTAAGAACCCAGACCTTGTTCTGTAAGACCAGTATTCCCTAAAAGGAACCAGCACTCCCTAGACAAACAGCTGATTCCAAGGCTGAGCAGGGCAGCTGTGCCAGGAGGAAGCTAGCACTTGCAGGAATGAGGACATCAGGGACACAGGATCCAGCGAGACGCTTAGGGGCCTATCTGGGCGCTTATGCACCAAGCCAGTGAAGAGCAAGCGCAATATCAACCCCGAAAAAACCCAACGGAGCTCACAGCCCACATCAGCGAACAAACGAATGAAGAACGAACAAACGAATGAACAAGGAGACAGCAGGACTCCTGCTCAGGTCAAGGCAGAGTGCGGATCGCAACTGTGGAAGGTGCACAGAGTCCCAGAAAGACCAACCACACAGGGAGGCACAAAGCATCAGACACGGAGCCGGGCCCAGAGCGCCCAGAGGTGGCCGGGAGGCAGCAGCTGCACCTCGGGGGGTGCGGGCGAGGCCTCTGTCGGGGTCAGAGGTCATGTTGCCAGGTGAGGGGCAGATGGACAGCAGTGTCTGCAGATGCGGGGCCCGGGAGGACCCAACACCACCTGTATGGCATTCTCCTGAAAAACTGTCAGACAAACCCAAACCAAGGAACTCTCTATTTTACTTTATTTACTGTGACACGGGGGTCTCACGCAGTCGCTCAGGCCAGAGTGCAGTGGTGTGATCTCAGCTCACTGCAGCCTAAACCTCTTGGGCTCAAGGGATCTCCTCACCTCAGCCTCCCGAGTAGCTGAGACCATAGGCATCTGCCACCACATCTGGCTAATTTTTGTATTTTTTGTAGAGATGGGGTCTCGCTAGGTTGCCCAGGCTGGGATGATCTGTTTTAAATAGGGTGACTATTACCTTAAAAATATCAATGTGACAACAGGCAGAGAAAAGCTGTGGAATTCTTCCAGATTAAAAAAGGCCAAGGAGAGAGAGGCAGTCAGGGGCAGAGCTGACCTGGAGGCATGGGACACTGGCTGAGACGGGACAGGGCCAGATTTACTTGTGGTAACAAGCGTCCTGGGCTACCTGGAAGACGTCCTGAGGGAGCTCACGCTCTCACACCGCCACCCCCAAAAGCATTCAGAGGCGACGGGAGCAATGCTAGCCACAGGGTCTCTGGGCAAGGGCACTCGAGCACTCATGGGGCTGTTCTTATTCTTGTAACTTTTCTGGAAGCATGAAATTATTTCCAAATAAAAGCCTAGAAATCAGGGCAGAGCAGTGGCTCACGTCTGTGATCCTGGCACTTTGGGAGGCCTCGGCCTCCCAAAAGGATCGCTTGAGCCCAGGAGTTTGAGACCAGCCCAAGCAACAGACCTCATCTTTACAAAAAATTAGAAAAATCAGCTAGACGTGGTGGTGCACACCTGCAGTCCCAGCTACTTGGGAGGTGAGGTGGGAGGACTGCTTTAGCCTAGGAGTTCAAGGCTGCAGTGAGCTATGATGGAGCCACTGCACTGCAGCCTGGACAACCGAGTGAGACCCTGTCTCCTCAAGAAATAAATCAATGAATAAATTAGAAAATCAAAAATTAGAAAGAGAAAAACGACGAATCATGGCGACCCGCATCTGCAGGAACGCAGGCCACGGCCCTGAGGGCTGCACTGTGCACAGGTGGCATCGGCCATCCAGGCCTTGGGAACAGCCAGCGACGAATCCATTCTCCACGGAGAATCCTGCATGCACACTGCTTTCTCTGCAGGAAGAAAGCAGTTCCACCCACTCGTGAGGCCCGGGCAGCTCCGCAGGTCGGTCGGCTCCTTACCGAGTGTTCGACCCTGGAATCCTCGACTCCGGCAGGTCGACATTATGGCTCCTGCACTCGTAGTCCTGCGTCTGGGACATCGCTGTTTGCTTCCGCGCCCACGTGGACAGACGTCAGGGCACCATACGCACAACGCCAGCATCAGACGGGAAGGTGCCGCACTGCAAGAGGGGAGAAGCAACAGTGCTGATATGGAAGACGCCTCACCACACCAATCACCCGGCCCAGCCCACCGCCGCAGACTGGCTGGGCAGGATGACGATGGACTCCACGGCACCCGTGAGCCGCCCCCGGGCAGCCAACCCCACTCCTCAGTGCTCCTGATGCCTGGCCCTGCGTTGCAGCGAAGCCTGGCCAGCCCCACACGCAGCAGGGAGGCTGTGCCCACCAGCCAGGATCCCCCCCATGCCAGTCTGAGACACCAGCCCCACTCCACGATGGGCCGGGGCAGGCACAAGCCAAGCATGGGGGGACCGTGGGACCGTAGGACTGGAGGACTGGGAGGAGGGCGAACAGGAGGACACAGGACCTGCTCCGCCCTCACTCTCAGCCCCACATCTGAGACTCAGTGTCCCCAGCTGTCCACACAGGCGACACTCGCCGGCAGTCACTGGGGAAGGACACGGGGCCACACGTGTAGCACAAGGGCGCTCAGGAGCAATCCATGTTCACACGGACCACCTGACTTCCAACAACAATGCTGTGTTCACCAGGTGTACAGTCCATCCTTGAAAAACACGGGTCTGAGCCAGGAGGGCCACATATACATGGATTTTCTTCCTCCTCTGCCTCCCCTGAGACAGCACAACCAACCCCCTTCCTCTTCCTTCTCCTCGGCCTACTCAATGTGAACACGACGAGGATGAAGATCTTTAGGATGATCCACTTCCACGTAATGACAGTAAATATGTGTTCTCTTCCTTATTATTTTCTTACTACCATTTTCTATTCTGACTTTATAGGAAGAGTATAGTAGATATTACAATAGCATACAAAATGCACGTGAATTGACTGTTGTTATCCGAAGGCTTCCCATCAACAGCAGGCTGTTTGTAGTTAAGAGAAGGAGGAGGAGAAGGAGGAGGAGGAGGAGGAGGTGACGGTGGAGGAGGTGACTGCGGAGGAGGAGGAGGAAAGTAAGACATGGGTTTTTGACCACCTGGTGGGGGTCAGTGCCCCTAAACCCTAAGTTGTTCAAGGGTCAAGTGTGAAAAAAATGAACCTTGACCTCTACCTCATCCAATCTCGTACGTAAAACTTAGTTCTAGATGCACTGTAGGTCTAAATGTTAAAAGTAAAATAATAAGGCTTTTGGAAAGAAATGTAGGAGAAAATCCTTGTGGCCTTACAGTAGGCACAAATATCTTAATTGGACACACACAAAAAACAATGCACAAAAGAAAAATTAACAAATTGGACTATAGTAAAATTAAGAACATCTGTTTATCAAGAAACTATTAAGCAAAAAAAAAAAAAAAACCCACATCCTAAGTGGGAGATATTTGCTACAGAGAACATGTGTAATGTGTGTGTGTAATCTGACAAAGGGCCACATCAGACATATTAAAAACTCCTACCAATAAGTAAGGAAATCAGCCGAGTGTGGTGGAGCGTGGCTATGGTCCCAGCTACACGTGAGGAAGAGGAGGGAGGATCCCGCCACTGCGCTCCAGCCTGGGCGACAGAGCGAGACATTGTCTCAAAAAAAAAAAAAAAAAAAAAAAAGCCAGACACAACTGAATGCACAGAGTACAGTTGCCTTTCCTGAGGTTCAAGGTCAGGCAAAAGCAGCCTCTGCTGTTAGAAATCAGAACCCATGGCCTCCGGCCCGGGTGGTGACGGGGAGGGACCCACGGCTGTATGGCTGCTCCTAGCCTTGGTGCCACTTCGCCTGTAGCACTGGCTTATAGAAGCCACAGGGCCTCACATGTGCCGCTACACTCCAACAGTCTGCCGAACCGTGGTGGGCACTGCTGTGGTGGGCACCTGTCTTCTTGCTCCCGGATGCCCCAGCTGGTATCAGTACAGCCCCCACCCCGCCCCCCAGGAGAGGCCATTCCATAGATACTAGCTGTGCTAATTCAAGGGGAAATAAAAAAGACTCAAGCCCCAGAAGAGAGCACAGCAGGTGACGGGAAGGGACACTGCAGGCCAATTGGAAACTTTCTCCAAGTCCCAGACAGATTGTGGGGCCACAAATCCTACCTACACTCACGCCGCTCACAAGCGGGGTAACCACCTCCTTAGAGGAAACGCGCTTTCCGCCACTCAAATCTCCACACAAGTATTTATTTTAATGCTTGGGACTGCTACGAATGCTATTTTTAAAAATGAAACTCAGGCCGGGCGCGGTGGCTCATGCCTATAATCCCAGCACTTTGGGAGGCCGAGGCGGGTGGATCATTTGAGGTCGGGGGTTCAAGACCAGCCTAGCCAACACAGCGAAACCCCATCTCTACTAAAAGTACAAAAATTAGCCAGGCGTGGCAGCATGTGCCCGAAATCCCAGCTACGCAGGAGGCTGAGGCAGGAGAATCACCTGAACCTGGGAGGCTGAGGTTGCAGTGAGCCGGGATCGTGCCACTGTACTCCAGCCTGGGCGACAGAGCAAGACTCTGTCTCAAAAAAAAAAAAAAAAAAAAAAAAAGGAAAAAGAAGAAGAAATGAAACTCAAATATTTTTAATTTCTTGTTTGAGAGGAAACAGGTGACCTGCTCGTACAGCTTCAATCTTTTTGAAAAGTAAAACAGCAGTATCAGTGAAGTTCTAAAAAGCTAAAAAGCATCCACCACAGCCTGAGAGCCACCTTGACCAACTCCTTCCCCTATGCACCTGCTTTCCATCCTCAGTCCATCCTTCCATCATGGGTTCCAACATGCTCACTGACCTCCTTGTCCTCTTAGACTCAACTCAGGCGTCACCTCTCAGGAAGCTTCCTCCCATCTGGGACCCCACGCCACAGTGAGTCCAAATGCACCGGGTCTGCAATCAGGCACTGCGAGTCCCCAAACTCTGCTTTTCATTGTTGAAGTTGTTTTAATTATTCCAGGTCCTTTGCATTTCTATATGAATTTCAGGATCAGCTTCTCGATTTCTACAAAATAGCCTGCTGGGATTTTGATTGCAGTTGTGTTGAATCTATCGATGAGTAAGAGGAAAATCAACATCTCACCTACATTAAATCTGATCTGGGAGCAAAACATCTCTCTCTAGTTGGGTCTACTTTCAGCAACATTTTGTAGTTTTTAGTGTACAAATCTTGCACATATTAGTTAAGTCACCCTAAGCATTTCATATTTATAATACTAACAAAATATAATTTCCAATTTTTTGTTGCTAATACAGAAAAAAATGTTATTTGTTTTTACAATTTGATCTTGTAACCTTGATAAACTCACTTATTAGTTCTAATTGTTTTTCACAGATTTATTATGTTTTCTGCAGAGATGATCATGTCAACAGTGAATAAAAAGTTTTACTTCTTCCTTTCCAAACTAGATCCTTTATTTTTCTTGCATAATTGCACTGGGAAGAACCTGCAGTATTATTACTGAACACAATTAGTAAGAGTGAACATATGTGCCTTCCTCCTAATCTCAGGGAAAGCATCCAGTCTTTTACCATTAAGTATGATGTTGACTGTAACTTTTTCATGAATGCCTTTTGTATTTTTAGTTTGTCAAGTTATTTTTTAAATTAGGAATGGATGTTGGATTTTGTAAAATACTTTTACTGTATCTATTGAAATGATCACATGGTTTCTCTTTAGTTTGGTAATAGCTGGATTCCATCAATTAATCTTCTATTCTTAAACCAATTACGTATTCCTTGTATAAATGCCAATTGGTCACGATGTATTGTCCTTTTTTTTTTTTTTTTTTTTTTGAGACGGAGTCTCAGTCTGTTGCCCAGGCTGGAGGGCAGTGGCATGATCTCGGCTGACTGCAACCTCCACCTCCCAGGTTCAAGCGATTCTCCTGCCTCAGCCTCCCAAGTAGGTGGGATTATAGGCACCCACCACTATGCCCAGCTAATTTTTTTGTATATTTGGTAGAGACGGGGTTTCATTATGTTGGCCAGGCTGGTCTTGAATTCCTGGCCTCATGATCCACCGCCTCAGCCTCCCAAAGTTGTTGGGATTACAGGCGTGAGCCACCGCGCCTGGCCATATTGTCCTTTTTATATATTCTCAAATGGGATTGGCTAAAATTTTGTTAAGAATTTTTACATCCATATTCATATTCATTTTTGCATCTATTTTCTTCTTGTAACATCTTTGGTTTTGCTATCAGAGTAATACCAGCATAACAAAATGAGAAGTATTCCCTCCTCTCAAATTCCTGGGCGAGTTTATATAGAATTGCTATTATTTCTTCCTTAAATGTGTGGCAGAGATTCCAGTGAAGCCAGATGGGCATGTAGTTTCTTTGTGGGAAGGTTTTCAATTACACATTGAATCTATTTAATAGATACAGAGCTGAGCAGGCTCTAAAAATTTCTTCTTACGTGAGTATGAATGGTTTGTCTTTCAAGGAACTTGCCCATTTCATATAAAATTAATCACATTTGTTGGCATAAGTTATTATACCATACTATTCCTTTATATCTTCTTAAGAGCAACAGACTCTGTAGCTATGCCACATCTTTCATTTTTGACATTGATATAAAAATGTCTTGCTTTTTTCACTTTTCTGGCTAGAAGCTTATCGATTTTACTGACTGCCTCAAAAAGACAGCTTAATCGTTTTTTTTCTATTTTTCTGTTTTCATTAATTTCCACTTTGATGTTTGTTTCCTTTCTTTTGCATCCTTTAGACTTAATTTGCTTTCCTTTTTCTAATTTCCTAAGCTAGAAGCAGAGTTCAGTGATTTGTACATTTAAAAAAAAAATTTAGGGCCGGGCGTGGTGGCCCACGCCTGTAATCCCAGCACTTTGGGAGGCCGAGGTGGGTGGATCACGAGATCAGGAAATTGAGACCATCCTGGCCAATACTGTGAAACCCCATCTCTACTAAAAATACAAAAAAGTTAGCCAGGCGTGGTGGCGGGCGCCTGTAGTCCCAGCAACTCGAAAGGCTGAGGCAGGGGAATGGCGTGAACCTGGGAGGCAGAGCTTGCAGTGAGCTGAGATCGTGCCACTGCACTCCAGCCTGGGCGACAGTGAGAGACTCCGTCTCAAAAAAAAAAAATTTTTTTTTAGGTATTTAGTATTATAAAATACCCCTCTGAGTACAGCTTTCATGATATCCGACAAGTTTTGATATGCTGTATTTTCATTTTCATCCCGTTCAAAGAGTTTTGAGATGGAGTCTCACTCTGTCACCCAGGCTGGAGTGCAGTGGTGGGATCTTGGCTTGCTGCAACCTCCACCTCCCAGGTTCAAGCGATTCTCCTGCCTCAACCTCCCCAGTAGCTGGGATTACAGGCATATGCCACCACACCTGGCTAATTTTTTTGTATTTTTAGTAGAGATGGGGTTTCACCATGTTAGCCAGGCTGGTCTCAAACTCCTGAGATCAAGGGATCCTCCCACCTTTGCCTCCCAAAGTGCTGGGATTACAGGCGTGAGCCATCACGCCCAGCCTCAGAAAGCTTTCTAACCTTTCTTTTGATTTCTTCTTTGACTAATGGAACATATACTCAGTAACTAATCATCTTCCAGATATTTTTTATTGGTTTCTAATTATGTTTTTCTCAGAGAACATAATTTATATGATTTGAATTTGTTCAAGTTTATTGATGCTTTTTATGGTCCCCTAAAATGGTCTATCCTGGTAAATGTCCCGTGTGCACTGGAAAAGAACGTGCTGCCGGGTGAAGTGCGTATAAAGCCAATCGGATCAGGCTGGTTGATGGTGCTGATACTAATTTCTGTTCTACTTGTTCTATCCATCACTGAGAAACAGGTCAGGAGAGTCCCAACTACAACTGTGGATTTGTCTACTTCTCTTTGCACTATCAGTTTTTGCTTCATGTATTTTATAGCTCTGTTATTAGGTGCATACACATTTACAGTGTCTTCTTGATGAATGAACTCTTTTATCATGAAGTATCTTTATCCTGGTTGTTTCCTTTGCTCTGAAATCAGTACATTTGATATTACAGTAACTCCGGATTGCTTTACATCAGAGTTAGAATTGTGTAACATTTATCCTTCTTTTACTTATAACCTATTTATTTATTTAAATTTAAAGAGGGTGGCAAGGCACAGTAGCTCATGTCTACAATCCCAGCACTTTGGGAGGCTGAAGCAGGAGGATCCCTTGAGGCCAGGAGTTCAAGACCAGCCTGGGCAACATAGCGAGACCCTGTCTCTATAAAAAAATTAGCCAGACATGGTGGGGTGCACTTGTATTCCCAGCTACTCGGGAAGACGAGGCAGGAGAATCGCCTGAATCTGGGAGGTGGAGGTTGCAGTGGGCCGAGATTGCACCATTGTACTCCAACCTGGGTGACAAGAGCAAAACTCCATGTAAAAAAAAAAAAAAAAAAGGAGGATGAGGCCAGAGGATTCCTTGAACCCAAGAGGTCAAAGTTGCAGTGAGCCACGGCTGCACCACTGCACTCCAGACAGGGCAACAGAGTGAAGTGAGCCACGGCTGCGCCGCTGCACTCCAGCCAGGGCGACAGAGTGAGGTGAGCCACGGCTGCGCCGCTGCACTCCAGCCAGGGCGACAGAGTGAGGTGAGCCACGGCTGCGCCGCTGCACACCAGCCAGGGCGACAGAGTGAGGTGAGCCACGGCTGCGCCGCTGCACTCCAGCCAGGGCGACAGAGTGAGGTGAGCCACGGCTGCGCCGCTGCACTCCAGCCAGGGCGACAGAGTGAGGTGAGCCACGGCTGCGCCGCTGCACACCAGCCAGGGCGACAGAGTGAGGTGAGCCACGGCTGCGCCGCTGCACTCCAGCCAGGGCGACAGAGTGAGGTGAGCCACGGCTGCGCCGCTGCACTCCAGCCAGGGCGACAGAGTGAGGTGAGCCACGGCTGCGCCGCTGCACTCCAGCCAGGGCGACAGAGTGAGGTGAGCCACGGCTGCGCCGCTGCACACCAGCCAGGGCGACAGAGTGAGGTGAGCCACGGCTGCGCCGCTGCACTCCAGCCAGGGCGACAGAGTGAGGTGAGCCACGGCTGCGCCGCTGCACTCCAGCCAGGGCGACAGAGTGAGGTGAGCCACGGCTGCGCCGCTGCACTCCAGCCAGGGCGACAGAGTGAGGTGAGCCACGGCTGCGCCGCTGCACTCCAGCCAGGGGGATAGAGTGAAGTGAGCCACGGCTGCACCACTGCACTCCAGCCGGGGCAACAGAGTGAGATCCTGTCTCAAAAAAAAAGGTTTATTTTAGCCCACATATATGTGAGTATTGATTTTTTATGCAATCTGACCATCTTGCTGTGTGTTACCTGTTCTATCTGTTCTCTTTTCCTCTTTTCTGCCTTCTTTGGATTAAGTATTTTATGTGGGTCAACTTTATCTCCACTGTTCACTTATCAGCTGTAATTTGTTGCTTTGCTATTTTAGTAAATGCTTTTGGGTTTATAACATACATCTTTACTTTGTCATACTCTGCCTTCAACGGCTATTCTACCACTTCAAATATATGCATTTACCATTTTCTTCTCTCCTGGCCTTTTATTTTTGCCATTTTTGTCAAATATTTTATTTCTGTATATGTTATAAATTCCTCTCTGTTACACAGTTACTATTCTTAAACAATTACATTTTAGAGAGATTTAAATATCATGTATTTACCCATGTAGTTACCATTTCCAGTACTCTTCAATTTTCTGTATAGATCCAGACTTCCACATGGTTTTGTTTTCCTTCAGCCTAAAGCATCTGTAACATTTCTTTCAGTGAAGGTCTGCTGGTAATGAACTAGTTCAGCTGTTGTGTGTTTGGAAACATCTTTATGTCACCTTCACTTAAAAGATATTTAGGTATAGAATTCTTGGTGGACAGTTTTTTTTTTTTTCCCTTTCAGCATCTTAAACACACTACACCATTGTCTTCGCACTTGCATTGTTTCTCATGAGAAATCTGCTGTCATCTGTGTCTTTGTTCCTTCATACACAAAAGGCCTTGCTTTTTTTTTTTCTGGCTGCTTTTGAGATTTATCTCTTTGTAACTGGTTTTGAGTAACTCGATGATGATGTGCCTTGTGTGATTTTCTTCATTTCTTGTGCTCAGGGGTCCTTAAGATGGTCAGATCATGTGACATGAATCCATTGGTCAACAAAGAAAAAAGAAAGATGGTCAGATCTAGGCTTATAGTTTCCATCAAACTGGGAAGCTTTTCAGCTATCATGTCCTCAAACAATTCTTCTGTCCCTCCCTTCCCACTTAGGGACTCCAATCACATAATTGTTAGGCCTCTGAAAGTTGTCCTACAGCTCAATGATGCTCTTGTTTGTTTTAAAGTATTTCTTTTCCTTGTTTCAGTTTGGAGAGTGTCTACTGCTTCATCTTTAAGTTCACTAATCTTCATCTGCAATCTCTGATCTACCATTAATCCCATCCAGCATATTTTGTACTTGGACATTTTCGTTTCAACTCTAATTTGGATCTTTTAAAATACTTCCATGTCTCTACTTAATGTGTTCAGTCTTTCCTGTTGCTCTTTGAACATATGGAATACAGTTATAATAATTACTTTAATAACCTGTCTGCTAACCCTAACATCTATGTCAGTTTTGATGGATTTTTCACTCCAGTATGGGTTCTATTTTCCTGTTTCTTTCCACACCTGATAATCTTTGGTTGGATGCCAGACATTATGAATGTTACCTCTTGGAAAGCTGCATATTTTTTGTGTTCCTGTTACTATTTTTTTTTTTTTTTTGAGACGGAGTCTCGCTCTGCCACCCAGGCTGGAGTGCAACGGCACAATCCCGGTTCACTGCAACCTCCGCCTCCCGGGTTCAAGTGATTCCCCTGCCTCAGCCTCCCAAGTAGCTGGGATTACAGGTGCATGCCACCACGCCCAGCTAATTTTTGTATTTTCAGTAGAGATGGGGTTTAACCATGTTGGCCAGGCTGGTCTTGAACTCCTGGCCTCAGGTGATCCGCCCACCTTGGCCTCCACAAGTGCTGGGATTACAGGTGTGAGCCACCGTGCCTGGCCCGTTACTATTCTTGAGCTTTGTTTTGGATCCAGATACTTGGAAACTGAAAATGTTGACTCTTGCTTCTGAGATTGTCACACAGCAGCAGAGCAGCATTTATTCTAGGGCTAACTGTTCTCCACTGGGTACGCTACCACATGCCCTGTGAGTTATGAGGTTTCTCAGTCAGCCTGCTGGCAACAGGCACTCTTCTTAGTGTTTTGAGAGCTCTGAGTACTTACTGTTCCCTCTAATCCTTCCAGGTGTTCCCTTACTGTTCCCTCTAATCCTTCCTGTTCTCTGGTAGTTTCCTTATATGAACACAATGATCAGTATGATGTTGAAAAACTAAGAGGAATCCTCAGCCCATCCTTTCATTCCCCATTTCACCCCTTACGAGTCTGGATCATGGGGGCAGAGGCTCACGCCTATAATCCCAGCACTTTGGGAGACCAAGGTAGGAGGACTGCTTGAGCTCAGGAGTTCGAGACCAGCTGGGCAAGATGGCAAAACCTCACCTCTACCAAAAAATACAATGATTAGCTGGGCGTGGTGGCACACGCCTGTGGTCCCAGCTACTTGAAAGGCTAAGGTGAGAGGATCGCTGACCCCAGAAGGTCGATGCTACAGTGAGCTATGACTGTGGCACTGCGCTCTAGCCTGGGCAACAAAGTGAGACCCCCTTCTCTAAAAATTAGAAAAAAAAAAACAAGTCTGTATCTTACAGAAAAGTGAAGCACGTGGGCCTTCTGCCTCATCTTGCCAGATGTCTGCCTATACTCAGCTCCCCGAGACACAACCCCATTCTTTTAAAATACTCATCAATGCTATCTCCAAAAATCCATTCTTGTTAAACAAAAACCCAGCCTGCTGGAGACCTGATATGGCTGTCACTGCTTCCCGTCTGGCCGACACCCTCCTTTGCCATGGCTATTCCTTAGGCCCATTGTGGATTAAATCTTGTTCCCTATTTTTCATTCTCTTTGTTCACTGCAGTGAGTTTCAAGAAGGAAAGCAGAATAAATGAGTCTTTACTCAGCTGTCATTTCCAGAAGGCCCAAGTTCCACTCTCAATGCTGTTTTTAGTTTTCCCGGTTCTGAACAATGAACCCAGTCTCATGCTCTGAAAGCTCGGCTGTGAGCTGGAGACACAAGGCCCCATTCTCCCCGCCCAGTGCCTGGGCCAGGCTGGGCAAAGACACGACCCCAGTGAGCAGGACAGGCACGTCCGGCATTTGCCGCCCCTTCAGCAGCTGTGCTCACCAAAGCCGCCTGCTCCAGGACAGGCCAGGTTGAGGGGTTTAGAGCTGTGACCCAGCCCATCAGCAAGCCATGGAATGGACTTGGGAGGTCAGGGCCGGCTTCTTCACCTTTCTGGGAGGGGGAAAGGAGGGGGTCAGGCACACCCCACACGGAAAGGACGGTGCTGGTTGGAGCCACCTGGATGCGCAGAAAAAGAATTTCTTACTGTGGTGTGGCTGCTGCAACATTTGCAAAGCTGCTGCTTGGCCCTGGGGCTGGCATTACACCTGGCTCCGTCTGTGTGACAAGTTCCTGAGAGAGGCAGTCTGGAGGGGCCTCTGTGCCTTTAGGACGCATGGACCTGCCTGGCAGCACAGCCCCTTCCTGGATCCTCTGTGTCCATGGTCAAAAGAGAGACCTGGTCTGTGACCTGGGACAGGCCCCCCATGAAAGGGTCCTGGCTTGTTCATAAATTCTGAATGAGTGTGGCTGTGGGTTGCCCCTGGCTTTAAGAGAGAAATGAGAAAACCCATGGAAGGGCTTTGTAAATGCAGGAAACAGAGGCTCAGGCACTACAAGGGTCAGACCCCTCCTCGGAGCCTGCTTGTGTCCTAGGAGGCCGCCTGGTCAAAGGGTGCTCAGCTACTCCTTTGACCCCCTCCAAGCTGAGCCCCCCAAGCCAACCTCCAGGGTAAGAGATGAGGCTGAGTGTTGCTGACTCTGAGCCACTGCCTCACCCCAGGCCGCCCTAGGCAGCAGCCAGGAGGTGGGGAGGGCAGGGGGGGCCCAAGGGCCATAGGGGCAGCATCCAGGTGCGGCACAGTGGCCTCAGGCAGCAGGACGGGTGCAGGAGGACCTGGGTCCCACGAAGGACGGCGAGTGCCAGTGGCATCCTGTGGTGCAGGGTATTTTTCTTATTACTCAAACCTCTTTAAAAAATGATTGTTTAAAATCTGGTAAATAAAAATGTCTTCTGCTCACTACCATATATGCCCAATGCCCAGTGAATCAATGTTGCCCAGTGAATCAACAAACACTATTTTAAAACAAAACAATGCTGGGAGCAGTGGCTCACACCTGGAATTGCAGCACTTTGGGAGTCCAAAGCAGGAGAATCACTTGAGGTCAGGAGTTTGAGACCAGCCTGGCCAACATTTTTAGTCTCTACTAAAAATACAAAAATTAACTGGGAATGATGGCACATGGCCTGTAGTCCCAGCTACTCGGGAGGCTGAGGCAGGAGAATCACTTGAACTAGGGAGGCGGAGGTTGCAGTGAGCAGAGATTGTGCCACTGTACTCTGGCCTGGGCGACAGAGCGAGACTCTGTGTAAAAAAAAAAAAACACCAAAAAAACAAAAAACACAATTGGGTGATTTCAGAAGTCCTTCTGAATAAAGGTGATGGTACGAGGGCCTGGCACCTCACGTCTCAAAGGGCTTCTCACCTGTCACTGACTTTGGCAGGCGGGACAAGCGGCGCAGCACCAGCAAGAGCCAGGAGACCTGAGCACCCAGCACCGCAAACCAGGAGACCTGAGCACCCAGCGCCACAAACCAGGAGACCTGAGCACCCAGCGCCGCAAACCAGGAGACCTGAGCACCCAGCGCCGCAAACCAGGAGACCCCTCCAGCTCAGCTGGGCATCCTGGGAACACAGCCTTCAGGCTGAGAGCCCAGCCTTGGCCCCAGGAGATAAGAAACTGAAAAGACAAAAAAAAAAAAAAAAGGCAGGAGCAGCTGAACTCTGCCAGCCGCACCCGCTCTAGTCTGGTTTTGTGATCTAAAGTGAGGTTTTTGTTCTTTTAATCATGGAATCTTGCCTCTCACCTGGCTTTGTTGGTTGCCTTTCTGTATAGTTTTATGTTTTGCTTTCGTCTTCTGCATTGATTTTAAAAATTCTATTTGTTCTTCCTCTGCCTTTTTTGAGGCAGGGTCTTGCTCTGTCGCCCAGGCTGAACTGCAGTGGTACAATCAGGGGTCACTGTAGTCTCAACCTCCCGGGCTCAAATGATGCTCCAGCCTCAGTCTCCTGAGAAGCCGGGACCACAGGTGCGAGCCACCACGCCCAGCTAATTTTTGTATTTTTTCTAGAGATGGGGTCTCTCTATGCTGCCCAGGCTGGCCTTGAACTTCCTGGCTCAAGGGATCTGCCTGCCTCGGCCTCCCAAAGTGCTGGGATTCCAGGTATGAGCCACCACGCCTGGCCTAAAATTCTATTTTCAATGGAATAGAATATTTTAATTTTTATTAGGTGGTTACTGTAACATTTCTCAAAAAATCCTGAGCTCCACCCTTTCAAGAACCCCTCGCCTGCCTGCATGGCAAAGCCCACCCGAGCCCAGTGCCCCTTGTCCCCGCCCTCTCCCAGACTGGGGTCCTGGTGTGGGGCTGGGGCCACATGGGGTCCTGAAAGGGCAGGGCTGGTGCTGAGGGGTCTGTCATGATCACGTCCCGCCTCTTCTTTTCTGCTCAGTAATCTCACATGAGCTTTTTAAAAAGAATCCACTTCACAGTTTACTGATGTGGAATTTTTGTTTTTGCCTGTGTTCGTGGGTAGTTTAATAGGTGACGGGAGAGGAAGCTTCTGGAGGTCACCGTGGACTCTATCCTGAGGCTGTCCACCAGAATGCTGTACCCAGAGACCTGCCTGAGGTGGGGGTTGCTGCCTGCAGAGGTTGTGGTGGGCGCGAGCAGGCAGGCAGAGCCCCGAGGACGCGCCTCAGCCATGCGCCCTCCATCCCCAGGCCCAGGGCCAGCCTCAGCCACCTCCCCCTCTGCCGGGGCTGCCGCCTGCTCAGCTGGGAGGGAGGTCCCTGAAGAGGCCGGGCGCAGGAAGCGGCTCCCTGCAACGTGGTACCCGGTTCTCGCATGGGAGGCGCAGTGCTGGGCTTCCTGGGAGCAAGTCCTGCTGGGGCCTCCCCAGCCCCCGGCACTGCCTACCTCCTCCCGAGGCCCTGTGGCGTGGCGTGAGCAGGACCGCGGGCGCACAGCCACCGTGGCGGGCACAGTTGCGCACTGGTGACAGCGGCCTCGTCTGGTTCTTCCCACAACCCTATGAGGCAGGTGTGCTCCGTCCTCATCCTCGTCCTGCAGACGTGGGGCCCCCAGGGCCTGTGGTGGTCTCCATAGCAGTCAAGGCCACAGCCCAGCCTGGTCCACAGTGGACACAGGGAGCAGGACAGGCCCAGAGAGCAGGACAGGCCCAGGCCCCAGGCACGTCACAAGGGCTTCCCACCCCCACCTCACATTGCCGGAAAGTTCCAGTCATGAGTGGGCAACAGGCGCTTGCTTCCAACGTCCCACGCCGAATCTGGAACAGAGGATGCTCTGTGCCAGCTCCAGACAGGGTCTGCTGGGAAAGCAAGCGCGGAAACAGCATCTGCCTGGGCTGGCGACGCCCGCCATAGACCAGGGTGCCAGAGGCCCCTCGCTCCGAGAAGCGCGGGTCCCCATCCCCGCTCCAGGGCCGGCACGCAGCATGCATGTGGGCCTGTGTGTCCCAGAGGGAGAGTGTGTGCCCATGTGCGTGTGCGCCCGTGTGCGTGAGCCCGTGTGTCCCTGAGACAGCAGGTATGCTCGTGTGCGCGTGAGCTCGTGTGTCCCTGAGAGACCGTTTGTGTGAGCCTCTGTGTCCCTGAGAAAGCGTGTGTGCCTGTGTGCACGTGAGCCTGTGTCCGAGACAGCGTGAGTACCCGTGTGTGTGTGAGACTGTGTGTCCCTGAGAGAGCGTGCATGTCCGTGTGTGAGCCTGTGTGTCCAAGAGCGTGTGTCCGTGCATGAGCCTGTGTACCTGAGAGCACGTATGCCTGTGTGCATGAGAGCTTGTGTGTCCCTGAAAAAGCATATGTGTCCGTGTGCGTGTGAGCCTGTGTGTACCTCAGTGTGTGCCCGTGTGTGTGAGCCTGTGTCCGAGAGAGCGCGTGCCCGTGTGTGTGAGCTTGTGTCCCTGAGAGTGTGTGTGCCCATGTGCGAGCTTGTGTGTCCGAGAGAGCGTGAGCCCGTGTGAGTGAGCCTGTACATCCCTGAGAGAGCGTGTGTGCCCGTGTGCGTGTGAGCCTGTGTCCCTGAGAGCATGTGTGCCTGTGTGCGTGTGAGCCTGTGCATCTGAGAGCGTGTGTGCCCATGTGTGAGCCTGTGCGTCCCTGACAGTGTGTGCCGGTGTTTGTGTGCCTGTGCGTCCCTGAGAGCGTGTCTGTGTGTGCCCGAGTGTGCGTTGAGCCTGTGTGTCCCTGAGCATGTGTGCCCGTGTGCGTGTGAGCCTGTGTGTCCCTGAGAGCGTGTGCCCATGTGAGCTTGTGTGTCCCTGAGAGAGCGTGTGTGCCCGTGTGTGAGCCTGTGTCCCTGAGAAAGTGTGTGTGCCCGTGTCTGTTAGCCTGTGTGTCCAAGGGAGCGTGTGTGCCCGTGTCTGTTAGCCTGTGTGTCCAAGGGAGCGTGTGTGCCCGTGTCTGTTAGCCTGTGTGTCCAAGGGAGCGTGTGTGCCCGTGTCTGTTAGCCTGTGTGTCCAAGGGAGCGTGTGTGCCCGTGTCTGTTAGCCTGTGTGTCCAAGGGAGCGTGTGTGCCCGTGTCTGTTAGCCTGTGTGTCCAAGGGAGCGTGTGTGCCCGTGTCTGTTAGCCTGTGTGTCCAAGGGAGCACGTGTGCCCGTGTGAGCCTGTGTCCCTGAGAGCATATATGCCCGTGTGCGTGAGCTTGTGTGTCCATGAGAGCATGTGTGCCCACGTGCGTGTGAGTACGTGTGTGTGAGTGCATGCCCACTGCTCAAGCAGCCCTGCCATCTGCCGAGTTTGCATCCCTTGCAAGAGTGATGGCTCCAAACCCAATTCAGGTCCAGACCGCCCTCTCTGACCCCTGACCCAGTGGGCTGCCCTGAGCACCGCCTGTGCCCATCCACCTGCGTCTCCAGGACAGGCGCCTACGTGTGAGAAGATGCTGGGACAGGCAGGGACTGTGAGTACAGAAGAGGGGCCGTGAGGACCGGCAGGAATCCCTGGGGCCAAGCTCCTGAGGTGGCCACTGTGCCCTCGAGGTGAAGGTGCCGGGAAGGAACTGGGAAACTGAACAGCAACTGGAAAACGCCAGGCACAGACCCGTCCCTTGGCAGCCCCGCTGTCACCAGCCTGTGAAGGCCTGCTTTGCAGGAGGCACATGGTTGGAGGGGGCCAGACTCACCACCCAGAGCCCCAGTTGGCAGCTGTGCTGGTGCTGTCCTAGCCCCCATCACAGGGTGGCCCAAGCCCCAGCCTGCAGCTGCCTGCCCTGTTAGCATGACATCACATAAACTCTGAGCAGTCCCTGCCTTCAGCCTGGACTCTGCAGGCCAACCAGTGCCCTCTCAGAAGTTGTGCAAAGGGGCAGCAGGCCAGGCCAGCACAAGCTGCATCCTGCCAGGTCTCCCTGATGAGGGCTCTGGGCTCTAGAACAGAAACCGCCCACTTCCCAAGTTTTCCACGGCCCCCAGGGCTTCCAGGCCAACAGAGGCCCTCAAACGCAGCTTGCCAGTTCCCAGGGGTGGGAAAACCACAAACCCCAGGAAGAGACAGTCCCATGGCTTCATATCAACACGACAGGGTCCGGAGTCAAGGTGCCACCCAGAGAAGAGGTTCTGAGGCAAGAGGCGGGAAGGGCTGGGGGGCAGGGCCTGGCAGGTGGGAGGAAGACAGTGGTGAATGTAATTGACCACTGGTTAAAAGCTCATGTTGTTGGGAGGCTGAGGCAGGCAGATTGCTTCAGCCCAGAAGTTCAAGACCAGCCTGCGAAACATAGTGAAACCCCATCTCTACGAAAAAATACAAAAATTAGCAGGGCGTGGTGGTGCACATCCATAGTCCCAGCTACTCAGGAGGCTGAGGTGGGAGGATGGCTTGAGGCCCTGAGGTAGAGGCTGCAGTGAGCCAAGATATCGCCACTGCACTCTGCAGCCTGGGCGACAGGAGTGAGACCCTGTCTCAGAAATAAAATAAAACAAAAGCTCATGCTCATGTTCTCCTAAGGGATAAAACTACAGTTTCAGGCAAACAAGATGTGGTCGGCTCAGTGCGGGCCGCACACGCTCAGGTACTCCTCAGAAGAGCTGAGTGACTGCGACTTGGGTAGGAAGACTCAGAATGCACAATGTTAAGGGTGACAAAGAAAATAATCAAATCAACTGGAAAAACACAAAGGAGGAGAAACTTTCATTTACCCCACAGAAAGCAGGAAAGAAAAAGAGGAAAGGGACAGACACAGAAAACACACACAAGACTGAGCCCCCCACGGCCTCGTGCCAGCAGCGGGACACAGGCAGACCGCCTCTGCCTCGATGGGGTCTGCACAGGCCCAAGGTGAGGGGTCCCGGGCAAAGCGTGGGGGCCTTGGGGCACCAGAGGAGCGGAGGCTGAGTGGCCAAGGCTGAGGTGAGCTGCCTCTGGGAGGAATCACTTCCAGTTTCTTAACGTAGGTTCCAGAAAAACTTCAGCAATGTCCTCACACCCCCATGGCCATGTCAGCAGCCCCACCCGCCACAGGCTTCCTTCTGTGAAGCCTCCAGCCAAGTCCAAGGCTAAACCACAACAAGCAGCAGAAGGCATGGCACCTCCCAGATACTCCGGGCTCTGCCACAATGACCCGAGGGCCAGAGCGGCTGTGCCCGGAGCCGCCCTCCCAGGAGAGGAGGCCCAGTTCTGGTGGGAGAAAAACACTCCAGCCTCAGGTGCGAGCCCAGCCCACAGCACCGACAGGAGTCAATGTATTCAGAGTGGACACTTGCGTTCTGTCAGAGTAAACTATGCAGCTTTGACCAGACCTTTAATGAACAAACAAGCATTACTACCAGGTAAGATATATTTTTAAAAACTTTAAAAATCTATCACTGGGTTGGCAAGAACGTTCAGAACCTTAGAGAACAAAACCTAAGTAAAAGCAGGAACCTGGAAAAAGGAAGGCCCCGCGCAGGAGGGCCCTGGCCGGCAGCTGGCCTGCGCCCGCTCCTTTCACAGCTTTGCAGAAGTCAGGGGAGAGAGGCTGGGCCAGGCCTGGTTGCTGATCCAGTTACTGCCGGGGGACGCCCCAAGGCTGAGACTGGGAGGGTTTAGGTGAACAAGGAAGAAAGCCACCATCCAGCCCTAGGGGAAGCTCTTATCACAGTCCTGGCCCCACTCGGTCAGGACCCACAGAAACACAATATGCTGCATGCAGGCTGCAACGGGGAGGGCAAGTCCTGTGTGGACGGAGTGCTCAGAATAAAATGTTCCTGGATCTTTGAATCGTTTGGAGGAGGGCAAAAATACTAATTTTAGACTTCAACAAATTAATTCTGCATGTTAGAACATCCGAGGCAACCACTATGAAGCCAAGTGAGCAAATTCCAACCCAGTAGAGAAGAAAAAGAAACAAAAATAATCCAAAAGAAGTCAAGAAACGAAAAAGCAACTGGTCCTCAAATGACAGAGTACAAGGAAAGATGGTGGAAATAAATTTAAATATAATAATTACAGTAATGTAAATGGACCAATAGTCTAGTTAAGACAAAGACTGTCAGCAAGATTTTAAAGATCTTGGTAAAGATCTATACCAAACACATCTAAAGTATAAGGGCAGGAAATTCTAAAAGTCAAGAATGGAAGAGACAGAGCTGATGCGGCTCCATCGAGGCTGGCTCTGTGGATACAAGGCTTCCGCGACTGGCGAGGCGACCCAGACCTGACAGGCGGCCTCGCGGCACAGACACAAAGCAGGCAGACGTGTTCCAGGAGGCACCCGACGTCTGCAGCGACAGAGGAGATGGTACAAGAAGCCTTGCTTTACCTTGCAGGTGTGCAGAACGCCGACCCAAGAAACGGAAAACACAGATTCACCATCCAGGGAGTGTCTCTGAAACTGACCACAGAGCAGGGCATGAAGCAACGTCTGGGCAAATGTCAGAGGCCGCAGCACCCAGGCAGGCCTCTGTCAAATGCACCGCCCAGAATCAGGAATGAGAGAGGCCACTGGGCAAGTAAGCACACAGAGCAGACAAAAAGCCTCCCAGAGAAGGACTGGCAGTGAGTGAGGAGCTCTGCGCCCGCATCCCTCACTTGTTGGGGTGACAACAGCACACCAACTGCAAAGGCCCATGACCATGCTTGGCATCAGCAGCAGCCTTGGGCGTCCCAGCTAAGACCTGGAGAGCTGACGGAGCAGCCTCGTGCTGCAAACAAGCAGGACCCTCCACCCATCAGAAAGAGCCCAGACCTCACCAGCACGCAGGCCTCCCGAAGAGAAGCTTCCTTACGCTCGTGCTAAATCAGCCAGGAGCCATACGAGGTCGGCCCTGTAAGCCACACCCACCTGCACCTGTGCCTGCCATGTTAGCCCCAGTGACTTGGCCGTGCCGACAGCCATGACGAGCGCCCTTTGCACTAAGTGTAAAGCGTACAGTATAGGATACACTTTTGGGCTTGGACAAAACAATGAATCATTAAATATATAAAATAATCATCGTCTCAAGAAATAATTTTATATGAATAAAGAGGAAAGAGGAAGCATGAAATCCACAACTCACCGGGCCTGAGAATGAACTAGAACACATCATTTCTCTCTGATCAATCACACCCCAATCTCCTTCTGAAGACCAGTGAAGACTCGCCTGTGTGGCAAGGCTGCCTCTAACCCGCACATCTGCACCGACACGGCTGCACGAACAGCAAAACCGCAGCATCCCCCGTCCCGGCGGCCCGGTTCACGGAGCACTCACTGCACACTGCGGCAGCCCCTGTCCCGGCGGCCCGGTTCACGGAGCACTCACTGCACACTGCGGCATCCCCTGTCCCGGCGGCCCGGTTCACGGAGCACTCACTGCACACTGCGGCAGCCCCTGTCCCGGCGGCCCGGTTCACGGAGCACTCACTGCACACTGCGGCAGCCCCTGTCCCCGCGGCCCCGTTCACGGAGCACCCACTGCACACTGCGGCAGCCCCTGTCCCGGCGGCCCCGTTCACGGAGCACCCACTGCACACTGCGGCATCCCCTGTCCCGGCGGCCCGGTTCACGGAGCACCCACTGCACACTGCGGCAGCCCCTGTCCCGGCGGCCCCGTTCACGGAGCACCCACTGCACACTGCGGCAGCCCCTGTCCCGGCGGCCCCGTTCACGGAGCACCCACTGCACACTGCGGCATCCCCTGTCCCGGCGGCCCGGTTCACGGAGCACCCACTGCACACTGCGGCAGCCCCTGTCCCGGCGGCCCGGTTCACGGAGCACCCACTGCACACTGCGGCAGCCCCTGTCCCGGCGGCCCCGTTCACGGAGCACCCACTGCACACTGCGGCAGCCCCTGTCCCGGCGGCCCCGTTCACGGAGCACCCACTGCACACTGCGGCAGCCCCTGTCCCGGCGGCCCCGTTCACGGAGCACCCACTGCACACTGCGGCAGCCCCTGTCCCGGCGGCCCCGTTCACGGAGCACCCACTGCACACTGCGGCAGCCCCTGTCCCGGCGGCCCCGTTCACGGAGCACCCACTGCACACTGCGGCAGCCCCTGTCCCGGCGGCCCCGTTCACGGAGCACCCACTGCACACTGCGGCAGCCCCTGTCCCGGCGGCCCGGTTCACGGAGCACTCACTGCACACTGCGGCATCCCCTGTCCCCGCGGCCCCGTTCACGGAGCACTCACTGCACACTGCGGCAGCCCCTGTCCCGGCGGCCCCGTTCACGGAGCACCCACTGCACACTGCGGCAGCCCCTGTCCCGGCGGCCCGGTTCACGGAGCACCCACTGCACACTGCGGCAGCCCCTGTCCCGGCGGCCCCGTTCACGGAGCACTCACTGCACACTGCGGCAGCCCCTGTCCCGGCGGCCCCGTTCACGGAGCACCCACTGCACACTGCGGCAGCCCCTGTCCCCGCGGCCCCGTTCACGGAGCACTCACTGCACACTGCGGCAGCCCCTGTCCCGGCGGCCCCGTTCACGGAGCACCCACTGCACACTGCGGCAGCCCCTGTCCCGGCGGCCCGGTTCACGGAGCACCCACTGCACACTGCGGCATCCCCTGTCCCGGCGGCCCGGTTCACGGAGCACTCACTGCACACTGCGGCAGCCCCTGTCCCCGCGGCCCCGTTCACGGAGCACTCACTGCACACTGCGGCAGCCCCTGTCCCGGCGGCCCCGTTCACGGAGCACCCACTGCACACTGCGGCAGCCCCTGTCCCGGCGGCCCCGTTCACGGAGCACCCACTGCACACTGCGGCAGCCCCTGTCCCGGCGGCCCCGTTCACGGAGCACTCACTGCACACTGCGGCAGCCCCTGTCCCGGCGGCCCCGTTCACGGAGCACCCACTGCACACTGCGGCATCCCCTGTCCCGGCGGCCCGGTTCACGGAGCACCCACTGCACACTGCGGCATCCCCTGTCCCGGCGGCCCGGTTCACGGAGCACTCACTGCACACTGCGGCAGCCCCTGTCCCCGCGGCCCCGTTCACGGAGCACTCACTGCACACTGCGGCAGCCCCTGTCCCGGAGGCCCCGTTCACGGAGCACCCACTGCACACTGCGGCAGCCCCTGTCCCGGCGGCCCCGTTCACGGAGCACCCACTGCACACTGCGGCAGCCCCTGTCCCGGCGGCCCCGTTCACGGAGCACCCACTGCACACTGCGGCAGCCCCTGTCCCCGCGGCCCCGTTCACGGAGCACTCACTGCACACTGCGGCAGCCCCTGTCCCGGCGGCCCCGTTCACGGAGCACCCACTGCACACTGCGGCATCCCCTGTCCCGGCGGCCCCGTTCACGGAGCACCCACTGCACTGCAGCAGGCCCAGCAAAAGCCCTGCCAACACCACCAGCATCTCTTCCTGAGTCCTGACCTCCCCACGTACAAGGTGGACCCCCACGGCCCGTCTCCAAGACCAAGGTCTGCCCTCCTACCGGGGACACGCCCGCGGCTCTGCTGGGCAGCTTCCCTCCCCTCCCCTCCTCGGCTAGAGACCCCTCTCTCTGCAGTTCCCCCTCCTGACACTTGAGTGGGGCTCCCCAGATGTCTGGCCCCAAGAAAGGCACAGCATGGAGGCAGCAGCACTGAGGTGGGACAACAGCCCCCACAAGACATCCCTGAAACTCCTGCTGGGATAAGGTTCGTGGCTTGCAGCTGTCGGGGCCATGTTTGTCCCCCCTGGGGAGAGGATCCCCCCGCAAAAACACCAGGGAGCAGAAATGAAAAACAAGAAAAAGAAGACAGACCACCTGGCACCTGGATCCAGCTGTCCTGGAACCCAGCCCCTCACAAAGGAGCCAGGCCAAGGCTGCAGCTGCCTCTGCTGTTTGGATCCGACCGCCATCCCAGTGTCTGCAGCTGCCAGGGACAGGCGGGGGACACAGGAGGGGGCTCTGGTGTCACCCTTCATTTTCAGCTGGTTGACCTTCCAGGCCACAATGCAAGAAAGGGGGTCCACTGGCCGGGCGCGGTGGCTCATGCCTGTAATCCCAGCATTTTGGGAGGCCGAGGCAGGTGGATCACGAGGTCAGATCGAGACCATCCTGGCTAACACGGTGAAACCCCGTCTCTACTAAAAATACAAGAAAAAATCAGCTGGGTGTGGTGGTGGGCACCTGTATTCCCACCTACTCAGGAGGCTGAGGCAGGAGAATGGCTTGAACCTGGGAGGCGGAGCTTGCAGTGAGCTGAGATCGCACCACTGCACTCCAGCCTGGGAGACAGAGTGAGACTCCATCTCAAAAAAAAAAAAAAAAAGAAAGGAAGGAGGTTCACAATGATCTCAAACAGCTGCTGCCAACTGGGCACGGGACACACGCCTTGGTCCCAGCACTTTGGGAGGCTGAGGTGGGAGGATCACTTGAGCCCAGGAGGTTGAGGCTACAGTGAGCCGAAATGGTGCCACTGCACTTCAGCCTGGGCAACAGAGCAAGACCCTGTCTCAAAAAAACAAAACAAAACAAAACAAAGCAGCTGCTGACTTCATCAGCCATGAGGCAGGTTGGCTCATGGAGACCTCCCTGCACCCTGGACCCCTTGCCCTCCCAGTCACAGCAGTGCTCTGCCAGGCACTCCGACTGCTGGCTCTGGAGTCAGCAGCATGGGAGCCTTGCCCCTGCCTCGGAGCCAGTGGGGGGCCCGCCGCAACTCAGACTCTGGCCCAGCTGCATGCAGACCAATGCAGTGGGCTGGGGGCCGTGTTCCCCAGGAGGCTGGCACTGCCAGTCCTGCACCTGCGGGAGAGCCATGGCTGGCATCGGGCACAGCAGCCTCTCAGGCTCTCACTCAGGGTATTTTGACACAAACTGCAGGTGGCTGATGTTGGCCCCACACAGAGACAGCGTCCTCAGAGAGGGGTGGCGTGGGGTACCATGGTGGTCACCATGCAGGGCAGGGGCCAGGTGCCACCTGTGGACAGAAGACATCACCCGCTGCTCTCCCCAGCCCTTTGAGCATAGCATGGTGTGGGCTGTCAGTGAACATTTGCCAGGTAAAAGCAACCCAGTCATTCAAGCAGGGGACACTCATGAGAGCTACAGCAGGAAAAATAGCCAGGAGAACACACACAGAGAGGGCTGGTCCAGCAACCCTCGTGCCAGATGAGAGGCAGCAGCACAGAGGGCATTCCGGAGTGGCATGCCAAGTCAAACGGCAATCCTGAATGTACGTGGCATCATCCAGCTTTAGGTTTACAAAGCAAATGCTGGCAGAACTGAAAGGAAAAACAGACAAACCCACAACCACAGTGGGAGATTTAAAACCGTCTCTCTCGATAACTGACAGGGTGGGCAGACAACAAAACAAGATCACCGATCTAGAAGAACACAGATTCCCAACAGTCAATGAACCAACCAGGCTGGCCTGACTCCAACCAACAGGGAACCCACCCTCTAAATAACCCATGGGCCAAAGAACTACCCCAGGCTGCTGAATTCCTTGTGTCTGTCCTAAGCTCAGCCCACCACCAGTTTGTAGGAATTCCATGCCCCACATCCTGGTCCAGCTTCTCACTGCCCCACCCTGTCACCGCTGTGCCTGGGCGGGACTCATGCGATTCTTGTGATGGCAGGCGTGTCTCCCACCACCGAAATCCAGCTTCGCATTGCCGCACCCCATCACTTTTGCGCCCGGGAGGACGCGTGCGATTCTTGTGATGGCGGATGCATCTCCCACCACCAAAGTCCAGCACCTGCCACGCGCTTCCCATTAGTGCCTCCCTCCCCCAAAGGTGTTGGCTCACACCCTCCGTCCACTCCTTTACTGGATCTTACTAACTTGGAAACGTTTTCTGTAGGTTCACAAAGTGCACAGAATGAGTGTCTTCAGCTACATGAGTTGCAAACTCTAGGTTTGAGGCCACATTGCTCTTCTCGGTATCTTCTGTAACGGAAGGTTTTTCCCTTTTCCCAGTCACCACTCACCCTGCTGCCTGATTAGGGGCAGCCTCAGCCTAAGGCGGAGCTGCACCAATGGCGACACCTCAAGAGCAGACCCGCAGGCTCTAGCGGGCCGAAGGCAGAGCACGGCCGTGAGACCTCCAGGGCTCCAAGAGCAGACCCGCAGGCTCCAGCGGGGCTGAGGCGGAGCACGGCTGTGAGACCTCCAGGGCTTGGCTGCATGGGCCCTGGCAGATGTTAGAGCTGCAGCAGGCTGGGGAAGGCCAGCAGGAGTGGGGCTGGGGACAGCCAAGTGTGAGGGGCTCATCCTGCATGAGCTACCCAAAAGCAAGTGTGGTTTCAGAAGTCTGAGCTTTGGAGACAAACCTGAAAGACATCAGCAAACAGATTCAACCCTGTGAAATTGTATTTTTCTTGATCAACAAAAGTAGCAGCTTTGTGTGGTACACCGGGTGATGGCATTGACAGCAATGAGCGCCTCTGCCCAGGGGCCTGGGGCCAGACCTGTGCTGGCAGAGGGTGGAGAGGACGAGACTCGGGTGGGGCTGCGACAGGAAGAGGAGGAGGGCGCTGGGTGGTGGCCGGGGGACTTTAAGCTGCAATAGTGTTGGTGTGTGCAGAGAGGACGGCCCTGTGGGAAGTGTTGGGGGACTTGCTGGGGGCACATCCTGAGGGATGGCAAAGGCGGCACCTCCCAACTGTGAGTCCAGGTGCAGCACAACGCAGGGGCAGGGGACACTGTGGGGGGCCCTGGGGGCTGATTCTAGCCCCAACCACCACAAGGGCAACTTCTTACTGAGAGACAGGCAAGGCTGAACCCCAGCCCCAACAGGCCCCTGGCAATGGTGTGGGACGAGCCCAGATGCCAACACCAGGCATCCCAGCAACATGCTTGAGGCCCAGAGCACACGAGCCGAACAGGAACCGGCAGGCCTGGTCAACAGCAGTGGCCTGGTGCCCCAGCCCCAGCTAGGCCCCCACCCGGCACTGTCCAGCTCCTCCTCACTGCCCCACCACAACTCATGTGCTCGCCCAGGCACAGGTGCCCTTTCCTGAAAAATGTTAGATGGGAGGTAAAGTTTTGAAACCATGCCTGTCTGGAAATGTCTTCATTCTACCTTGACAACAGATGAACTATTCGGCTTCATCAGGGTCATTCTGTCACAATTTTGAAAGTGCTTCCTGGTTCTCCAGCCCTACGGTGGCTAAGAAGCGCCCCAGCCCTGGCCCCCAGCTTCTGCAGCCTCCTAAGGGTCTGGTCTCACCCACTGTGCTGAGCACACAAGCCCGACGTGCCTGGTGACATGCATGGTGTCCCCTCTGTCCTTTTTCTAGAACTCCAGTGACCGAGACACTGAGCTTCCTAGACTCTCCTCTTCATTTCCTATTTGCTGTGGTGTGAATGAATGTCCCCCGCCAAATGCAGATGCTAGACCCAGAACCCCATGTGACAGTGTTAAGAGGTGGCACCACTAACCCCACCCCAGGGGGTGATCACGTCCTGAGGGCCTGGCCTTTCCCTCTCTTTCGCTAGGTGAGAGGTGCCAGTGAGGAGCTGGCCCTCCTCAGACGCCAACCGGCCAGGGCCTTGCTCACGGACTTCCCAGCCTCCAGAACTGTGAGAAGTAAGTTTCTGTTGTCTATAAATTACCCATCTGTAATAGGCCATTCTTGCATTGCTATAAAGCAATACCTGAGACTGTAATTTATAAAGAAAAGAGGTTTAGTTGCCTCACGGTTCTGCAGGCTGTACAGGTAGCATGGCACCAACATCCCTTGGCTTCCGGGGAGGCCTCAGGTAGCTCTGACTCATGGCGGAAGGCCAGCAGGAGCAGGTGCCTCACATGGCCAAAGCAGGGGCAAGAGGGGGCAGCTGCTGCCCACGTTTAAATGACCAGATCCATCTCGCATGAGCCAGAGCCAGAGCTCACTCATCGCCAAGGGGGTGGGCCAAGCCATTCATGAGGGATCCACCCCCATGATCCAAACACCTCCCGCCAGACCCCACCTCCAACACCGGGGATTATATTTCAACATGAGATTTGGGCAAATATCCAACCATCCCACCAGTCCAGGGCACTTAGCTGCAGCAGCAGGAACGGACGAGGCCCCATTTCTTGCCTGTCCTTCTGCCCTTCTTTCTGGAAAGCTGCACCCTCGTCACTCATCTTCCAACCCTCGAGTTCTCATTCCCGCCATCACACCTTTAACAGCCAAGCATTTTTTCTGTTCTCTGAATATCCCTTTCTTTACGCCATCTGCCCCGTTTCACGGGTGTGATATCCTCTCGTTCCTGAGGATAATCACACTATCTGATGCTCTTCTCTGTGAAGAGTCTCTATCTTCTGCAAGTTGAAGTTGGTCTGTGTCATTCCTGTTGGAAGCTTGACTCTGAACCTGTCGAGGTGGATGGGGCCAAGTCAGTGCAGTGCAGCTGGGCCATCTGTCGGGGTCCCTGGTGTAAGCACCTCTGGGTCTCCCTTGGCAGTTGGATCCCCCAAAGAAACCTGTGCAGAGGGAAAGGCCTGGCCGCCATCCCATTCTGGGCAGGGAACTTCCAGCTTCACCTCGGCCAGAGCCCCAGTACCAACATCTCCTGTTTTCTTGTAACCTTTTTCCAGAGAAAGGGCCTCCACACCGGGCAGGGCAACTGTCAGTGTCAAGAACTGAGAGCAAGAGTCTAGGACCCAACTGCTTTTCAAACAGCCGGTGACTGGGCCTCCGTATCTCAGCTGCCACCTCTCAGAAAGCTAGGGCCATGATTCTGAGCCCTCAGGTGAAGCCAGTGCAACGTGCACTGGTTCTCACCCTGTGAGCCCCCTTGCCACCGCCCTGCCCTCCTGGGTCTGCCAGGACCATCACTGCCCCTCCTGGAGCTTCTGACCTCCAAAGTGCTGATTCTGCTTTCTTTTTTCCATGCAAGTCACATCCTGGTGAACTTTTTTCTAAAACAGTTTCACTGCAGTATAAGTTGCACACCTTAAGATCCATGCACTGTGAGTACACAATTCAGTGACTGCTATAAGTTCACAGAACAGGCACCGTCACCCTCCAGGAAAGCCGTGGAGCCCACCTCCCGTCACTTGTCCAGAGCACCGTCATCCTCCAGGAGAGCTGCAGAGCCCACCTCCCGTCACTTGTCCAGAGCCTGCAGCCCCTCTTCCAGCCGCACTGGAGCAGCCTGTGACCGATCAACCTCAAAGCATGTCGACAAACCCTCACTGCCTCTGCCTGGTGGCCTCAGCGTGCACGAGGACTGTGTGTCAATGAGTGGTGGGCTTGCCTGGTGGAACTGGCGAATCGAGGGGTACAGTGGGCTGCACCACAGGGCAGAGCCGGGTCTGGGCCTGGGCCGTCAGTCCCCTGCCCCAGGGGTTCTGGTGGGCTCATGGGCAGTTGCCTCACCCAGACAGGGCAGCAGGATTGCCACCAACTGGCCAAACACACTCTCCAAAGCGCCATCTCCCCAGGCAGCGCTGCACATCAGGTGATGGCCCCACAACCGCCCAGACAATTGCCCTGAGCCTGAGGCTGGGCAGGGACTCGGCACATTTCTCACAGACCCAAACCCTAATTTCTCACAAACCCAAACTCCAAAAATGCTGTCAAAGAGAAAATACTCCAACAATCATGTTTCACAATCAAGATATATTTTACTTATTTTTCATTTAAGAGGTGAATTATGAATCCAGCTCAAGAAATCTTCCGGGCCATGCTCAGTAGGCCAAGACCTGCCTAAGCAACATAGTGAGACCCCATCTCTATAAATTTCTTTTTTTAATTAGCCAAGCAAGGTGGCTTGTGCCTGTAATCCCAGCTTCCTGGGAGGCTGAGGCAGGAGGATCACCTGAGCCTGGGGAGGTGGAGGCTGCAGTGAGCTGAGATCCGCCACTGCACTCCAGCCTGGGTGACACAGCAAGACCCTGTTTTTTTTTGTTTGTTTGTTTGTTTGTTTTTAAAAGAAAGGCCAGGCGCAGTGGCTCACGCCTATAATCCCAGCACTTCGGGAAGCCGAGGCAGGTGGATCATGAGGTCAGGAGATTGGGACCATCCTGGCCAACATGGTGAAACCCCGTCTCTACTAAAAACACAGAAAAATTAGCTGGGTGTGGTGGCATGTACCTGTAATCCCAGCTACTTGGGAGGCTGAGGCAGGAGAATCGCTTGAACCTGGGAGGCAGAGATTGCAGTGAGCTGAGATCATGCCACTGCACTCCAGCCTGGTGACAGAGTGAGACTCCGTCTCAAAAAAAAGAAGAAAAAGAAAAGAAAAGAAAAATTGGAATGTCCAGTCGGCAAAAAAAGAAAAGAAATCTTCCATAATGCCCAAAATTTCAAAGCCCAGCTACTAATTCAAAGCTAAATGCTTTGTAGTTAACTATGAATTTCATGGAGTTTACTTTCAAGTCACACTACATTTTCTTAAAGTGGTCCTTCATAACATGGACCATGAGAACAAAAAAATTTGAAATTTGGGCCCCACTGAATTTTAATAGATAGAGTCTTGCTCTGTCACCCAGGCTGGAGCGCAGTGGTGATTGCAGATCCTGCAGCCTCCACCTCCAGGGCTCACTCCTATCTCAGCCCCCAGAGCAGCCAGGACTACAGCGCGTACCACCATGCCTGGTGAACCTATATTTGAGTCTTAAATTTAATCCATAATCAGCACACAACAGGAAAAGCTGCCTCTCCACATGAGATTTAAAAAGATACATGAATACAAGTTCTGCAGTCAGTTGTAACAAACTGCAGAGAGGAAAACAAAACTTCTTACCCAATTAACGGGAAAGACAAACCAAATATAAAGATGTCATCAGACTGAAAGAAGCCCTCTGTGCCCATGAAGGCAATCTAATCAGTGCCTTTCAGTCCCTGAGCCACTGGGCTCCCGGGAACTCCAGGCCTCTGCTGGCGCATTCTCCACTCCAGTCTAGAACTCCAGGCCTCTGCAGGCGCAGTCTCCACTCCTGTCTGGAACTCCAGGCCTCTGCAGGCGCAGTCTCCACTCCTGTCTGGAACTCCAGGCCTCTGCAGGCGCAGTCTCCACTCCTGTCTGGAACTCCAGGCCTCTGCAGGCGCAGTCTCCACTCCTGTCTGGAACTCCAGGCCTCTGCAGGCGCAGTCTCCACTCCTGTCTGGAACTCCAGGCCTCTGCAGGCGCAGTCTCCACTCCTGTCTGGAACTCCAGGCCTCTGCAGGCGCAGTCTCCACTCCTGTCTGGAACTCCAGGCCTCTGCAGGCGCAGTCTCCACTCCTGTCTGGAACTCCAGGCCTCTGCAGGCGCAGTCTCCACTCCTGTCTGGAACTCCAGGCCTCTGCAGGCGCAGTCTCCACTCCTGTCTGGAACTCCAGGCCTCTGCAGGCGCAGTCTCCACTCCTGTCTGGAACTCCAGGCCTCTGCAGGCGCAGTCTCCACTCCTGTCTGGAACTCCAGGCCTCTGCAGGCGCAGTCTCCACTCCTGTCTGGAACTCCAGGCCTCTGCAGGCGCAGTCTCCACTCCTGTCTGGAACTCCAGGCCTCTGCAGGCGCAGTCTCCACTCCTGTCTGGAACTCCAGGCCTCTGCAGGCGCAGTCTCCACTCCTGTCTGGAACTCCAGGCCTCTGCAGGCGCAGTCTCCACTCCTGTCTGGAACTCCAGGCCTCTGCAGGCGCAGTCTCCACTCGGCTCCCGGGAACTCCAGGCCCTGTGCGGGTGTAGTCTCCACTCCTGTCTGGAACACTTCCCTGCACATTCTGGCCTTGGGTAACTTCTGTCTCTCCTTCAGGACTAAGCTCACACATTCACTTCTCAGGGAAACATTCTCGAATCCCTAATCTAGGTGTTCCCACAAAGGATTCTGGTGATACTGTAAAATGTGTGCTTGGTCTTCATCCCACCCTGGCACGCAGCTCCTAAAATGCTTAGAATCTCCATGGTTATGTTGTTTTGTACATTAGTGAGTTGACTCAGGGCTGCAGCCCCTAGGTGGCTTGAGGATGGGGTAGGTCACCAGAAAGACCAACGCACGATTAGAGGGGTGGAATTTTCAGCTGCACTCCCCATGGGGGGAGGCGAAAGAGGCTGAAGGTTAAGTTGGTCACCAACGGTTTAAGCAATCATGCCTATGTAATGACGCTTCCATAAAACCCCAAAAGGACAGCGTTCAAGAAGCTTCCAGAGAGCTGAACACATGGGGGGAGGTTTCTGGAGAACAGTGCACCTAGGGAGGGCATGGAAGTTCCAGGCCCTTTCCCCACACCTCACCCTACGCTTCTCTTCATCTGTATCCTTTGTAATATCCTCCATGATAAACATCAATGTAAGCTTCCCAAAATTCTATGAGTCACTCTTGAAAATCAGTCAGACCCAAGGAGGGGGTGTGGGAACCCCGATTTGTACCTGGTTGGTCAGAGCTCGGGTGAATTATCCCTGGGCTTGTGATGGGCACTGGAAGTGGGGGTGGTCTTGGGGAGCTGAGCGCTTACCCGGTGGGATCTGAGTCTCCCGCTAGGTAGACAGTGTGGAGACTGAATTAGAGGGGGGCTGAGGCTACCGCCAGGTAGACAGTGTGAGGACTGACTTACAGGGTGGCTGAACACTCACCCAGTAGGATCTGAGGCTACCGCCAGGTAGACAGTGTGGGGACTGAATTAGAGGGGGGCTGAGGCTACCGCCAGGTAGACAGTGTGGGGACTGAATTAGAGGGGGGCTGAGGCTACCGCCAGGTAGACAGTGTGGGGACTGAATTAGAGGGGGGCTGAGGCTACCGCCAGGTAGACAGTGTGGGGACTGAATTAGAGGGGGGCTGAGGCTACCGCCAGGTAGACAGTGTGGGGACTGAATTAGAGGGGGCTGAGCACTTACCCGGTGGGATCTGAGGCTACCACCAGGCAGACAGTGTGAGGACTGAATTAGAGGGGGGCTGAATCTCCTGCCAGGTAAGACAGTGTGGGGACCGACTTAGAGGACACCCAGCTGGTGTCTGCTGTGGGACTGATTTGTGGCTGGTATGGAGAAACCCTTCTTGGTGACCACAGGTAGATAATTCTTCTGTGTTGATTCTTACGGGGTGAGTGCAGAAGAAAAACTTCTTAAAACTCAATACTCAGCTAATGTTAGTGGAGGATTAGCAATTAAGAGTGGGAAAGGGGTAGGAAAATGTAAACTCACAATTGAACTGCCTGGGTTAGTTTGTTTTGTTTTTACTGAGGGACTAGGGGGAGGAGTACAGAAGGAACAGAAAAGATGACAAAAGGAAGAAACTATGGGGTCTGCAGGAACCCTACACACCAGGCCAAGCTCCCGACAGCCCCAATCCTCCCTGCGATGCAGGCGATGTGAAGATGCCCAGGAGGGCGGGACGCCTGGTACATCAGAGCAGATGCTAACACAGACACAGCATTACCAAACCCCATTTTCACTTCTGCAGGATAAAGTATGCATGACATCTGCTAGCTCTGCACACTTGCATCTTTAACCAAACTAGCCTTGTACATGTTTAAAGGACCAAGGTGGTTCCCAGCCTTGGAGCATCGCCGGGGTGACACTCCCGCACCCCAGGCTCAGCACCCTCCATTTACCACCTTGTTTTGGTAAGGAACATTTCAGTCACTTCCAGAAAAAAGATGCCTGAGGCCTTTGATAGTTTCAAAGGGTAAAGAATACTACAAAGGAAATCACTTTCCATCAGAATTTTGAACTTACTGCTTCACAGACTTCCAAACTCCAGAACTGCTATTAAGAAGTCCAAAGTTATTCTGACCCTCAATCCTGGAATGCAATCTGTGTCTTTCTGGAAGCTTTCCGAATCTTCAATCTGTTCTCAGGGTCTAGGATTTCCAGACGCCGTGTCTTTGTGTCTTTGTACCAGTCTGTTTTCACACAGTGTGTGGGTGTCTGGTGGACTCTGGGACATTTTGTTCAGTGACTTTCTCTCATTGATGTTTCTTCCATCTCATTCCTAAAACTTTTACTATCCAGGTACTGGACTCTCTAGACTGGTCCTTGAATATTCTTTTCTCCTATTCTCCAACTCCAAATTTTTGCTCTATTTTCTGAGAGATTCTCAACTTTATCTTGCAACCCATGCTTCTGTTTAGTCTTTTTTTTCTTTTGAACCCTACAAAGATTATTTCATTGCTGGGCGCAGTGGCTCACGCCTGTAATCCCAGCACTTTGGGAGGCTGAGGTGAGCGGATCATGAGGTCAAGAGATTGAGATTATCCTGGCCAACATGGTGAAACCCGGTCTCTACTAAAAATACAAAAATTAGCTGGGCATGGTGGCGGGTGCCTGTAATCCCAGCTACTCAGGAGGTTGAGGCAGGAAAATCGCTTCAACCCGGGAGGCAGAGGTTGCAGTGAGCCAAGGTCACGCCACTGCACTTCAGCCTGGCAACAGAGCGAGACTCTGTCTCAAAAAACAAACAAACAAAAAACAATTATTTCATGCAATGTTTATAGACTTAGAGATGTGTTTACGTTTTGCTAACCATTTCTTTTTGCATCTCTCTCTCTCTCTTTTTTTTTTAGACGGTCTTGCTCGGTTGCCCAGGCTGGAGTGCAGTGGCACCATCATGCCTCACAGCAACCTCAAACTCCTGGGCTCAAGTGACCCTCCTGAGTAGCTGGGACCATAGGTGTGTGCCACCCACACATGGATATTTTTCTTTCTTTTTTTTTTTTTTAGAGAGGGGTCTTGCTATGTTGCTTAGGCTGGTCTTGAACTCCTGGCCTCAAGTAATCCTCCTTCCTCAGCCTCTCAAAGTGCTGCGATAACAGGCATGACCCACCACGCCCAGCTCATTCTTTCCTTTTAAAACATTTTTCCTTCTTCCTGAATCCTGTCTTTTAGAAGCATCTTTAATGATGGTCTGTTGGTAGTAAACTCTGTTTTATCTGAAAATGTCATTTCACCTTTGATGTTAAAAGATAATTTTGTTGGATACTCAATAGGTTCCTTCTCTCAATATTGAAGATGAACACCACAGTCTTCTGGCTTTCTCTGCTGCTGAGAAGGCAGCCGGCCGTCTGTACTGCTGGCACTGCCCTGGATGACTTCTCTCCTACCTCTGATTGCTTTTAAAATCTTCTCTTGGTCTTTGGTGTTTTGGAGCTTTCCTATGATGTGTCTCCACATGGATTTCTTTCATTTAACCTGTTTAAAATATACTGCGTTTCCATTACCTAGGGACTCAAATCTTTCATCAGTTACAAAATATCCTTCAGCCAACGGCTCTTCAAATACTGCCTCTTCTCCATTCTATTTTCCCCTTCTGGGGCTGAAATCAAATGTATCTTAAACTTTTGCATTCTATCCTCTGTGTCTCAATCAACCTCTCTGTCACTTTCCCCGTCTTGTTAACTCTTGGCTGCATTCTTAAAAAATGTCTTCCAGTTCACAAAGTTTCTCTCAACTGTACATAATCTGACATTTAACCTATTGATTGGTCTCTTTCAAATCTTCCTGATCACTCCTGCTGATCTCTTGTTTTCTGCTCATCTTCATGTTCTTTTTCACTTTTTAAGTCCCTAGTACCTCAATTTTCGAGACTTTTGAGTGTTCTGTAGCACAAACAGGATGAATCCTTAGCTTCCCTCACTGCCGACATGGAATCTGGCTTTCTCGGATCTGCTCAGTAAATGATCACTCACCCATCTGCTTCCCAGCTTCCAGAACTTCACTACTGTCTTCTCTCCCACTTCACCCATTCCCTGTGAGTCTGACTTTTTAAAACATCACTTTGCTGTTCACTTAGCAAAGGCTTGGGAAAGAGTGACACTGCATTTGTTTTCACTCTGCCACCCTTACCTGGAAGCCAGTATGCTTTTTTTAAAAATTACCTTCGGCACGGGCCAGGAGCGGTGGCTCACGCCTGTAATCCCGACACTTTGGGAGGCCGAGGCAGGTAGATCACTTGAGGTCAGGAGTTTGAGACCAGTCTGACCAACATGGTGAAACTCCACCTCTACTAAAAATACAAAAATTAGCCGGGCATGGTGGTACATGCCTGAGTCCCCGCTACTTGGGAGGCTGAGGCAGGAGAATCACTTGAGCCCGGGAGGTGGAGGTTGCAGTGAGCTGAGATCGCACCACTGCACTCCAGCCTGGGTGACAGAGCGAGATGCTGTCTCAAAAAAAAAAAAAAAAGAAAGAAAGAAAGAAAGAAAGAAAAGAAATATTTTTGAATTAATTTAAATTTCATTTCTATCACAAAAACTATTTCAAAATATAAAAAAAGAACTTCTTAAATCATCATCTGTTAACATTAACCATATTACAGGCACACCGCACAGATGTCTTCCTGGTCAACATTTCTTGGTAGAGCATCTTTTTATTTTTGACAGTTTATAAGTTCACAAACCATATGATTCTTCCAATACGTATTCCTGTCAATGGTTGCCACGGTAAATTTTGTATTTACATCAAGAAACAAAACCAACATTTTAACAAAATGAAGTGCAGGGGAGAAAAAAAAAATCCTCAAGTTGCATTTCAGATACAAGTAGAAGACGCCACAATCACACACGTGGATGTGAGCAGAGCACGTGCTGCGTGGATGATGCTGACACAAACAGGCCTCTCAATGTCACCCTGGGAAAAGCAACAGTGAAAGCTTCACCTCGGCTGTCCAGTGTCAGGAAGCCGCATTTAAAACATTAACATCCTCACACAATAGCCTGTTTCTTGTATAAAGGGTGTTTGTTACACGGATGCTTTGTCTTAGGAAACTGGTTGCACTGACACAATAATTTACTGGCTTTTCCTATTTAACATGAAAAAGACAGCATTTTCATGCAAGACGTCTGGTTTTCAGGAATGGGTTACGGATGCAAGAACTACCCTTGCTCTCTGTAGAATATATTACAGGCGACATGCAGAAAATATGGAAAACCATTTCTGCCAAAAGCCAGATCGAGTAATCTATGCTATTTTAGAAGCTCCATGACACCAGGGATTGGCTAAACACAAACACGTTCAAACAAGCACCCACCTGTTTTTGGACTCTCGCGTGGCTCAGTTGCACACGGGGGACTGACAGGGACAGTTTTCATGGCACATGATGTGGTTTGGCTCTGTGTCCCCACCCAAATCTCATTTTGTAGCTCCCATAATTCCCACATGTTGGGGGAGCGACCTGGTGGGAGATAATTGAATCATAGGGGTGGGTCTTTCCCATGCTGTTTTCGTGATAGTGAATGAGTCTCACGAGATCTGATGGTTTTAAAAATGGGAGTCTCCCTGCACAAGCTCTCCTCTTTGCCTGCTGCCATCCAGGTAAGACGTGACTTGCTCCTCCTTGCCTTGCACCATGATTGTGAGGCCTCCCCAGCCATGTGGAACTGTGTAAGTCCATTAAACCCTTTTTCCTGTATAAATTACCCAGTCTCAGGTATGTTTTTATCAGCAGCTTGAAAACAGACTAATACAGCACACTTACAAAGCAACACTTCAATGTAGATTTAGCAGAAACAACAAAAAATGTCACAACACTGCAGTAAAGAAGTGTTTTCCCGATAAATACCCATTAGGTATTAGATAAGCATCCCATAAAACATTGTTGAAAACGAAGCCGAGTTTTCGATTCACACAGTTGTCTGTTTTAACCTCTCTAAATCCCGATAAATAGCCATTAGGTATTAGATAAGCGTCCCACGAAACATTGTTGAAAACGAAGCCACGTTTTCCGATTCACACAGTTAGTTGTCTGTTTTAACCTCGCTAAATGCTCTGTTCTAGTTGCTTTCATTTCATCAGACCCTAGTACATAGAAATCAACATTGTGAGGGTCCCACTCTTCATCTATATAGACATTACTCTATTTCTTATTTCCTACAATAATAAAATGTACACTCAACTAGATATTTTTATTTCTCATCTGCCTGGGCCCATCCCAGCACCAGTTCTTGCAGAGGTGTTCCAGGAGGTGACATCTGAAAGCTTTCATCCACCATCCACCTGTTCTGCCACAGGATCACGGGGGGAAAGACCACACCGGCTTCTGGTTCTCAGGTTCTAGTCTATGACATCTGGGACCCTGGGGCACCGGTCTCTGGCCCTCAAGGCACCAGAGGACGGGAAAGGAGAGGCAGACGCTATTAAATTCTTTATGGAATGAAAATTAACTCTTTATGTTGTATAACTGGCTGCTACAATCTGTCAAGCAGAAATGAGACAACATGGAGATGCAGACGCAGGCAGATGATGGGCTGGTAAAGCGAAGCTGACCACCAAGACCCCACCATGCTCACATCGAGGAGGAATGCAGTGGCGCCCAGGTGGCCAACTCCCGAGGCAGGAGCTCAGGCAGGGCCCTGGCAGCACCACCTGACCTGTCTCCTGGCATCCCCTCAGCTCTCCTGCGTTCTGCCCATCACTCACCCCAGGACTCCATCCTCCCACACCCCTCAACTTCCAGCTTAGACTCAGCCTCTGTCGGCCTCCGCCAAAAGCAGAGCCTGAGACGAGGATGTGGCTTCATGGGCTCTATTTAGGAGGGGAGCTCGGGAAGAAGAAACGCAGACCCAGGATGCACCCAAGCTCCTGCCACAGTCTGAGCTGGCCCCACAGGTACCCAAGAGTGTCCTCTGAAGCCAGTGCATTTACCCATCATGCAAGGAGAGGGGGACATCCCATCACAGTGCAGCCACGAGGAGGAGGGGTACCTGCCACAAGCTCCGGGTGGGCCACTGCAGCCACCCACTACCTCATCCTTGGCCCCTCGGCATACCCACCTGCAAATCCAAACCTGGAGAGACAAAACTCTCAGAACCACACCCAGGCTACATAGATCTGTGAGCAACAGATGTATGTTGCTTTAAGAGGTTAAATCTGTGGTGGTTTGTTATGGCAGCAATAGAATACTAACACAGATGTGGCTTACACCTCTGATCTCAGCACTTTGGGATGCTGAGGCGGGCTGATTGCTTGAGTGCACAAGTTCAAGACCAGCCTCAGCAACATGAGACCTCGTCTCTATTAAAAATCAAAACAAACAAAGATAAAAAGTGGGCTGGGTGCAGTGGCTCAGGCCTGTTAATCCCAGCAATTTGGGAGGCAGAGGTGGGTGGATGACCTGAGACCAGCAGTTCAAGATTAGCCTGGCCAACATGGTGAAACCCTGACTCTACTAAAAATACAAAATATTAGCCAGGCATGGTGGCGGGCGCCTGTAGTCCCAGCTACTCAGGAGGCTGAGGCAGGAGAATTGCTTGAGCCTGGGAGGCGGAGGCTGCAGTGAGCTGACATCATGCTACCACACTCCAGCCTGGGTGACAGAGTGAGACTCCGTCTTAGGGGAAAAAAAATAGATAAAAATTAAAAAAAAAAAAATTAGCCAGGTGATACAGTTTGGCTCTGTGTCCCCACCCAAATCTCACCTTGAATTGCAATAATCACCACGTGTCATGAGAGGGACCTAGTGGGAGGTAACTGAATCATGGGGACGGGTCTTTCCTGAGCTGTTCTCATGACTGTGAATAAGTGTCATGAGATCCGATGGTTTTATAAGAGGGCAGTTCCCCTGTACACACTCTCTTGCTTCCCCTTTGCCTTCTGCCACGATGGTGAGGCCTCCCCAACTGTGTTGAACTGTGAGTCAACTAAACCTCTTTCCTTTATAAATTACCCAGTCTCGGGTATGTCTTTATTAGCAGCACGATAACAGACTAATACATCAGGTGTGATGGCTCATGCCTGTGATCTCAGCTACTTGGGAGGCTGAGGCAGGAGGATCCCTTGAGCACAGGAGATTGAGGCTGCCGTGAGCCGACATCACACCACTCCACTCCAGTCTGGGCAACAGAGCAAGACCCTGTTTCAAACAAGCAAACAAAACAACAACAATAGAAAATTAACACCAAGGTCTTCCTCCTCCTCAGGAAGCTTCTGCTGTCAATGATCCCTTGTCTCTTCTGTAGAGTAGCCCTCCCCCTCCCCACCAGCCTTCCTGCCAGTATTTAACATGTTCTTATCTCCACCGTATTAAGAGATGGTGTGGTGGCTCACGTTTGTAATTGTAGCACTTTGGGAGGCTGAGGTGAGTGGACTGCTTGAACTCAGGTGCTTGAGACCAGCCTGGGCAACATGGCAAAACCCTGTCTCTACAAAAAAATTGCCAGGCATGGTGGTGCACACCTGCATTCTCAGCTACTTGGGAGGCCGAGTGGGAGGACTGCTTGAGCCCGGGAGGCAGAGGTTGCAGTGAGCTGTGATCATGCCACTGTACTTCAGCCTAGGCGACAGAGCCAGACCCAATCTCAAAAAGAAAAACAAAAGAAAAAAATAATCACACAGAGAGACTGGTGCCCAGCTCTCTGCCCCTCCAGCCACCACTTTGGTTCTCACCCCGCATGTCCCCACAGTTCCTTTGACGAAGTGGCCTCCATCTCCTCACCTTCCCCTGGGACCTCAACTCTGATACTCTGGTCTATGCCTCCACTCGACTGAAATCTCCAGTGACTTCCAAGACACTAAACTGAATCCAGAGGATTGTACTCAATGTTACTAAAGGACCAAGACTTCTTAGACTCAACAACCAAAGGACGTGTGATAGAAGAAAAACAAAGTACTGGGATTACATGCGTAACCACCATGCCTAGCTTGTCTTTTCATCTTCTTAATGGTGTATTTTGAAGCACAAAGGTTATGAATTTTGATAGAAAGTCTATTTTGCTATTGTTTTTCACCCAATAGGATGGCTAGGGAAAAAAAGAAAGGCAATGTTTTAAAAGGGAGAAAAAAAATAAGTCACACAAAAGTGTTGGCAAGAATGTGGAGAAACAAGAGCCCTCGTACACTGCAAGTAAGAACTCACTTTGGAAAACAGTTTGGCAAAAATCTACCACGTGACCCAGCAATTCCACTCCCAGGAATCTAGTCGGGAGACATGAAGTCACAAATGCACAGTGAGACCCGGACACGCACATTCCCGGCAGCACCATTCACAGGAGCCAAACACAGCACAGCCCCACGTTCACCACCAGACGATGGGGGAGAAAAGACGGTGGACCCACTCAATGCGATGCTTCAGCCATAGAGAGGGATTGGCTCTAAGGCTAAAAGAGCCCTCCAGAAACCCTGGAGAAAGTGTTTTAAAAAACAAAAGAAAGCAGGCAACAAAGTCAGACACAAAAGATGACATATTGTAGGATTCCATGTCCATGAAGTGACCAGGAGCGGCAGATCGGCAGAGATGGAGGCGGCTATGAGGCGGGGCTGGGCACAAAGCAGCAGCATCTTCTAGGTGATGGAAATGCTCAACAGGAGG
Organism: Homo sapiens; assembly: GCF_000001405.40. Lineage (NCBI taxonomy): Eukaryota > Metazoa > Chordata > Mammalia > Primates > Hominidae > Homo > Homo sapiens. Next base: position 144,644,461 of record NC_000008.11, read on the forward strand.
TGATGGCTGCACGACTCTACAAATTTACTAAAAACCATGGGATTATATACTTGAAATGAGTGAATTTTTTATATATAAATTATACCTCCATAATTGAAACACTGCCAAATGCACGCCGGCTCGTGGCGGCACCCCTTCCGGCTTCCACCATGCATTTCTGAGCTCTGAGTCACTTGAAGCGGCATCCGAGGCCTTCTCTCACTACAGGCCCTTGGGAGCAGTGCAGTCTGCAGGACTTCATCATCAACCCAGGCCAAACCACGTCCCTGTCCGTGACTTCGCACCTGGCCTTTCAGCACCAGGTGTCTGCACAGCTCTTGGCTGCACCTGCACTCTGAGTCATTGCAGGCACCAAACCCAAGCCCTGTACCTTCACCCTACACCTGAGCCCCTTCCTCAGGAGCTGTGCTGCCTCCTCAGAACTCAATTTCATCTCATCAGACTCTGCCCCTAGCAGGTCCTCTGCTCCGTGCTGCCACACCCTGCCCAGTGCGCCCATTCAGGACAGAAGTCAGTCCTCGCAGGCTTGTCCCTGGGTGGCAGGTGACAGGCGCTGGGCCACGGCAGAGAGCACATGTCAACCGCAGTCCCCGTGTTATCCAGGAGGAAGCGAAGAAAACACTGGGCAGGTCCACAGTTAAACTGCAACTCTCTAACAAGAAGTGGGTCCTAAGCCTGGCTCTGCACAGCTCCAAAACCCCATCCCTCTCATACTCAGAGCTGCAGATGCCAGTGCAACCATGTGGAGAAGAAGCTGGATGAAGTCACAGCCGTGAAACTCAGGCTGGAAGCTCTGGGACACTACATGAACTGAAGGCACGAGAAGTCCAGGTGTCAAGGAGAGGTTGGCCATGAGGTCAGATGCCCAGCTGGGAACCAGCCCTGGGACACCACGCTCTCAATGATGGGCTCCATGAGGGCAGGGCCTCCCTGCCTCACTGTGGTCTCTCCCGGCAGAGTCACTGATGGACTCCGTCAGGGCAGAGCCTCCCCGCCTCACTCTGGTCTCTCCCGGCAGAGTCACTGATGGTCTCCGTCAGGGCAGAGCCTCCCCGCCTCACTCTGGTCTCTCCTGGCAGAGTCACTGAAGGGCTCCATGAGGGCAGGGCCTCCCTGCCTCACTCTGGTCTCTCCCGGCACAGAGTCCCATGAATGTCATCATCCCAGACGTGTTAGGAATGAAAGACATGACATGTAAAGTGCAAACATGAGGGATTCTTATCCTCTAGAAAAAACCATCCCCAAACCCAGACGTGCTCTCAGGAAGCAGAGCGATACACCTTGGATGGCAGAGGTTTATTTTGTGTGGAATCCCAACACTAAGGAAAGTCATAACCAAAGGGGCTGCCTGAGCGAGGCCAGGGCTGCAGGGGGAGCTGGGGGCAGCAGGGAGGACAGAGACACCTGCAGATGCTCCCGGATGGAGCTGGCCTTGCCTGGGTGCTGGTGCAAGGTATGCGGCAGCAACACCATCTTTAGGATGTCACTGTGTAACAACAGGGTAACACCCAGATGGCCCAGCTGGCTCTGTGGCCGAGGCAGGATAGCTAGAGAAGGTAACCACATTGAACACACCACCACCTGACCAGCAACCACCTGCTGGGCGTCCCCCGGAGCTGCACTGGTCACCCCTCCCCACCGGTGGCACCAAATGTCCGCCAGCAAGGACGGACACATCGCAAGCTTGGAGCCTGCTGGAGGAAGGGCACAGGCCACCGGAGGGGATGTGGATGTTCTCTCTGTGCAGACAGGGCAACAACCGCAAACGTGTTCAACAGGGAAGAGCACGTATGGACCAGGCCAACAGGGGGCCCCAAACAGGAGTGAGAACAAGGGCGCCTGTGTTGTTTCATCGGCAATAAAAGTGGTACTGGGAGTTGGCAGGAACAGAGAGCGGGAGGGGAGGGAGTGAAACTTCGTAGCACATGCCTTCTTGGCTTCTGTTTGTTTTTAATCCTGTGAAAGTATCGATAGCCAAAAAACTAAATTTTAAAAAATCACCAAAAAAAGTGTGGAGAAAATAGAAAGAAATGAGGAATAGCAGGGACACCAAAAGACAGGAGGCGAATCGGCTGCCTCTGAGAACAACTGGGGTGGGCACAGGCTGGCGGGCATGGAAGCCTCGTCCTTTCTGCACCACCGCACAATGTTAGAGCTCTGCGCCTGGGCTACCTTCATTAAAAGTGAAGTTCCTTCTCAGAAACCTACCTGAAAGCCTTGATTCTCAGAAAACAACGCCTCTCTGAGCCAAGGGCATGGGAACCTGCAGGAGACAGCCTGGTCCTGGTGAGACCCTCGCTGGGCCCAGAGTCCAAGCGGGCCATGGCCCTGGCACTGCACGTGAGGAAACAAGGCCTTGGGTTTTTCTCCACCACACTTGCTGCAGACGAGGGTCCGGGACCAGACACGCCCAGAGGGCCCCAGTGCCCTGTGGTTGGGGTGGTGTTTCCTTCTGTCTCTCTCCCTGATGGGGCACAGCTGGAGGCATCTGCTCTGCTCTGACCATTTTTTTTTTTTTTTTTTTTTTGAGACAGAGTCTCGCTTTATAGCCAGGCTGGAGTACAACGACACCATCTCGGCTCACTGCAAGCTCCGCCTCCTGGGTTCACACCATTCTCCTGCCTCAGCCTCCCGAGTAGCTGGGACTACAGCCACCCGCCACCATGCCCGGCTAATTTTTGTATTTTTCGTAGAGACGGGGTTTCACCATGTTAGCCAGGATGGTCTTGATCTCTTGACCTCATGATCCGCGTGCCTCAGCCTCCCAAACTGCTGGGATTACAGCCGTGAGCCACTGCGCCCGGCCTGCTCTGACCCTTCTTAAAGCTCGAGCATGTGGCCCCAGTAAGAGCAGGGAAGGGACGAACAGCCCATCCTCACATGAAACCCGCAGACTGCTGTGTCAAGGTGGCATCCCTGTTCTCACCCTCACTGTGCAGAGTCCCTGAGACTTCCCCACAGGCACCATGGGCTTGAGTCCTGTGCTCACAATGTCCATGGCCCCAGAACATTCCCACAAGGAAAGGCTATCGGCAGCCTGCAGCCGCCCACCCTGCTGCCCACACTGCCCTGTGCACTGCTGTCAGCCACGCCTGAACAGAGACTCTCATTCTTCCTGAGGAAATGAAAACAAAACAGCAATGAAAACGACTTTACACCAGATCAGGTCAGGACCTTTGGTGGGTGAGGGAAGGAATGACCAATCCAAGACAAGAAATGCTCGGGAGCTGGGGGACAGTCCTGGAGACCAATGCAGAATGCAGAGAAAGCAAGACGCCGTGCCAGGGGAGGGCAGCTGGAAGCCATGCATGCGTCCACGGGGACCCCAAGAGAGGGAACCAGAGGGAACAATGGAGAACAGTGTTTCCAAGCAAAAGTGCACCCATGTGCCAAGTACTGTACATAAAATAAGTCCATATCCAGACTCATTGCCCTGAAGGACTAAAAGCTACCAGAGACAAAAGACTGGAGGGCTGAAAACATGTATAAATTCCTGGTACAATTTCTACAAAATGGTGGAGAGTCTAATTCTCCTTCCTCTAGCATAGGTGGCCCTAAAAACTCACTCCTGGCACACACAATGGGGGACCTGTGACCTCAGAGGTTGGGCTGGAAAAGGGGATAGAGCCTTCAGAGCCCTGAGCTGCCCTACCCTGAGGACACCATGCTATAACATCCACAAGATGGCACCAGCTGCTCCACGGCCCCAGCTGCTCCTCCAGGGCCCCAGCTGCTCTGATTTCCCCAGCAGAAGCCCCAGACATGCCAGTAAGATGGCTCATCCATAGCTCCTGTCTTGACTGTAGTCTCAGGAGACCCCATGCCAAGCTGCTCCTGAATTTCTGTTCCACAGAAACCAGGAGAGAGGATCATATACAACTATTTTAGGCCCCTACATTTTGGGGTAATTTGTTATCCAGCAAAAGTAACTGGAGCAATCTCCCACAAGGAAACAAGAGCTGAAGTTGTATCCAATTGCAGCACTCACAGACCCTCACTACAGAACTACTGAAGGGCTCGTTCCAGAAAGAAAACAGCCTAGGAGGAAACCATACTGAGCAAGGGCGATATCAGATATTGGAAACTCAATTTCTGGCTGTTTAAAAGCTTTTTATTCCGAAAGGTAGAGCAAGTTCCACTCAACAAGAACAACAACTGCCAAGGAGGGCTGCTCAGCCAGTGCCACTGTAGAGACGAGGCAAATGCAGAGCCAGCTCAACCCTAGCTTCCCAATGAATCTCTTGAGGAACTTTTAAAAACTCATTTTTTAAAGCTAGCTGAGCTGAATGACTTTGGGGCAAATAATGAAATTACGGCAGAAATCAAGAAGTTCCTTGAAACTAATGAGAACAATGATGCAGCATACCAGAATCTCTGGGACACAGCTAAAGCAGTGTTAAGAGGGAAATTCATAGCACTAAATGCCCACATCAGAAAGTTAGACAGACCTCAAATTAACAACCTAACATCACAACCGAAAGAATCAGAGGGCAAGAGCAAATCAATCCCAAAGCTAAAAAAAGACAAAAAAATAACCAAAATCAAAACTGACCTGAAGGAAATCGAGACACAAAAATCCATTCAAAAGATCAATGAGCAGGAGTTGGCTTCTTGGAAAAATTAATAAGATAGATAGGCCACTAGCTAGACTAATAAAGAAGAAAAGAGAGAAGATCCAAATAAACACAATTAGAAATGACAGGCCAGGTGCGGTGGCTCACGCCTATAATCCCAGCACTTTGGGAGGCTGAGGTGGGCAGATCACCGGTCAGGGGATCAAGACCATCCTGGCTAACACAGTGAAACCCCATCTCTACTAAAAATACAAAAAAAAAACCAATTAGCCAGGTGTGGTGGCGGGCGCCTGTAGTCCCAGCTACTTGGGAGGCTGAGGCAGGAGAATGGCGTGAACCCAGGAGGCAGAACTTGCAGTGAGCTGAGATCGCGCCACTGCACTCCAGCCTGGGTGACAGAGCGAGACTCCGTCTCAAAAAATAATAATAATAAATAATAGAAATGACAAACGTGGCCAGGCGCTGTGGCTCACATCTGTAATCCCAGCACTTTGGGAGGCCAAGGCAGATGGATCACTTTAGGTCAGGAGTTCAAGAACAGCTTGGTCAATGTGGTAAAACCCCGTCTCCACTAAAAATACAAAAATTAGCTGGGTGTGGTGGCACACGCCTGTAATTCTAGCTACTCGGGAGGCTGAAGTTGCAGTGAGCTGAGATTGCACCACTGCACTCCAACTTGGGTGACAAAATGAGACCAACTCAAAAAATAAAAAATAAATAAAAAGCAATGATGAAGGGAATGTTATCACTGACCCCACAGAAATAAAAATAACCATCAGAAACTACTATGAACACCTCTATGCACACAAACTAGAAAGCCTAGAAGAGACGGATAAATTCTTGGACATGCCTGTAATCCCAGCACTTTGGAAAGCCAAGGTAGGCGGATCACAAGGTCAGGAGTTCGAGACCAGCCTGGCCAACATGGTGAAACCCTGTTTCTACTAAAAATACAAAAACCAGCCGGGCATGGTGGTGCACGCCTGTAATCCCAGCTACTTGGAAGGCTAAGACAGGAGAATTTCTTGAACCCAGGAGGTGGAGGTTGCAGTGAGCTGAGATTGTGGCACTGCACTGCAGCCTGGGCAATAGAGCAAGACTCTGTCTTGGAAAAAAAAAGAAAAAAAAAATTCCTGGACACATACACCCTCCCAAGACTGAACCAGGAAGAAACTGATTCCCTAAACAGACAATTAACAAGCTCCGAGATGGAATCAGTAATAAATAGCTTACCATCCAAAAAAAGCCTAGGACCTGATGGATTCACAGCCAAATTCTACCCGATGTACAAAGAAGAGCTGATACCATTCCTACTGAAACTATTCCAAAAAATTGAGGAGGAGGGATTCCTTCTCAACTCATTCAATGATGCCAGCATCATCCTGATACCAAAACCTGGCAGAGGCACAACAACAAAAAATATATATATTCAGGCCAACATCCTTGATGCACATTGATGCAAAAATCCTCAAAAAAATACTTGCAAACTGAATCCAGCAGCACATCAGAAAACTAATCCACCACAATCAAGCAGACTTCATCCCCGGGATATAAGGTTGGTTCAACATATGCAAATCAATAAATGTGATTCATCAAATAAATAGGACTAAAGACAAAAACCACATGATTATCTCAATAGATGCAGAAAAGGGCTTCAATAAAATCCACAACTGCTCATGTTAAAAACTCTCAATAAACCAAGTATTGAAGGAACATACCTCAAAATAATAAGGGCCATCTGTGACAAACCCACAGCTACATCATACTGAATGGTAAAAGCTGGAAGCATTCCCCTTGAAAACCAGCACAAGGATGCCCTCTCTCACCACTCCTATTAAACATAATATTGGAAGTCCTAGCCAGAGCAATCGGGCAAGATAAGGAAATAAAGGGCATCCAAATAGGGAGAGAGGAGGTCAAACTATCCCTGTTTGCAGATGACATGATTGTATATCTAGAAAACCCCATCGTCTCAGCCCAAAAGCTCTTTCATCAAATGAAGCTGATAACTTCATCAAAGTTTCAGGATACAAAAATCAATGTCCAAAAAATCACTAGCATTCCTATACACCAACAACAGCCAAGTCGAGAGTCAAATCAGGAAGGCAATCCCATTCACAAATGCCACAAAAAGAATAAAATACCTAGGAATACAGCTAACCAGGGAGGTAAAAGATCTCTAAAATGAGAATTACAAAACACTGCTCAAAGAAATCAGAGAAAACACAAACAAACAGAAAAACATCCCATACTCATGGATAGGAAGAATCGGTATCATTAAAATGGCCATAATGTACAAAGAAATTTACAAATTCAATGCTATTCCTAACAAACTACCAACGACATTCTTCACAAAACTAGAAAAATAATTTTTAAATTCATATGCAGCCGGGCACAGTGGCTCACGCCTGTAATCCTAGCATGTTGGGAGGCTGAGGTGAGTGAATCACCTGAGGTCGGGAGTTTGTGACTAGCCTGGCCAACATGGTGAAACCCCATCTCTACCAAAAACTCAAAAATTAGCTGGGCATGGTAGCACACACCTGTAATCTCAGCTACTTGGGAGGCTGAGTGAGGCAGGAGAATCACTTGAACCTAGGAGGAGGAGGTTGCAGTGATCTGAGATCACATCACTGCACTCCAGCCTGGATGATAGAGAGACTCTGTCTCAAAAAAAAATTAAAAATAAATACATACATTCATATGGGACCACAAAAGAGTCCAAATAGATAAGGCAATCCTAAGCAAAAAGAAGCTGGAGGCATCATGTTACCTGACTTCAAATTATACTACAGTGCTACAGTATCCAAAACAGAATGGTACTGGTACAAAAACAGGCACCAACGGAACGAATGGCAAACCCTTACACCATATACAAAAATCAACTCAAGATGGATTAAAGACTTAAATGTAAAACCCAAAACTATAAAAACCCTGGAAGACAACCTAGGCAATACCATCCTAGACACAGGAATAGGAAAAGATTTCATAACACAGATACAAAAAGCAATGGCAACAAAAGCAAAAGTTGATAAATGAGATCAATAAATGAGCTTCTGCACAGCAAATGAAACTATCAACAGAGTAAACAGGCAACCTATAGAATGGGAGAAAATATTTGCAAGCTATGCATCTGACAAAGATCTAGCACTCCAGCCTGGGCGACAGTGCAAGACCCCGTCTCAAAAATAAATAAATAAATAAATAATAAAAATAAAAAAGTAAAAAAATAACAGATGCTAGTGAGGTTGTGGAGAAAAGTGAACACTTAACACTGTTGGTGGGAATGTAAATCAGTTCAACCATTGTGGAAAGCAGTATTCCTCAAAAAGCTAAAAGCAGAACTATCATTTGCCCAGCAATTCCATTATTGGGTATACACCCAGAGAAATATAAATCATTCTACCATAAAGATACATGCACATGAATGTTCACTGCAGCACTATTCACAATAGCAAAGATATGGAATCAATCTACACGTCCATCAATGATAGATTGGATTTTTAAAATGTGGTACATAAACACCATAGAATACTATGCAGCCATAAAAAAGAATAAGACCATGTCCTTTGCAGGAACATGGATGGAGCTGGAGGCTATTCTCCTTAGCAAACTAACACAGGAACAAAAAACCAAATACCACATGTTCTCACTTGTAAGTGGGAGATAAATGATGAGAACTCATGAACACAAAGGAAACCAGCGGACACTAGGGTCTACCTGAGGGTGGAGGGTGGGGAGGAGGGAGGGAGAGGAGCATAAAGGATAACTACTGGGTACTGGGCTTAATACTTGGGTGATGAAATAATCTGTACAACAAACCCCCGTGACATGAGTTCACCTATGTAACAAACCTTCACATGTACCCCCCCGAATCTAAAATAAAAGTTAAAAAAAAAAGTAGCCAAGGAAAAGTCCAATTTATCAGGTTCTCAACGTGATTTTAATGTGCAGCCAAGGTTGAAAATTATTGAAATATGAGGCCGGGCGCAGTGGCTCACGCTTGTAATCCCAGCACTTTGGGAGGCTGAGGCGGGCAGATCACCTGAGGTCAGGAGTTTGACGCCAGCCTGATCAACATGGTGAAACCCAGTCTTGACTAAAAATACAAAATAGCTGGGCGTGGTGGCATGTGCCTGTAATCCCAGCTACTCAGGAGACTGAGGCAGGAATCCACAATCGCTTGAACCCGGGAAGTGGAGGTTGCAGTGAGCCAAGATCGTGCCACTGTACTACAGCCTGGGCAACAAGAGTGAAATTCTGTCTCAGAAAAATAAATAAAAGAAAATTATTGAAATATGAAATAGAAACTCAGGCAAAACACACTAATAGGAAATCACAGAAACTACAAACAGTAAAAGGAACAGTCCATCAAGTTATAAACACGCACAACACCATGCCTGGCGTCTACCTGCCTGGGAGCTGCTGAAATGATGGAAAAAAGAGGCCCCTTCAATGGAAGCACAAGCTCCTCCACCTTCCCGTCAGGAACCTGCTTGCACGGAGAACCCCCACAAACACTGGCCATCAGAGACTCTGAAACACCCATGCCTCACCCTCTCGGTCTCATCAAACCTGCAGTTAAGACTCCCATGCAGAAAACTGATCTAGAAAAATCGAAGGACCTTCCTTATGGTGGAGAGGGAGCCACAGCTCGGGTCATGACAGGGACTGGACTTGTCCTCCTGTTGGAATAACTAGAAATTGTAATAACTATCAGGTCATGACAGGGACTGGACTTGTCCTCCTGTTGGAATAACTAGAAATTGTAATAACTATCGGGTCATGACAGGGACTGGACTTGTCCTCCTGTTGGAATAACTAGAAATTGTAATAACTAGAATGTGAAAGAACTGGCGCCGAAAAGGGAAACAAACAAGGTGAAACCCGCTCCCAGCCCGGCTCTGTGCAGGCACTTTCCAGACCACGCGGACAGAGCCGCGCCGTCTGCACGTGAGCACGGCTGTCTGGACTGCCGGACACGAGCACTGAAAGGAGGAGACAGTAGTGAACCCGAAGGTGGCAAATGGAATTATCCAAACTAAAGCCCAGTGGAAGATGAACACTGACCTACAGGACAACATGAAGCACCCCAACATATATATAACTGGAACCCTTTACCCAAAATAAAGGGAGAAGACAGTAAAAGTAGTTGAAAAAATAATGGTCAAAATTTTTCCAAATGTGAGGCCAGGCACAGTGGCTCACACTTGTAATCTCAGCACTTTTGGAGGCTGAGGCAAGTGGACTGCTTGAGCCCAGGAGTGTGGGACCAGCCTGGGCAACATGGCGAAACCCCATCTCTGCAAAACATACAAAAATTACCTGGGCATGGTGGCAGGTGCTTGGAGTCCCAGTTACTCGGGAGCTGAGGTGGGAGGATCAATTGACCCTGGGAGGTGGAGGCTGCAGTGATCTGTGATCACACTACTGCATTCCAGCCTGGATGACAGAACAAGACCCTGTCAAAAAAACTTTTTCCAAATTTGATGAAAACTGTTGCTGGCAGCGGCCAGTCAAGACGGCCTGCTGCTGCCATCACGCTGGCTGCAGCAGGGAGGCGTGGCCAGGGCTGCACACTCCATGGAGCTGGCAGGAGCCGGGGACAAGCAGGAGCCCCGCCCCTTCTGAGTTGGGGCAGAAGCTCCCCCTCATGCTGCTGTAGCTGCCCAAGCTGCTGCTGCAGACCCAGGGCCCTTGCTCCATGGAGCAGGAGGAAGCCCAGCCCTCCTGGGTGGTGCTGCAGCCACCCAAGTTGTGGCTGCAGATCTGAGCCTCCCTGTGTTCTTGGGTGGCTGGGAGCAGGCAGGAGCCCTGTCCTCCCAGGTGCTGCTGCAACCGCCCAAACCATGGCTGCAGACCCAGCCTCCTGCTCCACGGAGCAGGCAGGAGCCCCACCCCAATGGGCACAGCTGCAGCCACCCAAACATCCCTGCACTCTTGGGGGCCCAGGAAGGCCCCTCACCCTTGCAGACTCAGAAGTGCTCAGTCCCACTGCCTGGCTTCTCCCTGCTGTCAGCTCCCACTCCAGTCTTGGAGCAAAGTTGGGTCTGAGCCCAGGTGCCATGAACAGCAGCAGGAAGCAGACAGATTCCTGAGTGGAAGGGGGCAGGTCCCCGGTGAGGCCCCACCTCAGGCAAGAGATGGCCTGAAGGCTGGGGGCTGGGCTGCCAGTCCCATGGACTGGAGTGGGAAGTTGTGGTGCCTTTTCCAGACCCACCCATGGCCACCCATCAGCATGCAATTCCTCCCCTCTGAGGCCCATAAAAGCCCCGGGATCAGCCAGAGCTGAGCAGAAAACAGGACAACCAGCTGAAGAGAGGAGCTACCCTCTCTACTGAAAGCTTCAGAGACCTGCAGAGACACCAGGACTACTGGCTACAAAGAGGAGCAGCCCAATCCAGGGCTTCTTCTCTGCTAGGAGCTGGGCAGATGTTGGGATGGCCAGCTGCAGAGAGGAGCTACCCACTCCAGGGCCTCCTCTCTGCTGAGAGCTGAATGCTTATCAGGATGACCTGCCAGCAGAGAGGAGCCACCCACTCCAGGCCTCCTCTCTGCTGAAAACTGCAGAGACGACAGGACGACCTGCCTACAGAGAGGAGTCACCCACTGCAGGTCTCCTCTGAGCTGTTCTAACACTCAGTAAGGCTTCTCTTCATCTTGCTCACCCTCCACTTGTCTGCATACCTCATTCTTCCTGGATGCAGGACAAGAACTTGGGCAAAGGCGCCACTAGCCACCGAGGTTTCTGGCCAGAGAAGCGACACCCCAAAGACCCCGTAACACTATGGATGTGACAAACTTGATGAATGCCAAGCAGGAAAACACCAGACCAAAGTTCAGTCTTATCCAATTGCTACAAACCAGAAAGAGAAAACCTCATCAAAAGCAATGCACAAAAGAAGAAAGGGAACAGCATATCTAACATGCTAAATCAAACAAAACGATCAATCTAGAATCCCATGCCCAGTTAAACTATTCTTAAAGAATAAAACCAAAAACAAAGATTCTTTTCTTCCTGACAAACATAAGAGAATTAGTTGCCAACAGATACATACTAAAAGAAATATTAAATGAACTTATTCAGGCAAAAAGATAATACTGGATAAAAACTTGAATATGTAAAATGTAATAAAGAGCACTAGACATAGCAAATAAGGAAAAAAAAAAAAAAAAGGCCAGGTGTAGTGGCTCATGCCTGTAATCCCAATACTTTGAGAGACTGAGGTAGGAGAATCGCTTGAGCCCAGGAGTTCAAAACCACCCTGCTCAACATAGCGAGACCCCATCTCTACAAAATTTAAAAAAATAAAAAACAAATGTTTTCTCATTTTAAAATGTATGTGATTAAGAGGGTCAATTCATCAAGATTATGTAACAATCCTAAATGCGTATGCCTAGTTTAATAACACAGCTTCAAAACACATGGAAAAAAAAAGTATGGAACTTCAACAAGTAAGGGACAAATTCAAAAGTTAGTCTAAGGGGCCAGGCACGGTGATTCACATCTGTAATCCTAGCACTCTGGGAGGCTGTGGTGGGCGGATCACCCACTTGAGGTCAGGAATTTAAGACCAGCCTGGCCAACATGGCAAAACCCTGTCTCTACTAAAAATACAAAAAATTAGTCAGGCGTGGTGGCACACACCTGTAATCCCAGCTACTTGGGAGGCTGAGATAGGAGAATCACTTGAACCCAGGAGGCAGAGGTTGCAGTGAGCTGAGATGGTGCCACTGCACTCCAGCCTGGATGACAGAGCAAGACTCCATCTCAAAAAAAAAAAAAAAAAAAAAAAAAGTGAGTCTAAGCGTATATAAGACTGGATCTCTATCAAACCACTTTAACCAACATTTATAAAATGAGTTAATTAGACGAAATGGATAAATTCCTTGAACAACACAAACTACCAAAAATCACTCACGAAGAAATAGATAACTTGATAGCCAATGTATCTATTTAATAAATTGAATTTGTAGGTTAAGACCTTCCCACAAAGAAAACCCCAGGCCAAGGTGACTGCACTGGTGAACATTTAAGAACAATAATTAAAATTAAACATTTAAGAAAAATAATTTTGGCCTAGCATGGTGGCTCATGCCTGTAATTCCAGCACTTTTGCAGGCCAAGGTGGGTAGATTGTTTGAACCCAAAAGTTCAAGACCAGTCTCTGAAAAAAATAAATAAAATAAAATAACAAAATAAAACAATATTAATAAAAGACAAAAAAGGAAATGAAAAAGAAAAAGAAAACAGAAAAGAGGAAAGAAAGAAAAAATTAGCTGGGCATGGTGGTATGTGCCTGTGGTCCCAGCAACTCAGGAGGCTGAGGCAGGAGGATAGCTTGAGCCCAAAAGGTTGAGGCTGCAGCCAACTCTGATCATGCTACTGCACTCCAGGCTGGGCAACAGAGTGAGACCCTGTCTGGAAGATGCATTTCTCAACTCATTTATAAAGCCAATAGTACAAACTATATGCTGATCTCAAAACCAGACAAAGGCATTACAAAGAAAACTACAGACCAATATCCCTATGACCACAGATACAAACATCCTTAAAATTTAAAAACTTTAGCAAATTGAATCCAGCAATAAAGGATAACACAATCATATCCAAGTGGAGTTTATCTCAGGATTGCAAGATTAGTTTAACATTTAAAAAATCAATCAGTGTAATTCACCATATTAACAGACTAAAATAGAAAAACATATAAGCTTCGCAAAACAGGCAAAAGAAGCAGTTCACAAAATCCACCATTTATTCTAAATAAAAACTCAAAGCAAATTGAAAATAGACAGAAACTTCCTCAACTTGATAAAAGGTGCATGTCTAAAACCTATAGCTACAGTCAGCCCTCCACATCCATGGGTTGAACCAACTGGGGATTGAAAATATTTTTAAAATAAAAATAAAAAAACAACAATATAACAATAAAAGATAATACAAATTTTTTAATATGGCATAACAGCTATTTACATAGCATTAACACTGCACTGGATATTAAAATTAATCTAGGGATGATTTAAAGTACACAGGATGATATATATAGGTTATATATCAATCCTACAGCATTTCTTTCTTTCTTCTTTCTTTCGAGACAAGGTTTTGCTCTTTTTGCCCAGGCTGGAGTGAAATGGCGCGATCTTGGCTCACTGTAACCTCCGCCTCCCAGGTTCAGGTGATTCTCCTGCCTCAGCCTCCCAAGTAGCTGGAATTACAGGTGTCCACCACCACACCCGGCTAATTTTTTTTTTTTTTTGAGACAGAGCTTTGCTCTTGTTGCCCTGGCTGCAGTGCAATGGTGCGATCTTGGCTCACCACAACCTCCACCTCCTGGGTTCAAGCAATTCTCCTGCCTCAGCCTCCCAAGTAGCTGGGATTACAGGCATGTGCCACCATGCCCAGCTAATTTTGTATTTTTTAGTAGAGATGGGATTTCTCCATGTTGGTCAGGCTGGTCTCTAGCTCCTGACCTCAGGTGATCTGCTCGCCTCGGCCTCCCAAAGTGCTGGGATTATAGGTGTGAGCTACTGCGCCTGGCCACTACAGCATTTTTTAATCAGGGACCTGATCATCCTTGAATTTTGGTATCCACAGGGTGTCCTAAAACCATTCCCCATGGACACTGAGGGATGACTGTGTATCATAACAAACAGCGAAAGACTGACTGCTTTCCCCTCACTACTCTAACATGACACATTACCGGAGGTCCTAGCCAGTGCAATAAGGCAGGAAAAAGAAAAGGTAGAAGGATTAGGAAAGAAGAAATAAAACTATATTCATAGACAAAATGATTATATATGTAAAAAAATTAAAACATTAAATATTAATGTTTAATATTGGGGTAAATATTAAATTTAACCAATATTAGAAATAAGTTTGGCAAAATACATGCACTGAGTAGTACAAAGTACTGATGAAAGACATTTAAGAGGACCTGAATCATGGGGAGGTGTACCAGGTTCATGGATGTGGCAGCCCAACAGGGTTAGGGTGTAATAGCCCCATTGTCTTTCTGTCCAATCCTATTCTGTTCACTCACTCCACAGGTGCTAATCCCAAAAGCATTCCTCAGTAAACTTCCTAAAGACAAATCAACTCAGAGTCCACTTCCCAGGGAACTCGACACAAACAGCAATTAATAATATACACTGTAAAGGACATAATTACTGTAATCAAAATGACAGGCAGCTAGATAACCAGCAACATGCTGACCAGAGCCATTAGCCTACCACCAGCCTAACCACACATTCACACCCTGAAGGCTTGGAGGAAACACCTGGTAACTCCCAACACGTGCTGGGAAGCTGCTCATTTGAAGAATGCTTCTTAACACAATTAGATATGATCAAACGATGTTGCCTTTTTCAATCGTTTTTGACCTACAAAAAACTAAAGTTTCACGTGTTCAACTTTCTGTTTCCATTGAGTCCTGTCTTAACCATGACAAAACGTCTCTGAGGCCAATGAGTGCCCACTTTTCAATCACACCAGCCCTCTGATCTAAGAGTGGAGAGACAAGTGTTATTTCTAAGTCAATGTTCCAAGTTCAAGCTTAATTGGAGGACATTTTCTAGACTATTTCATGGGACCTAAACAAAGCAATCAGAGAATCCCAAACAATTTTTTGCAAAATCTTCCGGCCTTGGCTTATTCGCTGGTTCTGATGCTCTGCCACCCCTTCACAGCTCACTGACACATGCTCTCTGCAGAGCTAAGCTAACAATTGCTTCTCTCATCCCCATTCTCTGGCTGTCTTGAGGGGTCCACTTATTCAAGCCCCACTCTAACTGTGGGACGCCCCAAGATGCATTTCCCTCTACATGCTACCCTTTGAACTCCTCATTCTGTTCCCCCAGTCTCCGTTATAATCCCTCTGTAGCTAAGTCCCAATTCTCTACCCAACCACCTCTCTCCCAAATGCCAGGTTCACCTCAGTTTACAAATGCCAGATGGACATTCCTTGGGTGGTGTTCCCTCACCTGAATCACAATGCTCCTCCTCCCCAGATCACTCTTCCCAACCACCACATGCACTTGCATTGTGCATCTCTTTCTGTCCACAGCACATGCCACTCTGCCCCCGACCCCTGGGTCAAAGGTGTGGAATGCTCCCGTGTCTCCTCCTCCTGGACCCTAGGTCTCCACCACTGTCCATCCCATCCAGGGCACCTTGGCGTCAGCTCTGCAGCACCTATTCCCACAAGCCTGAATGGTCTCTCACAAATTCAAGACTGAATTCCCTCTTGCTGGCCTCTGGTTAAATAATATAAGATTATTCATGCTTTCAGCCTTTCCTCCCCTAACCCCATCTCACCCCTACTACCATATTAAAGAATCTCCAAAAAAGCCAGCCAAGGTCACATCACTTTCATCGTGATAAGCATTCACTGGTGCCTCTAAAATAAAGGGACAATCCTTGCATGAGCACATTCCTTGGAACTGCACTGTGCAACACACTAGTCACTTGTCACTATGCTTAAAGTAAAGTTGAGTAATATTTAATACTCAGTCTTGCAAGCCATGATTCCGTGCTCAGCAGCCACACATAGGACAGCAGGCTCTAGAAAACACTTCTCTCAGGATCTTGGCCCAGACTGACTTCCTACTTCTGCTCTGTTCCAATAAAAACCATCTCTAAATAAATAAATGAATAATTTTTTAAAAGGCTGGGTGGGTGGCTCACCCCTATAATCCCAGCACTTTGGGAGGCCGAGGCAGGCAGATCACTTGAGGTCAGGAGTTTGAGACCAGTCTGGCCAACATGGTGAAATCCTGTCTCTACTAAAAATACAAAAAAAACTTAGCTGAGAGTGGTGGTGTCCATCTGTAGTCCCAGCTACTCGGGACGCTGAGGCAGGAGAATTGCTTGAACCTGGGAGGTGGAGGTTTGCAGTGAGCTGAGATTGTGCCATCGCACTCCAGCCTGGGTGACAGAATGAGACTCCATCTCAAAAAAAAAATAGGCATGGTGGCACACGACTCTGTAGTCCCAGCTGCTCAGGAGACTGAGGCAGGAGGATCACCTGTGCCCAGGAGATGGAGGCTGCAGTCCAGTCTGGCTGCAGACGGCCCTCTCAGCACCGCCGTGAAAACACATGCAGTCCTACACAGGGTCCCAGCAGCTTCACCCACTCCGGGACCACCATGGCCCCTTCACACACAGGCAGTGTGGAGCAGAGGAGGCCATTCCACTCTACACACAGGAGGAGGCCATTCCACTCTACACACACAAGGCTCCCAAAGCTCTGTGAGCAACATCTCAGCCTCTCCCCGGCTCCTCTTTGCGCATTCGCGCGTGACACTCCTGCAGAGGTGGGCTCCACACACCAGCCACCTGGCCTCGGTCTCTTTCCTTCTAACAGGAACAGCACCCTCACTCCTGTGATAGTCTCAACTCTCTTGGGCCCATGCTTACCTGGCAAACACCTGTGGTTAACCCAGCACTCCCCATCCACACCTGCCGCTAAACACATTCAGAGGAAAACAGCCTCTAACCAGCCTTCCCCTTTCTCCCCTCCCAATCCTCACACCAGCCCAAGGCCTGAGGCCATCTGGCCACCAGGCTGGTCTCGAACTCCTGCCCTCAACTGATCTGCCCGCCTCAGCCTCCCACAATACTGAGACTATAGGTGGGAGCCACCATACAAATGAATGAATGAACGAGACGGGGTTTGCTGTGTTGCCCAGGCTGGAGTGCAGTGGTGTGATCACAGCTCACTGCAGCCTTGGGCCACTACCCGCCTCTCCATTATCCACCTTGGACCCCTCCTGTGTCTCTATTATCCACCTTGAACTGTTCCCTCCTCCCCATTATCCACCTCGAACTGCTCCCTCTCCCCACTATTCACCTTGGACAACCCCCCACCCCGCCCCCCTTTCCGCATCTCCATTATCCACCTTGGACAGCTTCCTCTTCCCCGTTATCCACTTTGGACTGCTCACCCTCCCCATTATCCACCTTGGGCCTCTTCCCTCATCCCCATTATCCACCTTGGACCGTTCCCCACATCCCATTATCTGCCTTGGACCACTCCCCACTCCCCATTATCTGCCTTGGCTTGCTCCCCTTCCCCATTATCCAACTTGGACCGCTCACCTTCCCCATTTTCCACCCTGGGTCACTTTCTCTCCCCATTATCCACCTTGGATCACTCCACCCTCCCCATTATCCGCCTTGGACCGCTCCCCCGTCAGCATTATCCACCTTGAACCCCTCCTTCCTCCCCATTATCCACCTTGGACCATTCCCCGACTCCCCGTTTATCCACCTTGGACCACTCCCCCTCCCTACTATCCGCCTTAGAGCGATTCCCCTCTCCCCGTTATCCACCTTGGACCACGTTCCACTCCCCATTATTATCCAGCTTGGACAGCTCTCCCCTCCCCATCATCCACCTTGGGCCGCTACCCGCCTCCCCATTATCCACCTTGGGTCACTCCTCCCCTCCCCATTATCCACCTTGGACTGCTCCCCGTCAGCATTATCCACCTTGAACCCCTCCTTCCTCCACATTATCCACCTTGGACCGCTCCCCCTCCCACTTATCCACCTTGGACCACTCTCCCTCCCGATTATCCACCTTGGGCCGCTCCCCACTCCCCATTATCCACCTTGGATCACTCCTCCTCCCCATTATCCGCTTTGGACTGCTCCCCACTCCCTATTATCCACCTTGGGCCATTACCCGCCTCCCCATTATCCACCTTGGCCAGCTCCCTCCTCCCCATTATCCACCTTGGACTGTTTCCCCCTCCCCCTTATCCACCTTGGGCCACTCCCCCCATCCCCATTAGCCACCTTAAACCGCTCACCACTCCCCATTATCCACCTTGAACCACTCCCCACTCCCCATTATCCACCTCGGGCCTATCCCCCACCCCCATTATCCACCTTGGACTGCTCCCCACACCCCATTACTCACCTTGGGTCACTCCCTTCTCCCCATTATTCACCTTGGACCAGTCCTCCCCATTTTCCACTTTGGGCCGCTCCTCACCTCCCCATTATCCATCTTGGGTCACTCCCCACCCCCCATTATCCATCTTGGACTGCTCCCTCCTCCCCATTATCCCCCTTGGCCCACTCCCCCCTCCCTATTATCCACCTTGGACCACTCTCTCCTCCCTGGTTAACCTTCCTCACTTGGCCTCTTGGTCACTAAAGCCCCTGTTTGTGCTGCTATAAAGGAATACCTGAATCTAGGTAATTTATTTTTTAAAAAAAAGGTTTATTTGGCTCACAGTTCTGCAGGCTGTACAGGAAGCACAGCACCAGCGTCTGCTTCTGGTGAGGCCTCAGGAACCTTCCATTCCTGGCAGACAGGAATGAGAGCTGGCATGTGGAGATCACACAATGAGAGATGGAGCAAGAGAGAGACAGCTCTCAAGGGAACTGAGTGAGAAGTCCCTCCTGAGAGAACGGACCAAGCCACTCATGAGGGAGCCACCCCATGTCTCCAACGCCTCTCACCAGGCCCCACCTCCAACACTGGGGATTAAACTTCAACACAAGACCTGGCGGGACTGAACAAACCACAGCCAACCACAGCAGCCTCCTTCCTGCTCCTAGGCCTCACGTGGCAGGAGGCTCCACGCTCAGCCCCAGGTACCCTCTCCAGCTACACCCATTCCCCGGGAGGCCTCCCCTAGGCTCAGGCAGGCCCTTCATCTCTATGCTCAGGACTCCCCAACCGACACTCCACGAACAACTTCTGACCACCATCTCCAATACTTCAGGCTCATAAATGCAGCATGTCCAAACTGAACTCCTGGGCTTCTACCAGGAAACTTTATTGGTTAACTTCAAGATAGGTGCAGAAAACTCAATAAACAAGATTAAAACAAATGAGGAGCCAGGTGCAGTGGCTCATGCCTGTAATCCCAGCACGCTGGGTGGCTGAGACAGGCGGATCACTTGAGGCCAGGAGTTCAAGACCAGCTTGGGCAACATGGTGAAAGCCTGTCGCTACGAAAAATACAACAATTAGCCGGGCATAGTGGTGTGCACCTGTAGTCCCAGCTACTTGGGAGGCTGAGGTGGGAGAATTGCTTGAACCCAGGAGGCGGAGGCTGCAGTGAGCTGAGATCATGCCACTATAATCCAGACTGGGTGACAGAGTGAGACTCTGTCCCCCCAAAAAAAAGAAAAAAAATGAGGACAAAAATAAAAACTATTTCCAGATTCCAACAGCCTATCCCCTCCACCTCTGCCACCTGAGTAGAGCCTGGGTTGCTGCGGTCAGCTCCTAACTGGTCTCCTCTTCCCTCCCTCCACATGGCAGCCAGCAGGATCCTTTTAAAACAGACAAGGCAGCAGTTTTCCCCAGCTTTGGGTGATGGCCACTACCCAACTTCAGCTTCCATTCTGTGAAGGGCAAGGCCACGTAAACAGTGGCCCCAGGACTCTGCCACTTCCTGCCTCAGCACCTGGCTGCTAGCCCCAGAGACAGGCCATCCAATGTGTGGTAATGGGAGATGGAGCTGCAGGACTCAGCCATGGTTATGTGGTTTGGCTGTGTCCCCACCCAAATCTCAACTTGTACTCCCAGAATTCCCACATGTTGTGGGAGGGACCCAGGAGGAGGTAATTGAATCACGGGGGCTGGTCTTTCCTGTGTTATTCTCGCGATAGTGAATAAGTCTCACGAGATCTGATGGGTTTATCAGAGGCTTCCACTTTTGCTTCTTCCTTATTTTTTCTTGCCACCACCATGTAAGAAGTGCCTTTCACCACCCACCATGATTCTGAGGGTTCCCCAACCATGTGGAACTGTAAGTCCAATTAAACTTCTTTTTGTTCCCAGTCTGGCAGCATGAAAATGGACTAATACAGTAAATTGGTACTTGAGTGGGGTGTTGCTGAAAAGATACCTGAAAATGTGGAAACGACTTTGGAAATGGGTAACAGGCAGAGGTTGGAACAGTTTGGAGGGTTCAAAAGAAGACAGGAAAATGTGGGAAAGTCTGGAACCTCCTAGAGACTTGTTGAACGGTTGACAAAAATGCCGATAGTGATACGAATAAGGTCCAGGCTGAGGTGGTCTCAGATGGAGATAACAAACTTGTTGAGAACTGGAGCAAAGATGACTCTCTTGTTATGTTTTAGCAAAGAGACTGGCAGCATTTTGCCCCTGCCCTAGAGATCTGTGGAACTTTGAACTTGAGAGAGACGACTTAGGGTATCTGGCAGAAGAAATCTCTAAGCAGCAAAGTGTTCAAAAGGTGACTTGGGTGCTGTTAAAAGCATTCCACTTTAAAAGGGAAACAGAGCATAGAAGTTCAGAAAATTTGCAGCCTGATGATGCAGTAGAAAAGAAAAACCCATTTTCTGAGGAGAAATTCAAGCCAGCAGCACAAATTTGCATAAGTAGCAAGGAGCTGAATGTCAATCCCCAAGACCACGGGGAAAATGTCGCCAGGCCATGTCAGAGACCTTCATGGCAGCCCCTGCCACCATAGGTGCAGAGGCCCAGGAGGAAAAAGTAGTTTTGTGGGCCAGGCCCAGGGTCCCTGTGCTATGTGCAGCCTAGGGACTTGGTGCCCTCTGTCCCAGCCTCTCCAATCGTGGCTGAAAGAGACCAACATAAAGCTCAGGCTGCGGCTTCAGAGGGTGGAAGCTCCAGGCCTTGGCAGCTCCCATGTGGTGTTGAGCCTACAGGTGCACAGAAGTCAAGAATTGAGGTTTGGGAACCTCCACCTAGATTTCAGAAGATGTATGGAAACGCCTGGATGCCCAGGCAGAAGTTTGCTGCAGGGATGGAGCCCTCATGGAAAACCTCTGCTAGGGCAGTGCAGAAGGGAAATGTGGGGTTGGAGTCCCTACTGGGGCATGGCCTAGTGGATCTGTGAGAAGAGGGCCACCATCCTCCTGACCCCAGAATGGTAGATCCACCAACAGCTTGCACCGTGTGCCTGGAAAAGCTGCAGACACTAAACGTCAGCCTGTGAAAGCAGCCAGGAGGGAGGCTATACCCTGCAAAGCCACAGAGGTGGAGCTGTCCAACCATGGGAACCCACCTTTTGAATCAGCATGACCTGGATGTGAAACCTGGGGTCAAAGGAGATCACTTTGAGCTTTAAAATTTGACTGCCCTGCTGGATTTTGAACTTGCAAGGGGCCTGTAACCCCTTTCTTTTGGCCAATTTCTCCCATTTGGAACTGCTGTATTTACCTAAAACCTGTACCCCCATTGTATCTTGGAATTAACTCGCTTGCTTTTGATTTTACAGGCTCACAGGCAGAAAAGACTTCCCTTGTCTCAAATGAGACTTTGGACTGTGGACTTCTGGGTTAATGCTGAAATGAGCTAAGACTTTGGGGGGCTGTTGGGAAGGCATGATTGGTTTTGAAATGTGAGGACATGAGTTTTGGAGGGGCCAGGGGTGGAATGATATGGTTTGGCTGTGTCCCCACCTAAATCTCAATGTGAATTGTATCTCCCAGAATTCCCATGTGTTGTAGGAGGGACCCAGGGGGAGGTACTCGAATCATGGGATCTGGTCTTTCCTGTGCTATTCTCGTGATAGTGAATAAGTCTCACGAGATCTAATGGGTTTATGGGGGGCTTCTGCCTTTGCTTCTTTCTCATTTTCTCTTGCTGCCGCCATGTAAGATGTGACCTTCACCTCCCGCTATGATTCTGAGGGCTCCCCAGCCATGTGGAACGGTAAGTCCAATTAAACTTCTTTTTCTCCCCAGTCTTGGGTATGTCTTTATCAGCAGCTTGAAAATGGACTAATACACATGGCTAAAGGCGATCAGTGCTGGACAACACCCGGAGTGCTCCAGTTCTCACAGCAAAGCCCCAATACAGTGTTCAAAGCGACCCAAACAGGCCTCTGCCCACCTCCCGTGAAAAAGAGGAAGATAAAATGCCTGCTGTGGGAAATGTCCAAGCCCCTCCTCCTTGGTCCTGTCCCTTTGAACCTTTGTAAACTTTGCTCAAAAAATGGTAGAACCTTTGCACGCAAGGCCAAGTTTCTGCTACAGATTAATTTTTCCATAAAACCATTTCGAACCAATCAATTTTAATGTTTTGTTTATTCTAAATATAAGAGTTCAGACTCACATTCTATTAAAATTTATCCCCAAAGTGAAAAAGAAAGAGACAAGGCAGATGCAGCACCCTGATGCTCCAAGCCCACCCGCACCCCCATTGCCTGTCCCCAGGCAGCCTGGATGCCCTCCTGCTCCCACCTCACAGGCTGCCCTCCAGCACTGCAGGCTCACTCTGACCCTCCCTCCAGCCTCTGCACTGGGCATTCCCTCTGCCTGCACTCCTTCCCCCACAAGTGGTTTACTTCCTTCACCTGCCCAAATGAAGTGTCTTTGTGACTGAGGCCCACCTGACCCCACCCCCTTCCCAATCTCCAGGCCCTCCCTCATCCTGTCTCTGCAGCACTGACACCTACCAACTACTGCAGATGTCACATGTCACGTGTCTGCTTTTCCCTGCCCTGGGAGAACATAAGCTCCAAGAGAGCAGGGGCTTGGCCTGTCCTCCTCCCTGGGATGTCCCGGCACCTGGGACATCTTCTGTGTACACTAAGTCTCAATAAACAAACTGTTTACACCCTAAGGTCACGGAGATGACAGGACAGGAGAAGAAGTGTGACTGTGGTAAGAGGGAAAGTTCAGGAGTCATGGCACCTGGACTTGAATCCTGGCTCCGCCTACTAGTTGTGTGACCCTGGTGGGTCACAGCCCTCTCCAACCTTGGTTTCCTCATCTATGAAACAGGACCAAGAGCACCCACTGCATGCATTGTTCTGAGGTATAAATTATATAAAAACACAGAATGTGTTCAGAGCATAAGCATCAGATTACAGTAACAATGCCAACAGCAATGAAAATGGGCAACATTTATCTTCAAAACATTTTTCCTAGACTTTATGGAGAGTGACGGCTTCTTCTGACAAAGCAATGTTCAAACCATTGGGCGAGCTGAAAATGCCAGTATGTGCTTCATGGAATTGTGTTCACAGCCTTTTTTTTTTTTAACCTCCATTCAGGACTCAAAAAAGCTAGTGAATTCTTGGTCCCCTAAAAACTGGCACACTAGAGGATGGAATAGAAGTTATATATATATTTGTTTCCTCCCCATTTTTTCAGAAAGGAAATTTTAAGGCCAGGTGCAGTGGCTTACACCTGTAGTCCCAGCACTTCGGGAGGCCAAGGCAGAAGGACTGCTTGAGCCCAGGAGTTTGAGACCTGCCTGGACAACATGGCAAAATCCTGTCTCTACAAAAATACAAAAATTAGCTGAGCACAGTGGCATGCACCTGTAGTTCCAGCTACTCAGGAGGCTGAGGTGGGAGGAGAGCTTGAGCCCAGGAGGTTGAGGCTGCAGTGAGTCAAAATCGCGCCACTGCACTCCATCATGGGTGGTGACAGAGTGAGACTGTCTCAAAACAAAACATAACAAAAAATAAAAACCAATACTTAGCAGGAAGAGGAAGTATTTTTTAGAAGACTCATTGGCAATGAAAAACTCTGAAAATAAGGTTAAGAAAACAATTCCATTTAGAATAACATCAGAAGGAGTAAAATATTTAGGAATCAATTTAACAAAAGAAATGCACTTATATACTGAAAACTACAAAACATTGTTGAAAGAAATTAAAGAAGTCCTAAATAAATGGTAAGACATTCCATGTTCATGAAATGAAAGACAACATTAGTAAGATGGCAGAACACTCCACACTGATCAACAGAATTTAATAGATCCTTATCAAAGTCAAGCTTGCTGAAAAAAAACAATGAGCTTGCTTTTTTGAGGAAACTGACAGGCTGAAGTTCATATGGAAATTCAAGGGATCCACCAGGATAGCCAAAACAATCTTGAAAAAGAACAAAATGGGATACACCTTCTGACTTGAAACTTCTCACAAAGCTACCATAATTAAGACAGCGTGGCACGGGCATGAGGACAGATACACAGGACAACAGCACAGAGTTGAGTTCAGAAATAAACCCTCAAATTTATGATCAAGTAATTTTTGACAAAGGTGCCAAGACATTTCAATGACAGAAAGAAAGAACAATCTCTCCAACACATGGTGCCAAGCAACTGTGTTAAAAAAGCAAAGCAGGACCTTACCTCACACATGAACAAAATTAACTCAAAATGGATCAAACACCTAAATGTATATCAAAATGATATAAAGCAATGTATAAAAAATAGAAATGTAAGCCAGGCACAGTGGCTCATGCTGATAATCCCAACACTTTGGGAGGCCGAGGCGGGTGGATCACGAGGTCAGGAGATTTTAGACCATCCTGGCTAACACAGTGAAACCCCATCTCTACTAAAAATACAGAAAATTAGCTGGGCGTGGTGGCGGGCGCCTGTAGTCCCAGCTATTCAGGAGGCTGAGGCAGGAGAATAGCGTGAACCCAGGAGATGGAACTTGCAGTGAGCCAAGATCACACCACTGCACTCCAGCCTGGATGATAGGGCGAGACTCGGTCTCAAAAAAAAAAAAAAAAAAAAAGATAAAAATTCCAAGGCCTTATGTACTGCAAAAAATAAAGAAAAAAAGAAAAAATAACCCACAGAATGGAAGAACACATTTGTAAATTGTATATATCTGATCCGGCACTTGTATACAGAATATATAAAAAACACATAACTCAGTCATAAAGGATAAGTAGCCCATTTGAAAAATGGGACAGGATATGAATAGACATTTCTGCAAAGATGATGGACAAATGGTCAACAAACACAAGAAAAGATGCTCAACATCATTAGCCATTGGGGAAATACAAATAAAAATCACTGAGATGTCACTTCACATCCACTGAGATGGCTTTAATCAGAAGGATGAACAATCACAAGTATTGTCAAGGATGTGGAAACATTGGAACCTTATGTATCGCTGTGGAAACGTAGGACGGGGCAGCTGCTTTGGAAAACAGTTTGGCATTTCCTCAAAAGTAAACATAGAATTACCATATGACCCAGCAACTACACAAATATTCATAATAGTCAAATATGGAAACAACTCAAAATGCCCAGCAATGGATGAAAGTCTAAAGGAAACGGGGTTGACCTGTACAACGGAACGTCCCTCAGCAATAAAAAGCAACAGAGCTCGGATGCATGCTAGAGCGTACCGGGAAGCAGGATCAGGGCCTGGGACCAGGCGGCTGTAAAAAGCAACAGAGCTCGGACGCATGCTAGAGCGTACCGGGAAGCTGGATGAGGGCCTGGGACCAGGCGGCTGTAAAAAGCAACAGAGCTCGGACGCGTGCTAGAGTGTACCGGGAAGCAGGATCAGCACCTGGGACCAGGAGGCTGTGCCCGGGTTCACCACACTGCTCCATCACCCTCCTCACCGGGCCATCGAGCCTCTGAATCCCACACCTCTGCCATCTCCCCTCAGCCTCAGCCCCACTGTCATTCACCTAAACCACAGGTGGCTCAACCATTTCTGTATTTCCTGTCAGTCTCCTTGATGTGCTCCGGACATAAAAGCCTGGGCAAGGCTTCAAGAAGACTATTTTGGGTGGGCTCTTGGTGCAGTCTGGCTGGCTGCCTCACTTGTCCTGCCTCCCGCCCTGCTCCAGGCTCCCTGGGCTCCTGCCATCCGGTCCTGCTAACCCCAGGGCTGCCACATGAGCTGATCCCCACCATCTTCTCCTGCAGGCCCCAGACTCAATCTCCCTCCTGGAGGCTTGCCCTGAGCTCCTCATCTAAATGAAGCATGCTAGATTTGCTGTCACAGCCTCATCCCCGTCCTTCAGACCACACACCGCAGCTGCCAACTGTGTGTATCTGTTTCCTGCACTAGACTCTGAGCTTCAAGAGACAAACGCTTTACCCCTGCACTGCCAGCCCCGAGCACCACTGACCGGCACTCAGTTATCCATGGAATGGATGACCAGAAAGGCACGACCACCTAATCCAGCTCTGATGACGCTGCCTGGTGCTGCTCCCTCCTCCCACACCAGAGACCCCCACCACACACATGTGCTCACACTCAGGACACACAGTGCTGCCAAGCCTCAGGGCCGCCAAGCTTCTCCCGAAACCCAACCAGGGCCCTTCACATACCAAGCACATGCTAATTAATTCCAGTTTGTAAATCCTAATGTCAGTTCTCTCTGTGGAATGAGGCCTATGTTGGGTGTCTCACCCATGCCAGGCTCTGCGGGTCACTGACAAGAGTCTCTGCCCTGCAGCATCTCCCAGCCAGGGGCACAGGGTCACCAACAGGCAGATTCTGCAAATGACTTACCATTTAAAATACATCAGAATGGGTCAAGGGTGGATAATAACTTCACGTAAGTTCTGATGTTTTCCGCAAAAGAAATGAACGAATAAAGCTGGAGTTAGAAAGAAGCTATTGCCAACCCTTTCACTCTTCCTAACTGCATGCTGACTCGGAAGGTGGGGCTCAAGCTGAGAAGTGCTCCCCTTCAGGAGACAGTGTCACTCTACACGCTGCAAACACCACCCTCCCACCTGCTCCCTGACCCCCAGATGCCTGCTCACCTGGGCTCTCGCCAACACTCCAGTCACAGAGCTGCCGGCTCCGGCCACACATCCCTCCCGCCTGAGGCTCTTTCTGTGCCTGGTGAATAGCCCAAGGCTCAGCTGCTGATACTCCTCCTTTCCAGACAAGACACCCCTTCTCCAGAAAGCCTACCTGAACTCCACGCCCCTCCCGGCCAGCCACCCTAGGGTTCTCCCTACGACCCCAGGCACACGGCCACCTCTGCTGTCCACAGGATGTTAGCACAACTCACTCCCGTGTCCCCCACCAGAGGCCTGGTCTGTCTCCTCCCTGTCGGGGGTATCTGACTGGCAAGTGGCTGGCACATACAGGCAACAGTAAAGACAGGGGCGAGATGAGTGTGGGTGGGCCTGGCAAACACAAGACCAGGTGTGAGAGCCCTGCCAGAGCAATGGAGACAGGCTCCGCCCAAGTGAGGCTCATCCTGGGCCCCAGTGGCCTTGGGCAGAAAGCCCCACACTGTTCCTGGACGCCGTCTGTGATTCCGGCACATGCTGTAAACGAGGGTCTCAGGGACGTCACAGCACTACCCCCTCCCACATGTGGGAATTTCCACAGCACGCCTGAATTCTGAATAGAAAATAAAAGGTCAACACAGCCGCAATTAAATAGAAACAGCACCTAGAGTTTCAGAAGCTGCTCCCCTTTATCAGCCACACATGCAGCAGGCAGTCAGATTCCGGGGAAACTTACACTGCAGAGGCTTCAGCACAGCTCTGAGTGGCAGGAGGAACATGCTGGCCACCTCTGTGATCCCAGGGAATGCTTGAAGGGACCGTAACAGAAAACCACTAGGAGTATCTCAAGGCTAACAGTAAACTCAACCCATGAAGGAAGCATCAGCCACTCTGTCAGGATAGTGTTGGGGCCTCTAGTAGTTTAAAGTAATAATCAAGAGAAAAGGCAGGAAAGATGAAAGGAGCATGGCAAGAAAGGAAAATAGACTCAAACACTGTTGGCCAGACAAGGGGTTCTGGACCCTGTGTCCAGCACCCTGGCTGCCAGGAGCTGGGGAGACAGCAGTGCTCCCACGCCTCACATCTGTCTACACCACCATCAACTGTGCTCTGTGTGCGCCTAGACCAGCCTGCAAGAGGCTGGTTCATCAGCCTCTTAGTGTTGATATTAATTTTTAAAACTCCTATTATACACAAATAACAGTAATTTACAGAACCCACTGAGACTCAGCCATTCTTCAGCTTCACAACAACCTTGAACAAATAAGCAGGACAAGCATCTTATCTGCAGATAAGAGCTCGAGTGCTTAACTGACTTATCTGTGCTCAATCACACAGGCAGCGATTAAGTCAATGTTTAACTCAAGTCTTCTGCACGGAGACCAGTGTAGCATCGCTACCACCTGAAATTTGACGCTGATCAGGGGCCAGGCACAGTGGTTCATGCCTGTAATCCCAGCACTTTGGGAGGCAGAAGCGGGAGGATCACTTGAGCCCAAGAGTTCAAAACCAGTCTGGGTAACAGGGTGAAATCCTGCCTCTACAAAAATTACAAAAATTAGCTGGGCATGGTGACATGCACCTATTGTTCCAGCTACTTGGGAGGCTGAGGCAGGAGGATCGCTTGAGCCCAGGAGGTCAAAGATACAGTGAGCAGATATCATGCCACTGCCCCCTAGCCTGGGTGATAGATTGAGAACCTGTCTCAAAAAAAAAAAGAGGAAGAAAGAAAAGAAACTGATCAGGGACTCATCGCCTTGCCACAGCCCCCAAGAACACACCCGCACCAAGGCCCTCTGCGGGCATGCAGCCTTCTGACTCTCACCTTGGAATGTTCTCTTCTGAAAAATCCTAGTCACTCCTGTTTTTAACAGCTTCATTGAGATAGAATTCACATTACATACAATTCACCCAATTAAAGTATATGATTTTAGGTTATTTTTAGTATATTCACAGATATGTGCAACCTTCACCACAGTCAATTTTAGAATATTTTCATTATGCTAAAAGAAATTCCATACCTCTTGGCTGTCATCCCCTAGCCCTTGGCAACCACTAATCTACTTTCTATCTCTACAGATTCACTTCTTCTGGACACTTCACATAAACGGAATTGTCATGAGATCCTTGGGGTGTCGCTTCACCAGCCAGAAACCGCTGTGGCCAGTGGTGCCTTCTGCCTGAGTATTGCTCATGCCCACTGGGATTGTTCCGCCCACTCAGGCCGGCAGACTGCTCTCAGCTCACACTACCGGCCCAGATCCCACACCTGCCAAGTGCAAGCCAGGTGCAAAGTGGCAAGGGGTGTGTGGGCAAGCAAGCGCAGGGTCAGGCCACCGTGCATAGCCAGGCATGCCAGCTGCAGCGGGGCAGGCTGCTCCAGGTGCCAGCTCTGTGCGAGGCTGCGGCTTGACCAGATGTACTGCATGTGGCTTCCACTGTGGGCACCTGCATCTGGATGAGGGGAATGCAGTGGCATCCAGAAGCTTGGAGATGCCAGGAACCACAGAACCCCAAAGAGGGTGTCACAGCCCTGGCTCGAGGAGACCCTAGGTCTGGGCTCCCCAAAGTGCTGCAGCTCTTCTCTCCTTTTCATTACCTGCAACGTGGTGAGTGGTGGGGGGCGGTGGTCGGGGGGAGTGTGTGTTTCAGCCCTGTTTGTGTTGCAGCTCATTTAGTCCCGCCATTCAGCAGGTCCCAAGTTCCTGTCACATGTCCAGGTAGAATGAGGTACGTGAACAACTGGAGAGTGAGCGAGGTGGAGAGGAGCTTCACTGTGCGACAGAACAGCTCTTGGGAGACCCACAGTGGGTAGCTCCTTTCCGCATACGGGTTGTCTTGACGACTGTTCAGGTCTCAGCAGAGAGGAGACTCGGACTGGTTAGCTCCTATCCTATCTGCAGGCAGGCTGTCCTGTTGTTTGCCTGAGTCTGGCTGAGTCCAGGGTTTTTATGGGCTTCAGAGGGGAGAAAGTATGTGCTGAATGGTTCACGGGTGGCCATGGGCAGGCCCAGAAAAAGCACCATAAACTCTTACTCTGGTCCATGGAACTGGCAGCCCAGCCCCCAGGCTTCAGGCTGTCCCTGACTTGAACATGGGGCTTCATCAGGGACCTGCCCCTTTTCACCCAGGAGCCTGTCTGCCTCCTGCTACCATCAACCTGCCGTCCATGGTGCCCAGGCTATTTGTGCTGAGGGGCTCCTGCAGGCCTGCACCAAGCTGCCCTCAGCCCCTCCTCGGGCTCCCTCCTGTGCTCGCTCGTCGGCACCCAAAGTCCGAAGGCGGCCGAGAAGGCAGGGGGCTGGCATGTCAGTTTTGCCCCAAGTGCATGTACACCTGGCCAGGTTGCAACAGTGCCTGGGCTCAGCCTCAACTTTGTTCCAAAATTGACGTGGGGACCAGGAGCAGGGAGAGGCCAGGTAGCGGGAGGAGGCTGGCCTGCTTCTGAGTCTGCAGGGGAAGGGGGGCTTCCTGAGTCCCCGAGAGAGCAGGGATGTCTGGGTCCATAGCCACAGCTAGGCAGCTGCAGCTGTGCCCAGGAGGGCCAGGCTCCCACCCCTCCAACTTGGAAGGGGGTGCAGCTCCTGCCTGTTCCCAGTTCCCACCAGCTCCATGGACCATGCAGCCCCAAGCCTCCCCAGCTGCAACCAGCGTCATGGCAGCAGCCACTCCAGACAAGCCACCAATGCCATTAGAATCATACAGTATGTCTCCAGCTTCTTTCACTTAGCATTTTTTTTTTGAGACAGAGTCTTACTCTGTCACCAGGCTACAGAGCAGTGGCATGATCTCGGCTAACTGCAACCTCTGCCTCCCGGTACGCCACTGTGTCCAGAATTGGTGGGTTCTTGGTCTTGCTGACTTCAAGAACGAAGCCGCGGACCCTCGCGGTGAGTGTTACAGCTCTTAAAGATGGTGTGTCCGGAGTTTGTTCCTTCTGGTGGGCTCGTGGTCTTGCTGACTTCAGGAGTGAAACTGCAGACCTTCGTGGTTAGTGTTACAGCTCTTAAAGATGGTGCGTCTGGAGTTGTTCATTCCTTCCGGTGGGTTTGTGGTCTCGCTGGCCTCAGGAGTGAAGCTGCAGACCTTTGTGGTTAGTGTTACAGCTCTTAAAGGCAGTGCATCTGGAGTTGTTCGTTCCTGCCGGTGGGTTCGTGGTCTTCCTGGCTTCAGGAGTGAAACTGCAGACCTTCGTGGTTAGTGTTACAGCTCTTAAAGACGGTGCGTCTGGAGTTGTTCATTCCTTCCGGTGGGTTCGTGGTCTCGCTGGCCTCAGGAGTGAAGCTGCAGACCTTCGTGGTTAGTATTACAGTTCTTAAAGGCAGTGCATCTGGAGTTGTTCGTTCCCTCCGGTGGGTTCGTGGTCTTCCTGGCTTCAGGAGTGAAGCTGCAGACCTTCGCGGTGAGTGTTACGGTTCATGAAGATAGCATGTCCAGAGTTGTTCCTTCCTCCCGTCAGGAGTTGTTCTTCCCTCCCAGTGGGTTCATGGTCTCGCTGGCTTCAGGAGTGAAGCTGCAGACCTTCTCGGTGAGTGTCACAGCTCATAAAGGCGGCGCGGACCCAAAGAGTGAGCACCAGCAAGATTTAGTGCGAAGAGCAAAAGAACAAAGCTTCCACAGCATGGAAGGGGACCCCAGCGTGTTGCCGCTGCTGGCTTGGGTGGCCTGCTTTTATTCCCTTATCTGGCTCCACCCACCTCCCACCGATTGGTCCATTTTACACAGAGCTGATTGGTCCGTTTTGACAGGGTGCTGATTAGTATGTTTACAAACCTTCAGCTAAACACAGAGTGCTGATTGGTGCATTTACAATACTTTAGCTAGACACAAAAGTTCTCCAAGTCCCCACTAGATTAGCTAGACACAGAGCACTGATTGGTGCGTTTACAAACCTTGAGCTAGACACGGGTGCTGCTGACTGGTGCGTTTACAAACCTTGAGCTAGACACACGTGCTGCTGACTGGTGCGTTTACAAACCTTGAGCTAGACACACAGTGCTGATTGGTGCGTTTACAAACCTTTAGCTAGACACAGACTGCTGATTGGTGTGTTTACAAACCTTTAGCTAGACAGAAAAGTTCTCCAAGTCCCCACCCGACCCAGAAGCCCAGCCGGCTTCACCTCTCAATGGTGGGACTTCACGGCACCTAGCCCGGGCACTCCGGCAGCCCAGAGGAAGCTCGTCCCAGATCAAGCCCAGCAGGCGCCAGCCACAGCACCGGCTCCCGCCCACGCCTCTCCCTCCACACCTCTCTGCGAGCAGAGGGAGCCGGCTCTGGCCTCGGCCAGCCCCAGAGAGAGGCCCCCACAGCGCAGCAGCTGGCTGAAGGGCTCCTCCAGCGTGGCCAGAGCGGACGCCGAGGAGGCGCCGAGAGCAAGCGAGGGCTGCCAGCACGTTGTCACCTCTCACCTCCACGCCCAGCTAATTTTTGTACTTTTAGTATAGACAGGGTTTCACCATGTTGGTCAGGATGGTCTTGATCTCTTGACCTCATGATCCGCCCGCCTGGGCCTCCCAAAGTGCTGGGATTAGAGGCCTGAGCCACCGTGCCTGGCCTGCATATTTTTAAGGTTCACACACGTTATAACATGAATCAGTAACTCACTTCCTTTTATTGCCAAATAATATTCCATTGCAGGAATGGACCACATTGTGTTTATCCGTTCATCCGCTGATGGACATTTAGGTTGTCTCCACTTTCTGGCTGTTGTGAACACTCATGGACAAGCTTCTGCGTGGACGTGTATATTTCCAGTCACTCAACCAAAAGAACACACAAAAGGTGAACCAGTTTCCAACTGAGACATTCATTTAATTTGACCTACTATATTATTTAAAATATAGAGAGATGAGATAATTAGGAGAAATAAATGACCAAAGGAAGTGCAGAAATAAAGACACTAAGAGACAAGAGCAAACCCTGATGTGACGGAATAAACGGTGATTGAAGAAAGAGATGCTATTTCTAGGATGGGTCCTACAGGTACATTTGCAAAACACTGTGCCTATAGCCTTGCTGGTAACAGCATGAAAATTCCACAGCACCTCCATACAGCCAAATACAGTGCGGCCATGGAAAGAATGTACCGGAAAATGTACTGATATGGAAAGATCTCTCAAACATAGTTGAAAAAGGCAAGGTTCAGAAACTTTTTAAAAAGAAAAGGGTAAGGAAAAAAACAGAATACATACACTTGTTTGCTTGCAAAGTTACAAAGTATCTCTAGAAGGATACACAAGAAGCTGGTCCAGCAAAGCTTCCAGGGGAACCAGGTTCCAGGGTAGAGACTAGGAGGCTTCACTGAGCTCCCTTTGTACTTTTGAACCACGTATATTATCTGCTCAAAAATGTTAAACAAAATTGAAACTTTCTAGGAAGCAAAAATAGAGAATCTGTGAGAATCAAGACATTTACACTTAGGAAAGCAAGTTACAAGAGAGGCCCAGGAAGATGGAAGCAGCCGACGTGGGAAATGTGTCAACGAGTCCCTCCCCCTGCTGCGCCAGCCATTCTCTGAGGGCAACTCCCCATCCTAAACCCAATCATCTTTACTGAAGCCAGTGCTCAAAGAAAATGTTGCAATCTGCAGCAAGACATTCAGAACACAAACAGCCAAGTGCCATGGCTCATGTCTACAATCCTGGCACTTTCGGAGGCCGAGGTGGGAGGATCACTTGAGCCCAGGAGATGGAGGCTGCACTGAGCTGTGATCATACCACTGCACTCCAGCCTGGACAACCCACCCTGACTCTCTCTCTAAAAAAAAAAAAAGAAAATACAAATGTATCTGCTGCCCTCAAGGACTTCCCAGTCTAGAGGGGAGAAAATATTATGTGATTGTGCAGTGACCAAAAGCACCACCTAGAGCACTACGAGAGGGGGTGGAGCACCTGAGGACAAGGCAGCGATCCAGGAGGCGCTCCCACAGACATTACCTGAGTCTGAGTCAAAGGGCTGAAGGAACCAGTGAGCTTGGCTTAGTTTTGGAAGGAGGGACGCCAAGAAAGACTTGGCCCATGACCACATGGCAGTTTTTCTGGAGAGCAGAGTAGGTTGGGGTCACGCAGCGCTGTGGAGCATGGTCCAGGAGGCACTGGGGAGCCAGGGAGGAGAGCCAGGCAGCAGAGTCACTCGCCTAGACGCTCTGAGCCTGGCGCCATCCTGTGCACTGTAGGATTTCAACAGCATCCCCAGCCTCCACAAATCCTTGGCCATCCCCTCCTAGTTGGGACAACCAAAAATGTCTCCAAATATTGCCAAATGTGGCAGGAGGGCGGGGAGTGGTGTCAGAATCACCCCTGGGGAGATCACTGCCCTGTTTATATCATCTGAGCAGCTATGTGGCAGAGACAGGGGAGTGGCTCAAGGCTGGGGCAGGAGAGCCCCAGGAGGTACAGCGTAGTGCAGGAGGGACATGGTGCAGGTCCCACTCAGGCAGGGGTTCTGATCACTGTTCAGGGGGAACTGGCAAGAGGACCTGGAGCCGTACCACATGGCAGCTGAGAGGGGGACCCAGCACGCCAAAATTCTAGGTGGTGACCAAGCAGGTGAAGGTCCCAAAGCCCCAAAGGGTTGAGGCCAGAAGTGAATGTGGGTGCTGAGTCTGAGCCGCCTCAGGGGCTCTCGCGCATGGTGGCCGGCTCCAGCGTCCAGCATCTGCGGCTGAGGGGAGACATCCAGCTGCACCTTCAGTCATGGTGAGATGGCCCAGACAGCAGGTACGGGCTCCTCAGCTCTGCTCAGCACAGCGTCCGAGCAGGGGCTCACCTTCCCCATAGGAGGCTGTACGTCACACCCTGCTTTGGTCCGTGGACCCTGAGATGCCAGTCCAGGATGGTGCCGGAAAAGACACTAGGTTTCTGCCACTCTCTTGCCATAAAAACAGCATGTGCCACATAAGGCCTGGTCCTGGATCTGGAAATGAAGACTCTTGGAAAAGAGTCACAAGCAAACGAAACGCGGGCAGGAATCAGCCTCTGCTGCTGTGAGCGCTGCAGTGCTGGGGTTGCTACTGCAACTCGCTCTGGAGAAAGCTGTCCAGTAAACTCCTGGATTTGGATTTCTTCCTTCACCAACCCATCCTACAGAACATTGCCAATTAAATCTCCCTAAACCATTAATCAGGACATCCCCTGCTCACAAAGCTGCCTGCGGTGGCTCCCGGTTAGCTAGAAAATTAAAATCTAGGCCGGGCGCAGTGTCTCACGCCTGTAATCCCAGCACTTTGGGAGGCCAAGGCGGGCGGATCACGAGGTCAGGAGATCGAGACCATCCTGGCTAACACAGTGAAACCCCGTGTCTACTAAAAACACAAAAAATTAGCCGGGCATGGTGGTAGGCACCTGTAGTCCCAGTTACTTGGGAGGCTGAGGCAGGAGAATGGCGTGAACCCAGGATGCGGAGCTTGCAGTGAGTCGAGATCGCGCCGCCGCACTCCAGCCTGGACGACAGAGCAAGACTCCATCTCAAAAACAAAAAGAAAATTAAAATCTAAAGCCTTTAACTGGAATTCAAAGACCTTCTCATTATGACCCTTATCTCCCATTATTCCTTACACAACCTTTAAACCGCTAGAAACCACACATAACCAACCTTCTCACCTTTGCTCCCAAAATGTGAAAATACTTCTGTCTGCAGTGCTATGTCCCTACTCTTCCCTCTTCATATCCCACTGAGTACGGTTCAGCTAGAAGACCACCTCGTCTTGAAGCCTCCCTTCACTGCTGCAGCCCCCTGCAATTATCTCCCCTTTAAACTTCTAAAGCAAACTTTTCTGTAAATGGCCCAGATAACAAAGGGTTTAGGCTTTGCGGGCCGCACAGCCTCTGCACAAGGAGTCAGTTCAGCCAGAGCGGCCATGGACAATACAGAAAACACAGAAATAAGCAGGCGCAGCTGTTGAATAAAACCTCATTTACAAAAACACGCAGAGGAGTCTGCCAGGGGGCTGCAGTGTACTGACCCCTGGTCTGGAGTACGGGTTAGGCCTTTAATCACAGAAGGACTCATATCCGTAGCAGATTTTTTCTTTTTAAGTTCCCCGAAAGCATGTCTGTGGCACTACAATGTACGTACAACTGAGCATAAATTAGATGTTCGATTTTAAAACTACAAAACAATACTTGGAAAACACTTGCATACAAAATTGAAAAAAAAATTATTAATGCTAAATATTATGGTTTTCCCACAGAAATCCAAAAACTCAAAAGAAAAGGAGGGGAAAGCCACACTAAATGTTGCACCAAGAAAAATTCCACCCAATGGATCATAATAGCGGCCACTAATCTCTTTTCACAATACACGAACTATGTCAAAGACTGGTACGAGTTTCATAACAAGATTATCAATGGAGGGGGGTGCTATTTCATGTTAACAAAACTCAGATATATGATAATAAAATTACTTTGTCACCATCACATTTCAGGGGGTTAGCAGGATGGCAGGCACCAGTGACCAACACGAGTTTTAGGGAAGACTACCCCTGCAAAATCCTGGTCTCAGGTGTCTTGATACCAAACACAGCAGAAGTGGCAGAGGAGTTGGCGTGCAGACCAGCTGAGGAGGAGGATCACAGCAGGTGGAAACAGTGTGGCCAGGGTATGGAAGTCAGGGTCAGACTCAACCTCAGGGCACAGCAAAGACTTGTCAGATAAACTTGGGAACAAGTCTAAGTGGCAGATGAAAGACACAACGAGGCAAGCACAGTGGCAGCAGAGACAGCCAGTGTCAGAGGGTAAGGATTTCACTTGTTGAAGCAAGAAAGGTAACGAGAAGGGACAGGAGACAGGCCAGGCAGGGTAGTCCAGCTCTGCGAGGGAGTCTGTCCAGCTCTGCGAGGGAGTCTGCTCCACAGGCTGAACACCAGAGTCTACTCTTTTGAGCCATGCCTTGTGGTGTCTTTACAGGACACCTGCAAAGCTAACTGTGAGACGGATCGCATAAGGTCTATGACGCAGGACCTTGAGTCAACGAAGAGGCACAGCAGAGGGGCTTTGCTAGTAGAAGTAGGTGTTTCAATATAAGAGCGTATTTCATGGACTTTTTTTCAACAGCACCAAAGAAGCCAGTACAAGCCTACCAGGAGGCTGCATTCTCTGAACTACTATTGATAAATTGTTCAAGGACATGCCAACTCTCCATGTAGCATGTAGCTTCCACAGCCCATCCCAGCAGAGAGGTAGGAGACAAAACTGGGATGGGCATTTAAAAATCTATCTTAGGCTATTTGTGTTACCACTATCTAAACATTAAATATTCTCACTTTAAAGGTCACAAATCTCAAAACACTCTACTAAAGGTGGAAGGGTTTTCCCTAATCTTTGTGTCACACAATATGAAGGTGATGAGATGCGATTTTCTAAGGTAAAGCTAAGATACAGAGGGAAGAGGTGACCAGACTTGAGGAGGACCATCTCCTTGAGAAATATGGGGAATCTTTCCACTATGTTCTGAAACAAGTTAAATCTTACTTCTCGGCCGGGTGCGGTGGCACACGCCTGTAATCCAAGCACTTTGGGAGGCCGAGGCGGGCAGATCACGAGGTCAGGAGATCGAGACCATCCTGGCTAACACGGTGAAACCCCGTCTCTACTAAAAATACAAAAAAATTAGCCGGGCGTGGTGGCGGGAGGCTGAGGCAGGAGAATGGCGTGAACTTGGGAGGCGGAGCTTACAGCAAGCCGAGATCTCGCCACTGCACTGCAGCCTGGGTGACAGAGCAAGACTCTATCTCAAAAAAAAAAAAAAAAAAAAAAAGGCCGGGCGCGGTGGCTCACTCCTGTAATCCCAGCACTTTGGGAGGCTGAGGCGGGTGGATCACGAGGTCAGGAGATCGAGACCATCTTGGCTAACATGGTGAAACCCTGTTTCTACTAAAAATACAAAAAATTAGCCAGGCGTGGTGGCAGGTGCCTGTAGTCCCAGCTACTCGGGAGGCTGAGGCAGGAGAATGGTGTGAACCCAGGAGGCGGAGCTTGCAGTGAGCCGAGATCACGCCACTGCACTCCAGCCTGGGCAACAGAGCAAGACTCTGTCTCAAAAAAAAAAAAAAAAAAAAAATTCTTACTTCTCACAACAGCTTAGCAGGCAGAATGTTACACTGCTGGTGATTCCACCTTCTCACTTTCTGTTATGTCCTCCCTGTCACTTAACGTTTATTTTAATAAATCACCGTTTCTGTTGCAAGGATAATACTGAGAAGTATAACAACAATGGCAGGCTGGGCACAGTGACTCATGCCTGTAATCCCAATACTTTGGGAAGCCAAGGCAAGTGGATCACTTGAGCTCAGGAGTTTGAGACCAATCTGGGTGACATGGCAAAACACATCTCTACAAACAAAACCGAACAAAAAAATTAGCCAGGTGTGGTGACACACACCTGTAGTCCCAGCTACTTGGGAGGCTAAGGTGGGAGGATGCCTTGAGCACAGGAGGTCAAGGCTGCAGTGAGCCATGATCGCACCACTGCACTCCAGCCTGGCCAGCAGAGTGAGACCCTGTCTCAAAAACAAGCAAAAACTGGCTGGGCGCGGTGGCTCACACCTGTAATCCCAGCACTTTGGGAGGCCGAGGCGGGCGGATCATGAGGTCAGGAGATCGAGACTATCCTGGCTAACACAGTAAAACCCCGTCTCTACTAAAAATACAAAAAATTAGCCAGGCGTGGTGACAGGAGCCTGTAGTCCCAGCTACTCGGGAGGCTGAGGCAGGAGAATGGCATGAACCCAGGAGGCAGAGCTTGCAGTGAGCCAAGATAGTGCCACTGCACTCTAGCCTGGGCGACAGAGCGAGACTCTGTCTCAAAAATTAAAAATAAAAATAAAATAAAATAAAATATTCTTTTTTTTTTTTTGAGACAGAGTCTCGCTCTGTCACCCAGGCTGGAGTGCAGTGGCACAATCTTGGCTCACTGCAAGCTCCGCCTCCTGGGTTCAAGCGATTCTCTGTCTCAGCCTCCCCAGTAGCTAGGACTACAGGCGTGAGCCACCACACCCAGCTAATTTTTGTATTTTTAGTAGAGACGGGGTTTCACCATGTTGGTTAGGCTGATCTTGAACTCCTGACCTCAAGCGATCTGCTCGCCCCAGCTTCCCAAAGTGCTGGCATTACAGGTGTGAGCCACCGCACCTGGCCATTTTTCTCTAAGAACGTCTTAAAACAATCTTATATAATAATTCATCTAAGTATGTGAGGCTTGTCTCTCTTTTACCTTTATAAACATGTGTTCATCCAAATATGACCTCAGCTTTCTTGTGTGAGAAACCAGCGCCACAGACTTCCAGCTTAATGTAAACTTCCAGTTTACATTACATTGGCAGTGCTGGAGAAACTGAAGACCCACTGACCCAGCACATGCACCCCGGAAGCACCAGATCTTGGCAGTAATAACCATTCCTAACTTTCTAAAACACAGTGTGCCACGAACAAAGTGTTTCACAAGTCTTAATTTACTGAGTCCTCACAACAACCCTATGAGGCCAATATTATTAGTGTTCCCATTTTACAGATGAGAAGCCAAAGGCACAGAGACCTTGCCGAAGACCACAAAGCCAGTAAACAGAAGAGTCGCGACTCAGAGGCGGGCAGCCTGGCTCCAGAACCCGCCCTCCTGTCCACTCTGCTCCCCTGCCTCTCAGGAAGACAGCTGGCTACACCAAGTGCAGGGAGCGAGGCGCCACCCCCATTCATTCACTCCAAGCATTTATGGCTACAGAGCCTGCGCCCAGGGCGGTTTATGGAATGAGTCTCCTCGATTTACAGCCACACCTCCTATCAAATCGCCTTTCCCTCCCCCGGCGCGAGAATCGCACCTTGCTCCTTGTGGATCGGGCGCCGCCGACGGAACCACCTGCTGTCTATAGAGGGCACCTAGGACGCAGCGTCCAATTCCCCTCACTGGCTTCAAAAGACAAATCTCCGTATTGTTGTACCAGGAGGCACGAGAAGCCTCACCACTGTAGGTTTTTCAGCAGAGGTCACTGGAGGTCTGGTTAAACCCGTACAGCACTGAGGGGGAGGGGGCCCGGCTGCGTTTCCGAAGCTGCGCAGCGCCCACAGCAGCTGCTGGTGGGAAGCGGCTCGGAACACACCCACAGCTGCCAAGGAGCCGGCTGCACGTTTTAAAATAAAAAACGTCCTGGGCCCCAAAATGCACAGCCCGCCTCTCTCGCCGCCCTGGGCACGGAACGCCGCCTCCACCCACAGCACTCCAGCAACTGGGAAGCAACCGGGAAGCAACCGAGGGAATTCCAGCTCGGGGGGCAACCGGGAGGGGAAGGCTCCGAGCGCCGGAGCCCCAGCCCGCGCCTGCCGCAGAGGCGAGGCCGCAGAGCCCACCCGCAGGCGGCCATGACCCCACCTGGAGACGCCCATGTCCGCTCCCTGCGCCCCGGGGACAAAGCCCGAGGCTGCACCGCAGCGCACCGCAGCCCTGCACCCGGGCCGCCCTTCAGGACGCGGGCACCAGACCCGACCGGCGGGCATCCACCTTGTCCCCACTCCGACGGCGCCCGGGAATGCGGCCGGTGCCCCGAGCTCAGGCTGGGCACACGTGCACCCACACCCACCACGGGCGGGGTCCCCTCACACCCCCCTCGGGCAGGGGCACACTCACACCCATCTAGGGCCGGGCACACTCACACCTCCCTCGGGCAGGAGCACACTCACACCCCCCTGGGGCCGGACACACCCACACTCCCCTCGGGCCGGGCACACTCATACCCACCGTGGACAGGGGCACACTCACACTCACTCTGGACAGGGGCACACCCACACCCACATTGGGGCCGGGCACACTCACACCCACCTAGGGCAGGGACACAACTCACTCTGGACAGGGTACAGTCACACCCACTTCGGGCCGGGCACACGCGAACTCACCCACCCTCACACTCCCAGCCCGGCCCGTCGGCGCGCACCCGGGCCCCGCGCGGCCTCGGCCCCTCGAGCCTCCGCGCCCCCCGCCCGGCCGGGCCCCGCACACCCACGCCCCCTCCCTCCACGGCCCAGTCACAGCCCCTCCCGCCGCTGCAGTCGCCGCGGGCCTGGATTCCTTGCGCTGCCGGGCCTGGAGCCTCCGCCGAGGCTGGGCCAGGACCACGGGGACCGCAGCGCCGGCCCCTCCGCCATCTTCTTGGCCCGCGCCGCCCACCGCCCGTTGCCCGCGCTCTCACCGGCCGGCTGCGCGCGGGCCGCGCCGCCACAGTCCCTCATCCCGGCCCGCGCGACGCGCGTGAGCCAGCCGCCGCTCCCCGGCCTCTCTGCTGCTCCGCCGCTGCTGCCGCGGCAGCCCGTGCTGTCGGCGTCCTCCGCCGCCGCCGCCGGCCCAGTGCGCGGCGGCCGCGCGTCCTCCCGTCACCAAGCGCAACCCCCCGCCTCCGGCTCCGCCCCCGCGGCGGTCACTACCCGCCGCCAGGGGGCACTGCCTCGCGAGGCCGCATCACGCATGCGCTGGCGCGCGGCATGCCGGGAGCCGGAGTCCCGCGGAGGGCGCGCGCGGCATGCTGGGAGCCGCCTGGCCCCGCCCCGTCGCCGCGCCAGAGGCCTCCCGCGCGGACCTACCCTGTGAGTTAGCGGTGTCTTCCCGTCTCTTTCGGTGCAGAGCAGTTACCATCTGACACGTCTCGGTGTGGTTTGGTGTAATTTTGCCCTCTCAAACCACGTTGGGCTTCCCGAGTCTGAGATTTCACTTTTCTTCGACTCTAGAAATACAGCCATTCTTCTCAAAACGTGGGCTGCCCTGTTCCTCAGTCCTTCTTGTGGCGGGCTCGTGTCTCTTCACCTCCTGTTATTCTCACCTTTTTAGTCCTGTCACTTTTACTCGGTAATTCACTCAGCTGCAGCTCGACTAGTGCTCTATTCGGCGTTTTCTAATCTGCGTTCAGCCTGGTTTTCTAGATTCTCTTAGTGCCAGGTGCGTTTCTGGAAATTGAATCTGACTGGCATTTCTGGAGAAACGGAGGCTAAACAGCCTGAAGCTTCGATAGTAGAAGACAGGGGCGCACACCCTTCAGTCCTGGACATTCCCTGGGTCCTCAACTGTGAGAAGCCGCAAAGGGCTGAAAGGCCCCCGTCAAAAGTCATCCGTGGAGCTCCACCTCCTGCCCTGCAGCTCAGTCGCCTTGCAGGGACTCTCCCGCCTCAGGAGATCTCCCGTCGGGCTGTCTCGCCGCCCGCGCTTCCCTGTTGGGCCGTCGTCACACTTCACTCTTCACTCTTATACACAGGGCTCTGCTTTTTCGCCTCCCGCTCCCTCTCCACTGTATTCACTTAGAAAACCCAACTGGGCGAGCCCAACCCTTCTCCTCCATGACTGCTGAAGAAAATCACACATCCAGGCTGACTGCCTTCACCTTAAACTTGTGACAACACACTGGCGGCGAGCACTTCCCACCCCCGTGACCACACACTGGCGGCGACCATTTCCCACCCCTGTGACCACGCACTGGCGGCGAGCACTTCCCACCCCCGTGACCACACACTGGCGGCGACCATTTCCCACCCCCGTGACCACGCACTGGCGGCGAGCACTTCCCACCCCCGTGACCACGCACTGGCGGCGAGCACTTCCCACCCCGTGACCACACACTGGCGGCGACCATTTCCCACCCCCGTGACCACGCACTGGCGGCGAGCATTTCCCACCCCCGTGACCACACACTGGCGGCGAGCACTTCCCACCCCCGTGACCACACACTGGC
Source organism: Homo sapiens (assembly GCF_000001405.40). Classification (NCBI taxonomy): domain Eukaryota; kingdom Metazoa; phylum Chordata; class Mammalia; order Primates; family Hominidae; genus Homo; species Homo sapiens. The sequence continues at coordinate 144,687,213 of NC_000008.11, forward strand.
GGCGACCATTTCCCACCCCCGTGACCACACACTGGCGGTGAGCACTTCCCACCCCGTGACCACGCACTGGCGGCGAGCACTTCCCACCCCGTGACCACGCACTGGCGGCGAGCACTTCCCACCCCTGTGACCACGCACTGGCGGCGAGCATTTCCCACCCCTGTGACCACGCACTGGCGGCGAGCACTTCCCACCCCGTGACCACACACTGGCGGTGAGCATTTCCCACCCCGTGACCACACACTGGCGGTGAGCACTTCCCACCCCTGTGACCACACACTGGCGGTGAGCACTTCCCACCCCGTGACCACACACTGGCGGTGAGCACTTCCCACCCCGTGACCACACACTGGCGGTGAGCAGTTCCCACCCCGTGACCACACACTGGCGGTGAGCACTTCCCACCCCGTGACCACACACTGGCGGTGAGCACTTCCCACCCCCGTGACCACACACTAGCAGTGAGCACTTCCCACCCCGTGACCACACACTAGCGGTGAGCACTTCCCACCCCGTGACCACACATTTACAGTGAGCACTTCCCACCCCTGTGACCACACACTGGCGGTGAGCACTTCCCACCCCGTGACCACACACTGGCGGTGAGCACTTCCCACCCCCGTGACCACACACTAGCAGTGAGCACTTCCCACCCCGTGACCACACATTTACAGTGAACACTTCCCACCCCGTGACCACACACTGGCGGTGAGCACTTCCCACCCCGTGACCACACATTTACAGTGAGCACTTCCCAACCCCGTGACCACATACTAGCGGTGAGCACTTCCCACCCCCATGACCACACATTTACAGTGAGCATTTCCCACCCTGGTGACCACACACTTAACTAATTAAAAATATACAAAATATTTATAGAGGACATTTAACTCTTTTTTTTTTTTTTTTGAGATGGAGTCTTGCTGTGTCACCTAGGCTGGAGTACAGTGGCGCCATCTTGGCTCATTGCAACCTCTGCCTTCTGGGTTCAAGCAATTCTCCTGCCTCAACCTCTTGAGTAGTTGGGATTACAGGTGCCCACCACAACTCCTGGCTAATTTTTTGTATTTTTAGTAGAAATAGGGTTTCACCGTGTTGGCCAGGCTCCTCTCAAACTCCTGACCTCAAGTGATTCACCCACCTCAGCCTCCCAAAGTGTTGGGATTACAGGCGTGAGCCACCACACCTGGCCAAGGACACTTAACTCTTTAAGGACTTAAAAAGAAAATCTAAAGTCCCCACTAATGGAGGGGGACCTGTGTGGTGGCTCACAGCTGTAATCCCATCGTTTTTCCAGGCTAAGGTGGAGGAACGCTTGAGATCAGGAATTCGAGACCAGCCTGGGCTGCATAAGGCAACCCCGTGTCTACAAAAAGAAATTTTAAATTAGCCAGGCGTAGTCAAGAGGCTGAGGTGTGAGGATCACTTGAGCCTGGGAAGGTCGAGGCTGTGGTGAGCTGTGATCACACCACTGCCCTCCAGCCTGGGCAACAGAGCGAGACCCTGTCTCAGAAAGTAAAACAATAATAAATAAATGGAGGAACATAGCACGCTCGTGGACCAGGTGGTATAACATAGTAAAGATGTCGAGTCTTCCTAAAGTTATATAGAAATCCAAAATGTTAATAATCTTAATTCCAGCAAGATTTTTTGAGGACTGTAACAACATATTTTAAAAATTGCACAAAATAATATAGATCTAAAAATAGCACGTCCAATTGTGAAGGAGGACATGAAGGGGGACGGACCCTGCCAGAGATTAAGGTCTGCTCCTGAGCCGGGGTGTTTCACAGGCCCAGAAACACGCAAGGGAATGGAGCAAAGAGTTTAATCACATCCACACATCAAAACCAACGAGAAAAGGTCTATTGTTTAATAGAGCCTCTGTTTGTGAGCTACAGGGAGAAAAACAAAGTTGGATCCCTGGGCCACCCCGGGGTATTTACACATCCGTGTTCCTCTCCTAGGGAGGTGCCCAGGGCTCGCCTGGCGCATCACAGGGTGCCTGCAAGTTTGACTTTTTTTTTTTTACAAATATTTAACTAGAAGTAAGTTTGACTTTTTAAGAAGCCATCACACCACTCCCAGCAGCTCTCGCGAGTTACAGCTTCTCTGCGTTCTCACTAACACCTGCTGTGGCCAGTCTTCTGGTTTTCTTTTTGTTTTTTGTTTGTATTTAAAATACATAACATAAAATTTACCATCTTAACCATCTTTTTTTTTTTTTTTTTTTTTTTTTTTTGAAAAGGAGTCTCACTCTGCCGCCCAGGCTGGAGTGAAGTGGCGTGATCTTGGCTCACTGCAACTTCTGCCTCCCAGGTTCAAGCGATTCTCCTGCCTCAGCCTCCCGAGTAGCTGGGAGTACAGATGCCCACCACCACACCCGGCTAATTTTTGTATTTTTAGTAACATGGGGTTTCACCATGTTGGTTGGCCAGGCTGATCTTGAGCCCCTGACTTCAAATGATCTGCCCACCTCGGCCTCCCAAAGTGCTGGGATTACAGTTGTGAGCCACCACACCTGACTAATTTTTTTTTTTTTTTTTTTGTGACAGAGTTTTTTGCTCTTGTCACCCAGGCTAGAGTGCAATGGCGTGATCTCAGCTCACCGCAACTTCCGCCTCCTGGGTTCAAGCAATTCTCCTGCCTCAGCCTCCCGAGTAGCTGGGATTACAGGCATGTGCCACCATGCCCAGCTAATTTTTTGTATTTTTAGTAGGGATGGCGTGTCACCACGTTGGCCAGTCTGGTCTCAAACGCCCGACCTCAGGTGATCTGCCTGCCTCAGCCTCCCAAAGTGCTGGGATTACAGGCGTGAGCCACCGCACCAGGCCTATTTTTAATTTTTTGAGAAACCACCGAACTCTTTTTCACAGCAATTGTACCATTTTGTTATTTATTTATTTTTAAGATGGAGTTTCACTCTTGTTGCCCAGGCTAGAGTGCAATGGCATGATCTCAGCTCACTGCAGCCTCTGCCTCCCCAGTAGCTAAGATTCAAGCGATTCTCCTGCCTCAGCCTCCCCAGAAGCTGAGATTACAGGTGCCTGCCACCATGCCCAGATAATTTTTGTATTTTTAGTAGAGGCGGGTTTTCACCATGTTGGCCAAGCTGGTCTTGAACTCCTGACCTCCCACCCACGTTGGCCTCCCAAAGTGTTGGGATTACAGGCGTGAGCCACTGCAAAATTGTACCATTTTACATTCCCACCGACAGTGCATAAGGGCTCCAATTTCTCCATATCTTCTCCAACACTTGTTAATTTCTGTTTTTTTTTTACAGTAGTCATCCTAATGGATGTGAGGCGATATCTAATTGTGATTTTGATTTCCATTACCCTAATGATTAGCGATGTTGAACAACTTTTCATGTACTTATTTGCTCTACTTATATTTTCTTTTATAATGTGTCTGTTCACATCTTTTGCCTGCCTTTTTTTTTTTTCCCTTGAGACAGGGTCTTGCTCTGTTGCCCAGGCTGGAGTGCAATGGTATAATCTCAGCTCACTACAGCCTGGACCTCCTTGGCTCTGGTGATCCTCCTGCCTCAGCCTCCCAAGTAGCTGGAACTACAGGCACACACCACCACACCCAGCTGATTTTTTTTTTTTTTTTTTTGTAGTTTTGTAGAGACGGGGTTTCGTCATGTTGCCTAAGCTGGTCTTGAACTCCTGGGCTCAAGTGATATGCCTGCCTCAGCCTCCCAAAGTGCTGGGATTACAGGCATGAGCCACCTTGCCCAGCCCTTTTGTCCATTTAAAAAAATTGAGTTTCTGGGCTGGGCGCTTTGGGGCTCCTCAAAGCAGACTGAGCCACTCTGCTGGGATGGCACTGGAGACACAGCACCTGCCACTCGGCTTCTTTCTTGGCAGCTCTTCTCCCCGAGTCTCACCTCCTTGCTCCCCAGGTGACCATCCAGTGTGCAGACCTTGGCTCAGGACACTTCCTCAACTAGTGACTGTGTCTGGGGAAACAGGATTGATTTGCAGGCACAGCTGGCTCAGGAAGCCCCACAGACAGCTGCTTGGAGCCCTTTCCTCAAGTGGATCCAGGAGAGAGCTGGCTTTGAGGGCCTGGTGGATCATCCATGATGTCTGCCCTGTGTCTGCTGGAACCCAGCAGGATGTCCTGCTTGGACATCTGCACCTAAAATGCCAATGTCTTTGGTCTGGAATCATCTGATTGCAAGTGTGAGAAACAAACTCACCCGTCCAAACCCAAAGAATGGACTTAGAGACCAAGAGAACAGCGAAAGTGAGACTTTTAATGATGGCCTTGCAAGGTCGGGTGTCTAGTAGGCAGGCACACCCAGCACAGTCACAACAAGCAATTTATCCCCTAGTGTGCAGGTCCCTCCCCCAGTTCCTCATAGGCTGAGTACTAGGGGGTCACAGTCTTCCCAGATGTCACCTATTGATTGTTATGCAGAGGCTGTAGGTGTTTTTTTTAGGGTTGTCTTGCTACATTTTGTTGCAGCCCACAATGCATTGCAATCCTAGTCAGCTCGGGGGCTCTTTAAGAATTTGATTTATGACCTAAGTAGCTGGGAAGGCTGATAAGAACAGACAAAGCAAGCTATTCTGCAGGCTAGTAAACTTTCATCTCAGACTAAACTTCTTTGGATCGGGTGAGGGCCATTAAGCGGCGGGGTGGCGGGGAGGGGACAAGAAGCCGGCATTGACTACGCAAGCAGGGGCCTAGTTTATCCTGTTTCTTCTGTAGTTTGCTGTCCTAAACCGATTCAAGGCACTTTGTCTTGGAAATGGACCACCGTATACATTATTTCCTTCACAAGTAGAAGCTACACAGGCTCCTAAAACTGAAGAGGACTCACTGGAAGCCATGGGAGCTTCTTACAAGCAGATGGCATGAGGCTGACAAAGGGCCTGGAAAGGGCTGGCACTGTTCTCTCCCCACAGCCTTTGGCTTCCCTGCTGTCTCTCCCCACCACTTCCCTCTTTCTCTCTCTGTCTCTTTCCCCCTCCCTCTCTCTGTCTCCTTCCCTCCCTCCCTGCCCTCATCTGGCTATTCTGCTTTCCATGCAGGGGCTCCCCAATGCCCCGCCCCAGCTCTGTGGGGTCTCTTGGCACCAACCCTGGCACTAAATGGGATGTGTGTTACTAGCCTAAGGAGGAGTGGGGGTGGGATCTGTCTCTGCTGGAGACAGACATCAGCCCCTCAGCTGTGCACCCACAATCATCTGGTCCAGTCAGCATGGCCTGGGGCAGCCGCAGGAAAGCACATGGACCAAAGCAGGTCTCACAGTGAAGCGATTACTTGCTTAACTATAAATCCTCCTCAAAGACATTCCCAGTTGCTGCTCCTAGACATGACATCAGCGACCACTGAAAAAGGTGCTCAATGGGGGCTGTGGACCGGCTTGCTCTTCATACAGGGACTGTGTGGCTCAGGGTTGGGCCTGCAATCCGCCGCACCACTAATGCTCCACTTGGCCCCCATAAGCCATGGATGGCTTGGACTAGCTAAACCATCATAAAAACACTAGGAAGAGAAGAAAATGTGTATTGTAAAATTCTTTTTTTTTTTTTTTTTTTTTTTTTGGTGAGACGGAGATTTACTCTTGTCCCCCAGGCTGCAGTGCAATGGTGTGATCTCGGCTCACCACATCCTCTGCCTCCCAGGTTCAAGCGATTCTCCTACTTCAGCCTCCCGAGTAGCTGGGATTACAGGCATGTGCCAGCATGCCTGGCTAATTTTGTATTTTTGGTAGAGATGGGGTTTCACTGTGTTTCCCAGGCTGATCTCAAACTCCTGACCTCAGGTGATCCGCCTGCCTCAGCCTCCCAAAGTGCTGGGATTACAGGCGTGAGCCACTGCGCCCGGCCTTTTTTTTTTTTTTTTTTTTTATTGAGACAGAGCCTTGCTCTGTCACCCAGGCTGGAGAGCAATGGCACTGTCTCGGCTCACTGCAACCTCCGCCTCCCGGGTTCAAGCGATTCTCCTGCCTCAGCCTCCCAAGTAGCTGGGATTACAGGCATGTGCCACCATGCCCAGCTGATTTTTGTATTTTTAATAGAGGTGAGGTTTCGCCATGTTGGCCAGGCTGGTCTCGAACTCCTGACCTTGTGATCCTCCCACCTCGGCCTCCCAAAGTGCTGGGATTACAGGCGTGAGCCACCGCGCCCGGCAGTAAAATTCTTTTTTGTTTGTTTGTTTTTGAGACGGAGTCTTGCTCTGTCGCCCAGGCTGGAGTGCAGTGGCGCGATCTCGGCTCACTGCAAGCTCCGCCTCCCGGGTTCATGCCATTCTCCTGCCTCAGCCTCCCTAGTAGCTGGGACTACAGGCGCCCGCTGCCACCCCTGGCTAATTTTTTATATTGTTAGTAGAGACGGGGTTTCACCGTGTTAGCCAGGATCGTCTGGATCTCCTGACCTCGTGATCCACCCGCCTCGGCCTCCCAGAGTGCTGGGATTACAGGCGTGAGCCACCGCGCCCAGCCGCCTGGCCGTAAAATTCTTTGAGAGATTTGTTTCCCAATGAAAGCAGGTTTTGTTCTGGTGTTAGTTATTAAACAAATACTGATCACACACTGGTTTAGGCATCAGGGGTACAGCACTAAATGGAAAAGGAATGTCCCTGCCCTCCAGGAGTTTACATTTAGAAAGTTTGTGGGAAAGACAAATAACTAAGCCTGTCACACAGTGCTGCCATATGGAGCCAAGTGCAGTGGGGACAAGTCAGGCAAAGGGGGGAGGGAGACGGGGAGGCTGCAGAGAGGAGGTCTTTGTAGACAACAGAAGAGAGGGAAGGGCTGAGCCAAGCAAATAGCGAGGGCAAAGGAGAAAGGCAGTACAAAGGCCCTGAGGCAGGAATGTGACCGGAGGCCTACCAAGAGGAGAAAGAGCAGACTCCACGTTCAGAGAGAAGGAAGGGGATGGCGAGGGTCTGGGGACCTGAGTGAGTGGATGGGTGGGGTGATGGGACTTGTGTTTTAAAGGAAATATTCTGGTTGTTGTGAGGAATAGGCTGCATGGGGCAGGGGCCAGGTGGTGGCAGGCTTGGGGGAGCAGCAAGAGCTGGAGCCAAAAGGAGGCCAGCCTTGGTGGTGCAGCAGTGTAGGTGGCGGGGAGTGGGGTCTGCAGGGTCACCAAGAGGTTGGGTAATGAACGTTCACTGTTTCCATTTTCCCTGCTGCATGTGCATCCCTGGGCCCTAGCCTATGCACTGGCTCCCGTTTCTGTGGATGTCCCAGAGTGGAACGGCTCAGCCCAAGGACAGGTGCATTTGTGAATTTCAGAAATGCTCCTAGATTTCTTTATAAAGTGCCTGTGAAAATGTACCTTGCCACCAGCTGTGTGTGTTAACGCCGTTCCCCCACTACATGAGTCAGCTTTCGCTGAGTTGTGCGGTAGTAACAACTCCCAGATCTCTGGCTTTTAACATTGGAGTTTCAGGCCTTTGTGTTATGCACCTGCTCTTTAACGATCTTCATGCTGGTGTCAGCGCCATAGAGTATCTGTCCTGGACAAGCTGTTTTCATGGCAGTGCGGCAAAAGCCATGCTGGAATCTTATGATAACATTTCAGGCTGCTGAAAGGTGGCAGCTGTTTCACTGATCAAAGCAACATCATCAGTACAGGGGGGCCTTCTCCTTCCATAAGGAGGGACACTGCAAGTCTCATGGGTGGGCAGGGATGTCGTAGGCAGGAGTTATTGCAACAGAGTACAATCGATCAGCACCAAGTGCTATTGCTTTTTACATTTTTGCCAATGTCATGAGTGAGAAGTGATTGTTCACACATGAGTTTTAAGTTGCCCATTGATTAGTGAGGTTGAGCATCTTTTTCATGTTTATTGGCCATTTGGATTGTACCATCTATCAATCTATCATCCATTCTTTTATTTATTTATTTATTTTTGAGCTGGAGTCTCCCTCTGTGGCCCAGGCTGAAGTGCAGTTGCGCTATCTCAGCTTACTGCAAGCTCCGCCTCCCGAGTTCACGCCATTCTCCTGCCTCAGCCTCCCGAGTAGCTGGGACTACAGGTGCGTGCCAACACGCCCGGCTAATTTTTTGCATTTTAAGTAGAGACGGGGTTTCACCGTGTTAGCCAGGTTGGTTGCGAACTCCTGATCTCATGATCTGCCCGCCTCGGCCTCCCAAAGTGCTGGGATTACAGGTGTGAACCACTGCGCCTGGCCATTCTAAGCACTTTCTATACACCATTAATTCATTTGATCCTCACCACGACCCTGTTTCATTGACAAGGACACCGAGGCCCAGGGACTGTCTCTTCTAGGTGACTTCTGAAAATGTGACAGGAGAGCCAGACACTGCATGTACTGTTGTACTTGAGCGAGTTAGAGAAAACGCCACACTTTGAGACGAATTAAGAGTCTGTTTATTTAGCCAGCGGCCAAGAGACGGCTAGCGCTCAAAGTTCTCTCGGCCTTGAAGAAGGGGCTAGATTTTCCTTTATACTTTGGTTTAGAAAGGGGAGGGGGGTCTAGTTAAAACAATTTTACAGAAATAAAGTAGGCAAAAAAGTTAAAAGGATAAATGGTTACAGGAAAGTAAACAGTTCTAGGTGCAGGGGCTTAAAGACGATTACAAGGTGATAGACGCGGGTCGTTGGGCGTTATCAATGGGACAAATTCTTGGGAACTGCGGATATTGCTCGCCACAGTATCTTATCAATTAATTGCATTCTTGGATGTGCTGGGAGTCAGCTTGCACAAGTTAAATCCTTGAGGAAGGGGCTGCCAGTGAAAGAGCCGAGATGGAGTCTGTCTGGCTCTTAGCTAAGGGAGAGTCAATTCAGGTGGAACCAAGGCTAGGTGATTAAAGGAAAGAGGGAGAGTCTAAAAACAGGGTTAGTGAAAACAAGCTTGGGGATTACAGTACTAAGCACTGGGCCACACGCTGCCTCCACTTTGCTCTGCCGCATGTCTTCATACTTTTCTTGCCCCAGTTAAATTTTTTTTTTAAGACAGTCTTGCTCTGTCACCCAGGCTGGAGTGCAGTGGCACAATCTCAGCTGACTGCAACCTCCGCCTCCTGGGTTCAAGCGATTCTCATGCCTTAGCCTCCTGAGTCGTTAGGATGACAAGTACGTACGACCACACTTGGTTAATTTTTGTATGTTTAGTAGAGACGGGGTTTCGCCACGTTGCCCAGGCTGGTCTTGAACTCCTGACCTCAAGTGATCCACCCGCCTTGGCCTCCCAAAGTGCTGGGATTACAGGGTGAGCCACCGCACCTGGCCGTGCCCCAGTTAAAATTTGTCTATCAATTTCATTTAAGGGATCTTTTGTCATACAAGTCTTTTTCATTTTATTAAATAAATATGCCTAATCTGTTTTTTATAGCTTCTGAGTTGCCCGTCACGGTTACAAAGGATTCCGCTGATCTATCTTGCACATATGATGTCCTAAATTTTCACTAAGATTTTTATTGCTCTGAGTTTTAAAAAAATTTTATTGTGGTAAAATTCATATAACATAAAATTTACCATCTTAACCTATTTTAAGTGTACAGTTCAGTGATATTCAATACATTCACAATGTTGTGCACTTATCACCATCATCCATCTCCAGAACTCTTTAACTGTGTAAAACTAAAACTGTCCCCATTAAACACTAACTCCCCATTCTCCCCTCCCCTCAGTCCCTAGTAACCAACATTCTTTCTGTCTGTATGGATTTGAATGCTCTAGGTACTGCACATAAGCAGAATTATACAGAATTTGTCGTGACTGGCTTATTTATTGCTCTGTTTTTAATTAAGGCTTTAAATACCTCTAGAAATATTTTCATATATGTTATGAGACAGAGGACAACTTTAATTTCTTCTAAATATATTAATGATCCTGGTCGGGCGCGGTGGCTCATGCCTGTAATCCCAGCACTTTGGGAGGCCGAGGCAGGCGGATCACTTGAAGTCAGGAGTTTGAGACCTGCCTGACCAACATAGTGAAACCCCATCTCTACTAAAAATACAAGAAAATTAGCCAGGCATGATGGCATGCGCCTGTAGTTCCAGCTACTCGGGAGGCTGAGGCAGGAGGATCGCTTAAACCCAGGACCTGGAGGAGGTTGCAGTAAGCTGACATCGTGGCTTGGGTGACAGAGCAAGATCCCTCTCAAAAAAAAAAAAAAAAAAGTAATAGCTTTAGCATATCGTTCTATAAATGATGCTTGTTCTTGGAGTTTATGGTTAATAATTTTTACCATATTTAAATCATTTTCATTTATTCCTATTTTCTTTGAAATTTTACTCAGAATGGCTCTAGAATTGTATTCAATGTTATTATTTAGCATATGTGGATGGAATGCTGTTTTTTCTTTTTCTTTTTCTTTTTTTTTGAGAAGGAGTTTCACTCTTGTTGCCCAGGCTGGAGTGCAATGGCGTGATCTCAGCTCACTGAAACCTCCACCTCCCGAGTTCAGGCAATCCTCCTGCCTCAGCCTCCCATGCCCAGCTAATTTTTTTGTATTTTTAGTAGAGACAGGGTTTCACCATGTTGGCCAGGCTGGTCTCGAACTCCTGACCTCAGGTGATCTGCCTGCCTCGGCCTCCCAATGTGCTGGGATTACAGGTGTGGGCCACTGCACCCGGCCTGTTTTTTCTCTTTTAATTTGTTGAGCTAATGAATTGCAATGGTATGTAGGTATCCTTGTATTCCTGAAATAAACCATACTTGGCCATGGCATATTATTTTTTTGATATGCTGCTTGATTCTATTTGCTACTGTCTTATTTATAATTTGTTTTTCAATATTAAACATAGAGATCTGGGTCTATAGATTCTTTGAGCTCTATCATTTTGGCGTGTTAAGCTTCGCTATGGTTTGGGTGTTTGTCCTCCTAAACCTCATGCTGAGATTTGATCCCCAATGTTGGAGGTGGTACTTGGTAGGAGGTGTTTGGATTATGGGGGTGGATCCCTCATGAATGCGTGGTGCCCTCTTCATGGTAATAAGGGAGTTCTAGTTCTATGAATTCCCCCAAAAGCTGGTTGTTTAAACAAGCCTGGCCTCTACCCACTCTCTTTCTTGCCTTTTCTCTTGCTGTGTGATCTCTGCACACCAGCTCCCCTTCATCTTCCACCATAAGTGAAAGCAGCCTGAGGCCTCACCAGTAGATACTGGTGCCATGCTTCCTGCACAGCCTGCAGAACTGTGAGCCAAATAAACCTCCTTTCTTTATATTACCCAGTCTCAGGTATTCCCTTTATAGCAACATAGACTTAGACAAGCTTACAGACAGAAGGCTTCGTAAAGTGAATTGAGGTTTTTAATCTTTTTCTGTGGCTTGGAAGATTGTAATTAACTTTCAAATTATCTGATCTCTAAAGGTTGGTGAGAGCTCAGCTGTGATCTGGAGCCATCTAGAGCTTTCTTAATGGTAGCTTTTTAATCACCTCTCTAATCTGTTTTTTTTTTGGCAATTAGTTAATTCAAGTTTTCTACTTTGGCTCAGCTTTAGTATTTTGCTAGGAACCTATCTGTTCCATCCATATTTTCTTGGCTTTTCCTGGCCTGCCTGGCACAGTCTGTACTGAGAGGACGAAGGCCTTTTCCATGAGTGTCCTTGGCCATGAGTGGGTCAGGGCATCTCCTTGTTGGCTTGGGTATCAGTGGGGAGTGGAATGAGGACACAGCTTCACCTCTAAGGACTCAGAAGCCTTCTTGCAAAGACAAGGCCACCCCTCCCTTGGGGGGGTTGGGGGGTCCAAGATGTGAATAAACATGGAGTGTTCACACCATCCCACGGCCTGCAACCCCAGTGAGAAGGCCCCAGCCGCGTTTCTCTTTGGAGTGGCCCATCCATAGCATTCTGCCTAAAAAAGCAGGGTCCTGGAGTTCCAGGGCTTCTCACTGCACAGGGCGTGGGACACACCTCTTGTCTCTTGGGAGGTACCCGGAGCCCAGCCTCTCAGGCGCTGGGCGATGCAGGGGGTGGGGACTGTAAGCCCTGGGAGATGGGGCAGTGAGGGGCGCTGTGAGGCAGGGTGGTGTGGGAACTGAAGGTGGGGGCGCTATGGAGGATGCGGGGTGGTGTGTTGTAGGGGAGGGCGGTGTAGGGGATGGGTGGGGCAGGGCAGTGGGGCGGGGCCTTGGGGCGGGCGCTGTGGGGCGGGGTGGTGTGGGGGGCTATGGGAAGGGGCACTCTGGGGAGCTGTGGGGTGGGGTGCTGTGGGGCACCTTGGGGCGGGCCGGTGTGGGGGTGCTGTGGGTGGGGCAATGTGGAGGGTCATAGGTTGGGGCCTTGAGGCGGGGGTGGGAGGCTGTGGGGTATTGTGGGGTGGGGCCTGGCGCTGTCAGGGGCGGTGGGGCTGAGGGACCCGAGGTCGAGGCCTCGTGAGGCGCTGTGGGGCAAGGTGCTGTGGGAGGCTTAGGGGGCTGGTGGGCTGGGGGCACGGAGGGGAGGCTGTGTGGGCGCTCGGCGGCAGGGCGGGGCGGGGTGCTGGTGGGCTACGGGACGGGAGGGTGGGACAGTCTGCGGACCATGCGGGGCTGGGTGGGCTGGATCAGTGCCCAAGTTGACTTCGCGTCACCAACTGGCATGAGGTTTGGGTAGGAAAGCGGGCTTCTCACAAGAATAAAATCCATCAAGGTCCTCTGTCTCCACTGGAGCCCCCAGTCACAGCGCCTTCCTCCGGGCTAGAACCTGTCGGGGGCCCCCAGCCTGTCCAGGGCCGCTGTCTTCCAGGAAAGAGAGAGCTGTGCCCAGAGAGGAGACAGAACTCTTTCTCCGTGAATCGCATCCTTTTCTGTGCGGGATGATTTACATTCTGGGAACAAACGGGGCCGTATCTCACAGTGCTGCAGGATGCCAGTGGTGCAAACAGTCGGCGACCCGGCCATTTCCCGAGGGTCTCAGGCGTCCCACCCAACGGCCGCTCCCCGTTCCCTGTCCGTCACCTCCTCGTTCTCCTACGAAGGCGCGAACGTTCCAGACTCTCGCCGGTCCTCGACAGCACTCATTCAGTCTCCCCCCTGGAGATCCCAGGCTGTACTCTGGGACAGAAAAGAAGGCGGGTACGACCGCGGTGTCGGGTCCTACCTTAGCCGCTCCTTCTCCTGAGGGAGCCAGGCGGGAGAGAGGGGAACCACCGAGGCCTCGGTCTTCCCGCGTCCCAGAGCGGCCGGGCGAGTCTCACTTCCGGCCTGTGACCCGCTGACCTGTCCTTGTCCCACCAGTCGGGCGGTGAATTGGACTGACTGGTGACCCCTGGCACCAGGCTTCCCCATGGGCACCGGAGCAGGCGGACAGGGGTGGGGTCCCGCGAGCGACACGGAAGGGTCAGTGTGGCGGAGCGGACCCTGTGGAGGCGGGGTCACTGTGCTCCTGAGAAGGGTCCTCGGGGGTGGAGTCTATCAAGGTTGCGGGGGCGTGGTCACGGAGCGGAGCCAATAAAAGCGGGGCGTGCACGGCCGCGGGCCAGTGCCTATGAAGGGCGAGGGGTGTGGTCACAGGGCGGGATCTACGAAGGATGCAGGGGCGAGGCCGGGTCTCTGCAGGATGTGCGGTCGCGGGTCGGAGTCTATAAAGGCAAGGGGCGGGGTCCCTGGGTTGGGTGAGGGGTGTGGTCATGGGGGGCAGGTCTGTGTAGGGTGAGGAGCTTGTTCCCCGAATGAGGGTCTGTGAAGGGTGAGGGGCATGTTCCTGGGGTGGGGGTGTTTGTGAAGGATGAGGAGAGTTTTTCCGGCATGAGGGGCTGTGAAGGGTGAGAGCCATGTTGCCGGTGGTGCGGGTCTGTGAAGGGTGAGGGGAGTGTTCCTGGAGCAGGATATGTGAAGGGTGAATGACGTGGTTTCGGGGTGAGGTTAGTGCAGGATGAAGGGAGTTGTCTAGGAGCTGTGTCCTCTAAGGTGAGGGGCGTGGTCTCTGGGCGGGGTCCGCCATTTTGTCTGGTGAAAGTTGGGAAGGGACAAGCGAGACTCCCACCTCTGGCCTCATCCTCAGCCCTGCGTTTTCCCCACTTGTACTGCCAGAAAGCTGAGTGGTGGCAATCACTTTTGGAGTCTTCCTGAGACAATCCACCAATATGAAGTAAACTCGAGGAAGTGAGAGGAAATCATTCGTTCATTCATTGATTCCACTCAAGGATCACCCAGGGCTCCTCTCTCAGCTCTTCTTCTCACGTCCAATGCCCTACAAGATATCTAGAAGCTGCCCTGCTGTCCCTGCACGGCTCTTGGGCCGGAAGCGTGCTGGGGGTGGTGGGGGCCAGGGAATAGCATAAAGAGGGAAATGTGGAGCAGAGCCTGGCTCTGTCTGTGCAGGACTCTCCTCTCAAGCATGAATGGCCATGGGATGGTGATGACAGGTGGTACCTCTGACTTAGCAAACGTGGAGCACTGAGATAGGAAAGGGCCACTGGACCCCAACCTGTGCCCTGGACCACAGGTTTCCTCCCGTGTCCTCTCCTGCCTCCAGACTGCCCTCTGCAAGAAGCCAGAGTGATGTCTTCCATTGCTGCTTGTTAGAAATAAATGCTCATTCCCTGGTGTCGCAAGGAAGAGGCAGCATTTAGACAAAAAGTACTCTCAGCAAGGCAACTTTACTTTCTGCAGAAATGGTACTGCTTGCCAGCAGTCTTGCCAAGAGAGTACACCGAACAAAGGGAGACAGGAATATGTATCCCTAACGCATGAGGTCCCTACTGCTGTGTCCTATCTCCGTTGGCTGAGTTGGACCTCACATTCTAGGCTGAACTTAATTGGTTAACAATTTAAAACTTTCTAAATAGGTAAAGACAATGAGGAACAAAGGAAAAGAGGAAGTTGCTTACGAAAGGACTTTAGAACAGTAATAACATTTCTGAATAAGGAAGGGGCATAGGCTGCAAGCTGGGACATGTCTGGGCACGTCCAGCACGAATATTTCGGTTAAGGTACAAGGACACAGAATGTACTACATGTCTGTGAAAATGTCTAACACAAATACTGAAGTCAGAGTATACAGGCATACGGTATGCTTATTCTGTTACATTTGCTATATAAGGCATAACAGAGTTATCACTATAAAATAACAAGCTTGAATAGAACTAGCTCTGAGAGAAAATACCAATAACATTTCTGATTTAAAGAAGAAACTTTGAAGAGGAACTTTTTACTTTCCACACTGCTCTTAATTTTGAGAATGTTCAAATCCACAGAAAAGTATTATGAACACCATAAACTCTTCATTTAGATTCTATAGTTGTTGACATTTTGCCACACTGGCTGTATCTTTGAATATATTTACTTTTTGCTGCTGAAAAGTAATTTGAAAATACCGTTGACCCTTGAATAATAAAGGGGTTGGGGCAGTGACCCCTGTGCAGTTGAAAATCAAAGCATAACTTTTAACTCCCCTAAAATTTAACTACTAATAGCCTACTGTTGACTGGAAGCCTTACGCATAACATAGTCAATTAACACATTTTTTATGTTATATGTATTATATACTCTATTCTTTAGATAAGCTAGAGAAAAGAAAATGGTGTTCAGAAAATCATAAGGAAGACATAATATATTTAATATTCATTAAGTGAAAGTGGATCATCATAAAAGTCTTCATCCTCATTGTCTTCACATTGAGTAGTCTGAGGAAGAGGAGGAAGAGGAGGATTGGTCTTGCAATCTCAGGGGTGACTGAGTTGGAAGAAAATCCAATTATAACTGACCCTTGCAGTTCAAACCTGTGTTGTTTCAGGGTCAGCTGTAATTTGTAGACATCATGACACTTTCCCTTAGGTACCTCAGCCTATTTCCTAGAGATGAGGACATTTTCTTACATGATAGCAATACTTTATTTCACCTGAGAAAATTAACAATTATCCCGTGGTCCCCGGGCACGGTGGCTCATGCCTGTAATCTTAGCACTTTGGGAGGCTGAGGTGGGTGGATCACGAGGTCAAGAGATCGAGACCATCCTGGCCAACATGGTGAAACCCCATCTCTACTAAAAATACAAAAATTAGCTGGGTGTGTTGGCATGCACCTGTAGTCCCAGCTACTTGGGAGGCTGAGGCAGGAAAATCACTTGAACTCAGGAGGCAGAGGTGGTGGTGAGCCAAGATCGTGCCACTGCACTCCAGCCTGGCGACAGAGTGAGACTCCGTCTCAAAAAAACAAACAAAAGCAAAAATCCTGTGGTCACATAACTTATTTCTCCAATTGTCTCTAAAATGTCTGCATAGCTGGGTTTTTCCCCTCTAATTCAGAAGCTAATCAAGATTGCATGTTGCATTTAATTGTGTCTCTTCAGGCTGTTTTTTTTTTTTTTTTTTTTGAGACAGAGTCTCGCTCTGTCGCCCAGGCTGGAGTGCAGTGGCGTGATCTCGGCTCACCGCAAGCTCCTTCTCCTGGGTTCAAGCCATTCTCCTGCCTCAGCCTCCCGAGTAGCTGGGACTACAGGCGCCTGCCACCATGCCCAGCTAATTTTTTGTATTTTTAGTAGAGACGGGGTTTCACCGTGTTAGCCAGGACGCTCGATCTCCTGACCTCGTGATCTGCCTGCCTTGGCCTCCCCAAGTGCTGGGATTACAGGCGTGAGCCCGGCCTTTTTTTTTTTTTTTTTTTTTTTTTTTTGGAAACAAGGTCTCACTCTGTCCCCAAGGCTGGAGTGCAGTGGCGCCATCATGGCTCATTGCATCCTCATCCTCCCAGGCTTAGGTGATCCTCCCACCTCAGCCTCCCGAGTAGCTGGAACTACAGGAATGTGCCACCACGCCTGGCTAATTTTTTGTATTTTTTTATAGAGACCAAGTCTTACCATGTTACCCAGGCTAGTCTCAAACTCCTGGACTCAAAGGATCTGCCTGCCTTGGCCTCCCAAAGTGCTAGGATTACAGGCCTAAGCCACCGCACCTCGCTGGCTGTTTTAATCTGGAATAGCTTCCCTGCTTTTTGTTTCTCTTTAGGACACTGACTTGTGACCATGTGTGGCCATCTATCTGTGTTATACCCCATGTTCTAGGTGTAACATGGAGCCCACACAGATTAACACTCCCTGCCCTTCATGCCCCAGTGGGTGGAGTCGTGGTCTCTGCTGTCCATGAGGCAGAGGTGGTTGAGGTGACATGCAGCCAATTATGGCTTGCCCCCAACCCCCTGGGCCCAGCTGCTGGGGAGAGACCCCTGCTGACCACCTTTCCAGGGTCCAGCTCAGGCCGTGCCCCTCCACCTGCAACCATGATGCCATGGTGGCTTCTTTTGTGGTGGCCTCTTTCGAGGGGGTGCAGGGAGGCTGCAGAGCTGAGGCCTCAAGATGGACAGGGCTGTGGGCCAGAGGCCTGGTGAGGAAGCCAGTTTACAAACCCCAGTCAGAGCGGGCTGAGCCAGGGGCCGGCAGAGACTGAGAGACCAAGGACCAGGGTAGTGATTGGGGGAGGGAGGCGCCCTGGCCTCAGGCAGGGGTGGGGGCGGCTGGGGAGGAGGGGAGCAGGTGGAGGGGTGAGCCCTCACCCCCTGCCATTCCCAGCCTGGGGCCTGCTGCCAGCTCTACCAAAAGGGTTTTCTCCAGGCCCAAACTATAGGTCCTCCTGCAGGAAACTCTGAGGATGCACACCCCTCCAGCATGACTCCAGCCCCTCTTGAACATGCCTCGCCCCCACAAGGCATTGATTTGAGGTGCTCTAGGGAGGAGGGCAAGCTGGAGACCCGAGGGAGCCCACAGTGGACCCAAACTCCGGGGGTGGGAGAGGGTACCAGTGGGAGGTGTTGCCAGGCAGGGTCAGGGTCAGGTCACATCCTCCAGACTCCAAGCAGCAGAGGCACAGCATCACCCTTGAACCTGAATTCAAGGGCTCTGCAGCAGCACTAAGCCCAGGTGAGAAGGTCTTGGGCACAGGTGCCCTTCATGCTGAAGGAAATGCAGGGTCACCAGCTCCTAAGACAGCTTGTTACCTGGGGCCGCTGCAGCAGTCAGGTCTGCGGGGCATGGGCTTGCCCTTTTGTGTCTTCCTTTTGACACCCTGCCTCTATCCTTCCCAGGAGGAGCCCAGCGATGGTGGCTGAGCCCCAGGTGAGCTGGCCTTTGGGGAACAGTTGCTGCCCAAGGCCTCTCCCCCTCAGCCTGGAGCCCCTTGCCCAGCAGACCCTTGGGGCCCTGAGAACAGAATCTCCCTCCTCAGATCCAGGCCCACCCCACTAGCTGCCCCTTCCACAGAGCTGAGCAGGATGCAGGGCCCTAAGGGGAGAGCCCAGTTTTGAGAGCTCTGTGTTTCCATAGTCACACCTTCCCTGCCCAACCTACCCCTAGCTCTTTTCCTAAACATCTGCCTGGAAGGTAGGGAGATGCACGTAGAGCCTCTTGCTAGAAACTCAGTCCAAGCTGCAAGGTGCATTTGCCCTTGGGCAGGGGTGAGGCTCTCTGGGCAGTGAGCACCTGTGATTCCAGGGCACAGTGATGTTTGAGGAGGTGGCCATGTACCTCACACAGGAGGAGGGGCAGCACCTGGGACCCCCTCAGAGAGCACTCTACCAGGATGTGATGCTCGAGAACCACTGCACCCTACCAGCTCTGGATAAGCATCACATGGTGGGCTTCAGGTCCCTGCTCCCCATCCCCAGGTGACTGGTCCCCTGGGCTCTCTTGACTCATAGACCAAATATCCCCAGTCCATGCTGGGGTGCTCGTGTCCCAGCAGGGAGTGCCCAGTGATCTCATCACCCATTCTTTCTTCTCGAGACCTCCTCTGGATCCCCCTCCTCTTGCAGCCTCTGTGGCCCTCAGCCAGGGGCAGCTCAGATATTCTAGCACTGACCATTATCTTCTTGATAGACAGGTTTTTCAGTGTCCACACTCAGGGTTATCTCCCAGCAGGAGCAGGGGAAAATGCCATGGGTCATTGCTCTGCCAGGGCCTCCCTGCACAGGTGAGTGAGGAGGTGGGTATCTCAGGGGAACTGTGATGTGTTGTGCATGTGAGCTGTGAGAGTGGTGAGGGGGGAGTTCAAATGGCCAGCTGAGAGACCCCTGATTGTCTATTCTGGCTCCCGTCCTGGCCCCACCTTCCCTCTGAGGGGAAGTGCAAGTCCACTGTGCAGCTACTCAGGTGGGACAGCCATTTTCTAGTGGTGACCAGCCTTCCGATGAGCTGATTTGCACTTACATGTCAAAGTACAAACAAAACTCCACATTGTGGTCACACGGGAGCATGCCCCCAGCACCCTCTCCTATTTCCACAGTTTGCATGCTGCTTGCATGCAGGCATTCTTCTAGGTGCTGGGGTTAAGTATAAGCAAAACCAAGTCCTTGTCTTCAGGGAGTGTACATTTTGGTTTGTGGAGAACATCGTAGTTTGTGGAAGAATTATTTATCCTGCCTGATGTCCTATCACATTGTCGGTCTCCACATTAGAAAGTTAAGGGACAGGGGACTTCATTCATTCACCAATTCCCTGGTACCTCAAGCAGTGCCAGGCACCCAGGAGGCACCTGGCAAACACTGCTGGAATGAATCCCTCGTTCTTTAGTTGTCAGTTCCTGCTTTGTGCACTGCGCCATTAAGGTGCCGCAAGTACTTGTGTGAGAAGGCATTTGCCCTCAGAATTTCAGTCCAGTCAGAGTGAGATGGACACACACAACTAAGCATGATACAAGACAAAATGGAATAAAGTGATTAACAGAAGGGAAAATAAAACTCAACTCAGGCTGAGACATATGAGCTGCACGGAAATTTGCTTTGGCTCAATCAATTCCTTCTTTCACAGGGAAACTTTTAATTTCCATTCTTTGTTTCAGATTCCTAGGTCAAAACAAAGCATAAACAATCAACGCCAACAGAAAAATCTTCCGAAGAACAATTACAAGAAGTAACTCAGGAAATTTTCCCAAGAGGCAATCCAGAAGAGTTTGAGTTTCGATCAGCTTGTAGGACTGAGACAGGAGCAGAACATTGCTGGAAGAAATTCACAATACAGACCAGGATGAAGTTATTTCCCCAAAAGAGAGGTTCGAGGCAAGTGGTCAGCTCCCCGTTGAAAATCATTGTAGCAGACAAATACCGGGAATGTAATAAATTGGAGAAAAGTTTGTCTCTGGGCACAAAGCCTGTTGTACCTCTGAGGGACAGGCCAGGAAAGAGAGCCAGTGGATGGAGGATGGGTGGCTGAGGCTTTCCATGTGAGTCATATCTGAGTGGACATCGGGCAGTTACCAGTGGGACAAAGCCCCATGGATGCCATGTGTATGGGAAGTCTTTCAGCAAGAACTCACACCTTACTTGGCATCAGATAATTCATACTACAGAGAAGCCCTGTGTATGTATTGAATGTGGGGAAAAAAACACAACTCAAGCCTTATACATCATCAGAAAATTCACCATGGATGGTGAAACCCTATCTCTACTAAAAACACAAAAATTATCTGGGTGTGGTGGTGTATGCTGGTAATCCTGGCTACTCAGGAGGCTGAGGCAGAAGAATTGCTTGAACCAGGGAGGCGGAGGTTGCATTGAGCTGAGATTGCGGCACTGCACTCCAGCCTGGGCGACAGAGTGAGACTCCATCTCAAAAGAAAAGAAAAGAAAAGAAAATTCATGGTGGAGAAAAACCCTGTGTGTGTAGTGAATGTGGTAAGGGCTTTAGGGAGACATCAAAGCTTGTTAAACATCAGAGAATTCATACTGGAGAAAAGCCCTATAGGTGGGATGAATGTGACAAAGCCTTTAGTGGGAATTCAAACCTTATTAAACACCAACTGATACATACTGGAGAGAAGCCCTATAAATGTATTGAGTGCGGGAAAGCCTTTAATCCGAAAGCAAATCCCATGCAATATCAGAGAATTCATACAGGAGAGAAACTTTTTGAATGTCAAGAGTGTGGAAAAAGCTTCAGTCAGCCATCACACGTGATTCATAATCAAAGGAAGCATGCTTGAGAGAAGCCCTACAAATGCAGTGAGTGTGGAAGGGGCTTCAAACATCACACCTGATTGATCATCAAAGAATACACACTGGAGAGAAAACTTATGTGTGTGTCATGTGGGAGAGGCTTTATTCAGATGTCACACTTGATTCATTGCCACAGAACACATTCTGTAGAGAAGCCACATGCATGTAGTGTATGTGGGAAATGCTTCAGCCAGAGCTCAACCCTTATTAGACATTAGGTTGTTCACATTATGGATAGGAAGTATAAGTTAAAGGAATGTGGGCAGGCTTTCAGTGTGAGCTAGCTTCTCAGTCACTATCTCACAAATTCTACTGGAGAGGAACCCCTCAATTCATACAGGAGAGAAGAGCATCCAAGAATGCAACAAAGGTGGGAAGACTTTCATTGTAGCTCATTATATAATGTCAGAGAGTTCCTGTTGGAGAGAACCCCTATGGATGTAATGAATGTTGAAAAAGCATTTATTTGGAACTCACATATTATTTACAATGAGATAATTCATAGAGGATATAATGGATATGAGAGGCTTTGGTGTACTGTGGGAAGTAGGTGGAAATGTGGGTTCCTGCTATTGCCAGCTGCTCCCTTTTGAATAAACTGCCCTAGCAGGTGCTTGCCCCAGGGTGGCCATGCTCTGTAGGGAATCTTGCTTTAGACTGGGATTGTAAGATGGAGACAAAGACAGCCTTATTCCTGGCTGGGAATGCCACTGGAAATGCTAGGGGAGGCCAGTGGTCCATGGCGTGGCCTGATCTCAAATATGCAGAAACCAGAAGCAGAGACCAGACCCAGAGAGAGGCAGATAAATGCAACCCCCAAAGTGGATGCACAGGAAAATGGAAAACTACTAGAGTTAGTGTTGGGTCTCCAGAGCTGCCTTTTTATCCTGAACAATGATGAGCAATGACTCCAGGTCTTCGTGAAACCAAACAGAATAGCTGAGGCAGCTTCCTACACCTCTGCACTAAGTTTTTTAAATCTGAAAGCATGTAGAATGAGTGTCAGCCGCACCAACATGTAGGATCTGTCTTTTAATCAGAAGGCAATCCGTTGTGGCTACTGGCTATACTGAAAACATAACATTATTTTAACATAATCCTTCAGCAGCTTAGGATAAAATCCTTGACTTTAGAATGAAGTTTTCACTATGAAATGAAATCAAGGCTGGGCACAGTGGCTTATGCTTGTAATCCCAGCACTCTGAGAGACCAAGATGGATCACTCGAGGCCAGGACTTTTGAGACCAGCCTGGCAACATGGTGAGACCCCATCTCTACAAATAAATAAAATTAGCTAGGCATGGTGGGAGGATCATTTGAACCCAGGAGGTTGAGGCTGGAGTGAGCCATGATTTCACTACTGTACTCTGTCCTGGGCAACAGAGCGAGCCTCTGTCCTAAAAATATGTGTGTTAAAGATTACTTATATCTAGTTCATACCTCCTAAAGGTAATTTGAATTGAAATAGTGATGCATACAATAAGGTCATTAAAGTAGAAACAGAAAATAAAGGATTATAAAGCCATTGATGGTAAGAGCAATTGATTTTGTGAACTACAAATCATAGATTTAACTGAATAGTTTGTTGTTTATACAAAATAGCTGTTGAAAAGTTTCTGACTGACTGGGTGCAGTGGCTTATGCCTATAATCCCAGCACTTTTGGAGGCCAAGGCAGGTGGATCACTTGAGAACAGCCTGGCCAACATGGAGAAACTCTGTTTCTACTAAAAATACAAAAATTAGCCAGGCATGGTGGTGCACGCCTGTAATCCCAGCTACTCCAGTGAGTCAAGAGAATTGGTTGAACCCAGGAGGCAGAGGTTGCAGTGAGCTGAGATCACACCACTGCACTCCAGCCTGGGTGACGGAGTGAAACTCTTGTCTCAAAAAAAAAAAAAAGTTTCTGGTTAGATTTTTCCTCTAGGCGCAATCTGAGGAGAAAGGAGGAAAGCTTGGAGAGGAACACAGCTATGAAATGCATCCATCTGCCCCTCCTTCGTCATCAGGCAATGGCACAATCTGAGCCAGGAATGACCCTCTGTCTTCCAAGGCCTGAGGTGCAGAGAAGAGCAACCAAGCCCACATAATCTTCCAGGGTTCCAACCCCAGTCCTGGGTATAAGAAGCAAGCTGTTGCCTTATATGTGTTAAAAAGAAGAGAGGGGCTGGGTGCAGTGGCTTACGCCTGTAATCCCAACACTTTGGGAGGCTGAGGCAGGAGGATCACTTGAGGCCAGGAGTTCAAGACTAGACTACAAAGTGAGACCCTGTCTCTACAAAAAAAAAAAGAAAAATTACAAATTAGTCAGGTGTGGTGGCCTGCACATGTAGTTCCAGATACTTGGGAGGCTGAGGCAGGAGGATCGCTTGAGGCCAGAAGTTTGAGACTACAGTGAGCCGTGACTGCCCCACTGAACTCCAGTCTGGGTGATAGAGACCACCTGGTCGCTAATTAAAAATTGTTTTCAAAAGGGAGGGGAGGGTAGACTCTTGAGTCTTGTCTACAATTCTGTACTCCTTTCAGGGAAAACGGACCTTACATTCATAAAAGGGGAGCCACAGCAGCTGTTGTCACCAACAGGTGCTTTTGTGCATCACTGATTTGTGTCTGGCTCACTCACTTCCACTTGTCCTGTTGTGCACACCGTTGGATGCCAGGTGACACTTGCCAAGGTCGTAAGTGCCACAGGACTTGCAGTGAAGGGAAGGGTTGATTGGGGAAGAGGGATGAGGAAGGTTTGGATGAAGGGATAGAACTGGGCCTTGAAGGATTGACAAGATGATGGCAGAAGGAACACAGATGAGCTGGGAAGAGGCTGATACTCTCAGATGCCGTGGAGTTGGGAGTGTGAGGACCCGGGAAGGACTGGGATCCTGCAGAGCCTGGCCTTGCAGGCCCTGCTGGGGAGTGTGTTCAGTCCTGGAGACATGGGAGCTGTAGGATATTTTGAACCAGGAGGGTTTCAGAATTCCTCTTCAAGGCCATCTGGGTACGTGGACTGCAAAGCACCTGGCAGCTCCCTGTGCCCACGAAGTTACTGTGCTCCATGTTGTGCATGGCTCTTCTCCTCACCTGTCATCCAGGGGTGTCATAGGTATGCTGCCCTGTTCCTCAGACTGTAAACTGGCTTCTTGATTACCCTCATGGCTCCTTTTCCTTCACATGAGATTTTATGGTTTAAAAAAAAAAAAAAAAAGAACCCACACAGTTTGTGGCTGAATGCTGTGGTCAAGGACCTGGGCCATAGCGCACTTGTACTGGGGAGATCAGCAGGGAGATTACTGAGAGGCAAACTCACCTGCCCAGAGTCTGGACTGTGGCTCTGCAGGCTCTGATACCTGATTCTTCCCTCATACTGAGATGATCCCTACACTCCAGGAAGTGGACATAGAAGACCAGAAAGTCAGGGCACAGATTGAGCCCTGCTAGAGGCTAGATTCTTAACATCTGCCCGAAAGTTGTTAGCAACCCTGGTGTTGCCACTGGGATTGTACCTCCGTTTGTGCATAGGTCTTGAGGGAAGCTGGAGGAACAGAAACCAGAACATGGGGAGTGGACAGTGCCTGGACAGTATCTGTACATTTCTGGCTCTTTGTCTTTCCATTTTCTTTCCTCTAAGGCTTAGAGTCCAAGCTGAATGTTAGTTTCCTCTGTGTTTCTCTAATGAATGATTAGGTTTCTGCTCATGAAATTAAAATCTCATTCTATGCCCTTTGGGACAATAAATTTAGACTTGATGGAAGTTTAGAACGACTCCCAAATTATTCAGTAACACATTTAAAGACAGTCTCTTGTCTGTCCCTATGATGGCCAGCCACATCGAATGTGAGAGCCTGGGGGGAGTAAAAAGAGGGTTTTGGAGTGGGACAGATGGATCTGGATCATAGACAATTTGTTCAACCTCAGCTTTCTTACCTGTGAAATGGTGATGTCAATCCTTACCTGGCACACGCAGAGCACTTGGCACCACCTGGCACATAGCAGGTGCTCCATGAATGGCAGCTACTGTTACTGTGTCTGGAGTTGGTTCCTTCCAGTTGGTTCGTGGTCTCACTGACTTCAAAAATGGAGCCACCAACCTTCACAGTGAGTGTTACAGCTCTTAAAGATGGCACGGACCCAGAGTGAGTAGCAGCAACATTTATTGTGAAGCGCGAAAGAACAAAGCTTCCACAGCATGGAAGAAGATCCGAACGGGTTGTCCCTGCTGGCTGGAGGGTGGTCAGCTTTTATTCCCTTATTTGTCCCTGCTCATGTCCTGCTGATTGGTCCATTTTACAGAGTGCTGATTGGTCCATTTTACAAACCTCTAGCTAGCTCTACAGAGCACTGACTGGTGCATTTTACAAACCTCTAGCTAGCTACAGAGTGCTGATTAGTGCATTTTACAATCTCCTTGTAAGACAGAAACGTTCTCTGAGTCCCCACTCGACCCAGGAAGTCCAGCTGGCTTCACCTCTCATTACCACCACAGTGGACTTTAGTAGGCTAATGGTCAAAGGCAACTTTATCTTTGTGACCAGGAGATAACTTTTTCCCCAAATGGGTGAAAAGACTAAGGTTCTGACATGTTGCTTCCGGGCTCCTGCTGTGGATATCATCAACCACAGCCACCTGGAAACATTCCCGAGATACCTATTTTTCCTACAGAGAAGTCAAGTTATTTTTCCTACCTTCGGTCCTTAGTTCTCATTCTCCAAGGAACTCAACAGTCCTGAGCAACACTGAGGTCTCAGGGGCCTAGTTCCATGAGGGACTCTGTGGCAACTGGCCCCTGGGTCCCTCCCCTCCCATCCAGGGCCGCCCCAGCGGTCTCCATGCCCAGGGCGCCTCTTCCCTCTTCAACAGCCCCAGGGGCACCAGGGCCGCTTCTCACTCAACACTGTCTCTGGGCGACCTCGCGAGCTCAGTGGCATCACTGACCATCAAGACGCCCCAATTTGCATCTACATCACAGCAGCATCTGCCGGCTTTAGGTCCTGTCTTCACCAGGATGTCCCACAGTCGCTTCACACTAAGAGCCCAACTGGCCCCTTCCTTGCCCGGACCCGGAGCTCCTGTCGGGGACCGTTGAACCACCGAGTGGGCGGTCATCCGGGTGTCTCAGAGCAGACCGAGAGCAGGTGCGCAGACCTCTGTGGACGGCTACTTCCGGTGCGCTCCCAACAGGTTTCCGCCCGGGGTCACCGGCCGCAGTGCTCCTTTCGGCTCCAGGGAAGCGCGGACTCGCCCCTGCTGCCCGCCCGGCGTTGCCTCAGCACATCCCTGACCGTCGGAGGAGCCCCTAGAAGTGGCAGTGGGCGCAATGGTGGCGGCGTGTGGCGGGGCCGTGCCCAGAAGCGCTCGCAGTCCCGGAGCGGTGGGGGAGGGCCGCTGCACCCCGCGCCCGAGTCTGGGCGTCCGCATTGCCGCGTGGCCGGCGAATTGCGCCCGAGGGGGTGGTTAAGACAAAAGCGTGGGGAGGGGCCACGTCCCCGCTGCCCCAGCCAGGCGTTTCCTTGCCTCGCTGATCGTTCCTCTACGGCGGGAACGCGAGGCGCCCACCGGGGATGTCGCTAATGAGTCCGCGGGGCGACGCCGAGAGTGGCTTGTGAGGGGTCCCCGCCGGAGCCCCTGGCGCGCGCCTCTTCCAGTGCTTTCCACCTCATTTCTGGCCGAGTGCCTCGAGAGGGTAGAGGGCGAGAAATCCTTTGCCTCAAACATCCCCTAAATGGGTCGGAAAGATCAAAGAGAAACGTTTCTGAGGGAAAACCTGGCGTCATCGCGTCAGCCACGTTTTCAGAGCGTGCGTTTTCCGCGGGGTGGGAGCTGCCGTCTGACCATAGGTTTCTTGCGGCCCTAGATTCTTCGGCGCCTTAAACCTGGGGTTCCGGAAGCTGTAGCCCCCGTTTCAAAATCCGCCGGAAGCGCCTGACCCCCAGAAGTCGCGCTCTGCCCTGACCTGCCGGAGAGCGGGGGCCGCGCGGAGTTTCCGCGGGACTTCCTGCTGTGGAGGTTAAAGCACGGTTTGTCAAAACGCCTTAGAACTTGCAATGCCGGCCATTCGCGTCGGGGTGGGGTCCCCAGAAGCAGACCCTGAGGTGAGGCTTCCTGTATTCTTGGCTTATTGGGAGGCGCAGGCTCGGCCAGTGAGGACTGGGAAGAAGAGGAGGCCAGCCCGGGTGAGCGTCGTGCAGAGGCCGCGGGGTGACCGGGTCCAGTCCTGCAGGGGGGTCTGGAACATGTTCGGATCGGACCTCAGCGCGGATCCCTCCCGTCGGGGTGGAGGGAGCTGGGCCTTTTCTGCCTCAGCGGCTTTAGGACTGTTCCAGGAAGAGGTGAGCAGCGGCGGCCCTCGACCCAGAGAAGCAGGGGCCACAAGGAACTGGGTGCAGGAAGGTGGTGAAGGGCCCAAAGGACGCGTGCGTGGCCTCAGGAAGTGCCGGAAGAAAGCCTGAGTCTGAATCTGAGAATTTCTCCAGGTTTACCTTCTTGAGGGGTCGCCAAACTGTTTTCCAAAGCAGCTGCCTCATTGTACCTTCCCATTCTGTATCTGTTCATCCATACAGCCATACATGACAGTTTCTCCACATCCTTATCAACACTTGTTATTGGCCTTTTTTTAAAAAATCATAGTCATAGCTGGTGGGTGTGAAGTGGTGTCGCTTTGTGGTTTTGATTTGTATTTCCTTGATAAGTAATGATGTTAAGCATCACCTCACATGCTTAATGGCCATTTGTGTATCTTTGAAGAAATATCTATTCAAATCTTTTGCCCATTTAAAAACTACTTGTCTTTTTATTGAGTTGTAAGAGTTGTTTCTCTGTTCTGGATACAAGTTCTTTAGCAGATAGATGGTTTGCAGATATTTTCACCTACCGTGGGTTGTCTTTTTCAGTTGTTTGTTTTTTGAGACGGAGTCTCACTCTGTCGCCCAGGCTGGAGTGCAATGGCGCGCCATCTGCGCTCACTGCAAGCTCCGCCTCCCGGGTTCACTCCATTCGCCTGCCTCAGCCTCCCGAGTGGCTGGGATTACAGACGTGCGCCACCGTGCCTGGATGGTTTTTGTACTTTTTTTTTTTTTTTTTTTTTTTGTGAGACGGAGCCTCGCTCTGTCGTCCAGGCTGGAGTGGAATGGTGCGATCTCGGCTCACCACAACCTCCGCCTCCTGGGTTCAAGCGATTCTCCTGCCTCAGCCTCCCGAGTAGCTGGGATTACAGGCACTCGCCACCACACCAGCTAATTTTTGTATTTTTAGTAGAGACAGGGTTTCACCATGTTGGCCAGGCTGGTCTCAAACTCCTGACTTCGTGATCCGTCCACCTCGGCCTCTCAAAGTGCTGGGATTACAGGCGTAAGCCAGTGAGCCCGGCCAGTTTTTGTACTTTTAGTAGAGATGGGGTTTCAGCATGTTGGGCAGGCTGGTCTCGAACTCCTGACCTAAAATGATCCACCCGCCTCAGCCTCCCCAAGTGCTGGGATTACAGGCGTGAGCCACCACGCCTGGCTGTCGTTTCACTTTCTTTTTTTTTTTGAGTCGGAGTCTGGCTCTGTTGCCCAGGCTGGAGTGCAATGGCATGACCTCGGCTCACTGCAACTTCCGCCTTCTGGGTTCAAGCAAATCTGCCTTGGCCTCCTGAGTAGCAGGGATTACAGGCGCCCACCACCACACCTGGCTAATTTTTGTATTTTTAGTAGAGACAAGGTTTCACCACATTGGCCAGGCTGGTCTTGAACTCCTGACCTCGTGATCTGCCCGCCTTGGCCTCCCAAAGTGCTGGGATTACAGGTGTGAGCCACCATGCCCAGCTCACTTTCTTGATGGTATCATTTGCAGCACAAAAGTTCTTAATTTTGATGAGGTCAATATTTCTCTTTTTATTTTGTCATTTGTGCTTTTGGTATCTCTTTCAAATAACCTGCTTTTGGTTTTCTTCATTGACTTTATTGTTTCCTTTTTTAAAATGTTCATTTTCCCATTACTACTTCTTTCTTTAGGTTTACTCTAATATTCTTTGTCTAACTTCTTAAGTTGAACATTTAACTTCTTAGTATATTAATTTTTTTTTTTTTTTTTAAGAGGCAGGGTCTTGCATAGTCACCCAGGCAGGAGTGCAGTGGTGCCATCATAGCTCACTGCAGCCTCAGACTTCTGGGCTCAAGTAATCCTCTCACCTCAGTCTTCAAGTAGCTGGGACCACAAGCTCAAGCCACCATGACTGGCTAACTTTTGTGTTTTTTGTAGGGACAGAGTCTCACTATGTTGCCGAGACTGGTCTCAAACTCTGGCTTCAAGCAATCCTCCTGCCTCAGCTTCCCAAAGTGCTGGGATTGTAAGCCACTATGCCCAGACTAATTTTTGATTTATAATTATGAAAGTACAATAGATTACTTGACAAAAGTTTATAAATTAATGAAGACTGGACTTAGTAATAGGCTGATTCTTTTTAAGCTCTAAGTAATAGAAGTTGAAGGACAGTATTTTTAGTAGCGATGGGGTTTTGCCATGTTGGCCAGGCTGGTCTTGAACTCCTGACCTCAGGTGATCCGCCCCCCTCAGCCTCCCAAAGTGCTGAGTTTACAGGCGTGAGCCACCATGCCTGGCCTTAAGCTTTCTTAAAGTTTTTATTTAATTATGAACCTGACAAAAGAAGTATATATTTATCATGGACATGTTTTGAAATATGTGTACATTGTGAAATGGCTAAATGGAGCTAAATAGCATATGCATCCTCACATACTTTTTTGTGGTGAGAAAAAAGCTACTCTAGGCAGTTTTGAAGAGTACAATACATTGTTAATAACGATAGTCACCATGTTGTACAGTAGATTTCTTGAACTTATTCTTCCTATTTACTTCCTCCAAAGGACACAAAGGAAATTTGGTACCCTTTGATCAACATCTCCCTGAGCTTTTTTTTTTTTTTTTTGAGACGGAGTCTCGCTCTGTCGCCCAGGCTGCAGTACGGTGGCGCGATCTCGGCTCACTGCAAGCTCCGCCTCCCGGGTTCACGCCATTCTCCTGCCTCAGCCTCCCGAGTAGCTGGGACTACAGGCGCCCACCACCATGCCCAGCTAATTTTTTGTATTTTTAGTAGAGACGGGGTTTCATCATGTTAGCCAGGATGGTCTCGATCTCCTGACCTCATCATCCACCCGCCTTGGCCTCCCAAAGTGCTGGGATTACAGGCATGAGCCACCACGCCCGGCCTCCCTGAGCTTTTTATTTTGAAATAATTTTAAACTTGAAGAGTTGCAATAATGCAGAGAACTCCCAAATAACCTTAACTCAGACTCACCAGTTCTTAACCGTTGCCATATTATTTCTCTTTCACTTTTTTCTGAACCATTTAGAAGTAGGCTTGAAAGAGTCATTTTGTCTATAATTTCCTATGTTCCATATCTTCCTGTATTTCTTCCTGTTTCTTTTTGGGGGTACAGAATATAGGATGAGACACTTTTTAGTTTTAAAATATCTGATTCTAGATGTTTTTAGTATCTCCAGATGCTTGCTTGAGTATATTTACTTCTGTTGTGTTAGTTTTCTTCTGCTCCTTTGACTTCTAGTCACCTTGGACTCCCAGGACTCCAGCTCCATCTCCATCTCCTAAACTTGTAGAGACTGCCCAGCATCTCCTTATGCGCAGGTGGATTTTTTTCCTAGTCTGTCTTTATACAGGGGGTTCAACCCTTTGGGGTTCCAGCTTTAGACAGGGGCCCAGGTTCCAACCATCACCCTCAAGCCACCCAGGCCTGTCTTCATGGGGGCTGTAAACGAGCCCCAGAGCTGTCCTAGCATCAGTTTCCAGGTGGGAAGCTCTGACTTTCATTTCGGTCTTCATTTTTACCCCTGAGGTGTTCCCTTGCTCTCTTGGTGCTTAACCATGCATTGTCCTACTAACATCCTCAGTCCCAGGGTCCACAGCAAGTACGTGTCACAACAGCCCTTAGAGCCACCCACAAGCCCTCCCATGCCCCGGTGCTTCCTTCCATTCTACGTAAATGTGAGGCCTGTGGGCCTCTTAAGGGAGGCATCATTGTGGGACCTTTCCAGTAGATCAGAAGGAGAAAACAATTTTAATGTACCCAGTGTGCTCATGGACAGAGCAGAAGCAGAACACAAGGTTCACATTTACGCAAAGCACATTCTTGGCACTGTTTCCTTTCTCTGCCTCCTTCACCTCTCTTCCTTCCTTCCCAAGTACATCCTAAGCACCTGTTCTGTATCGTGTGCTGGAGATAAAAAGGTGCATAAGACAACATCTCTGACAGCAGAGAGTTCTCCGTATAATGTAGGGTAACGAGGTAGAAAGGAAAATGTAAGTTGAAATGGTGGGGATATGAATGTTGTGCTGTGGGATACAAGGGTAAAAGAGTTATTTTTTAGACGTGGGGGAGGTGTTTTTTTCCCCCATTTTAGAGCTGGAGAAAAAGAGACCCAAGAAGATTCAGTGTTTTCCCTGAGGTCAGAGTGAATCCATTTCAGAGGGAGACAGGACCCTCCAGGTGAGCCTGTGCTATCCACTCCCTCTTTTGTGTGGACCATTCCACATGGACCACACTAAGGCTGGCAATTCCCACACTTGGAAGAGGTTCTGTGATAAGAATTTTAATAATAAAGTGGGGGAGACAGAACCTGAGCGGGGGAATAAGCGCAGCAAATCACAGAATGGATGTTAAACCAAATGTAGCGGTGACCCCAAATTCCCTAAGAAAACAGTAAGGCCAGGCGCCGTGGCTCACGCCTGTAAGACCTGCACTTTGGAAGGGCAAGGTGGGTGGATCGCTTGACTCCAAGAGTTCAAGACCAGCCTGGGCAACATGGTGTGACACCATCTTTACAAAAAATTAAAA
Organism: Homo sapiens; assembly: GCF_000001405.40. Lineage (NCBI taxonomy): Eukaryota > Metazoa > Chordata > Mammalia > Primates > Hominidae > Homo > Homo sapiens. The sequence continues at coordinate 144,718,900 of NC_000008.11, forward strand.
AATTATCTGGGTATGGTGGTGTGTGCCTGTAGTCCCAGCTACTTGGGAGCTGAGGTCGGAGGGTTGCTTGAGCCCAGGAAGTCAAGGCTGCAGTGACCTGTGATCGCTTCACTGCACTCCAGCCTGGGTGATAAGAGTGAGACACTGTCTCAAAAGAAAAAAAGAAAACAAAGATGGAATGAGAGATTAACTAAGGTAGGCTCCTTGAAGGGGGGAAATATTTCAGTTAGACCTGGAGGGAATGAAAGGTAGATTTGAAAAAAGATTCTTGGCCGGGCACGGTGGTTCATGCCTGTAATCCCAGCACTTTGGGAGGCCGAGGCGGGCGGATAACGAGGTCAGGAGATTGAGACCATCCTGGCTAACACAGTGAAACCCCGTCTCTACTAAAAAATACAAAAAATTAGCTGGGCGTGGTGGCGGGCGCCTGTAGTCCCAGCTACTTGGGAGGCTGAGGCAGGAGAATGGTGTGAACCCAGGAGGTGGAGCTTGCAGCGAGTAGAGATTGCGCCATTGCACTCCAGCCTGGGCGACAGAATGAGACTCCGTCTCAAAAAAAAAAAAAGAAAAGAAAAGAAAAGAAAAAAGATTCTTGCAGGTAGAGTCTCAGAATTGAAAATCAGAGGCCGGGCGTGGTGGCTCACACCTGTAATCCTAGCACTTTGGGAGGCTGAGGAGGGCGGATTATGGGGTCAGGAGTTTGAGACCACCCTGGCCAACATGGTGAAACCCCGTCTCTAAGAAAAATACAAAAATTAGCTGGGCGTGGTGGCACGCGTCTGTAGTCCCAGCTACTCGGGAGGCTGAGGCAGAAGAATCGCTTGAACCTGGGAGGCGGAGGTTGCAGTGAGTTGAGATCGTGCCACTGCACTCCAGCCTGGGTGACAACGCGAGACTTTGTTTCAGAAAAAAGGAGAAAAAAAAAAAGAATTGAAGATCAGAATTTCACAGGTGATCACACTCTGAGAAACTACTACAGTGTTATTCAAACTTCCCAATGAAACTCTTTAAATAGATGCTTACTGATCAAACCATGGTCAATAGGAGAATGCAAATTAAAACCATGGATACCACTACATCTCCACTAAAATAGCTAGAATATTAAAAAATGGACAATACTGCTGGGCACGTTGGCTTATGCCTGTAATCCCAGCGCTTTGGGAGGCTGAGGTGGGTGGATCACCTGAGGTCGGGAGTTGGAGACCAGCCTGACCAACATAGAGAAACCCCGTCTCTACTAAAAATACAAAATTAGCCGGGCGTGGTGGTGCATGCCTCTAATCCCAGCTTCTCAGGAGGCTGAGGCAGGAGAACCGTTTGAATTGAACCCGGGAGGCGGAGGTTGTGGTGAGCCGTGATCGCGCCATTGCACTCCAGCCTGGGCAACAAGAGCAAAACTCCGCCTCGGAAAAAAAAAAAAAAAAAAAAGGACAATACCAAGATCTGGTGAGGATTCAAAGCAACTAAACTCACACATCATCAGTGGGGATATACAACTGACTTTGTAAAAGTTTGGCAGTTTCTTAAAATGTTAAACATAAGCTTACCATATGACCCAGCAATCCCACTCCTATTTACCCAAGATAACTGAAAAGTTAGATTCACAAAACAGCCTGTAGTTGATACACAGTGATGGCAGCTTTAATCATAGTTGCCCATACTGAAAATGCCCAAATACCCTGCCATGGGTGAACGGATAAACAAATGGCTCCATCCATACAATGGAATGCTACTCGGTGCAAAAAAGCACTCTACACAGGCAATATGGATGACTCCAATGCATCATGTTCAGTAAAAGCAGCCACGTGCAAACAGCTGCACACTATTTCTGGAAATGGTGAGGTGATGGATAGAGGATAGAAAACAAACCAGTGGTTTCCACGGACTGGGGTTGAGGAGGGGTTAACCACAAGAGAGCACAAAGGAATTCTGGGTGGTGGTGAAGATGTTCAATGTCTGGAATGTGGTAGTGGCACAATTGTATGTTTTTGTCAAAGCCCAAAGAACTATACACTAAAAAGAGTAAATTTTATTGTTTATAAATTATGCTTCAATAAACCTGCCTTTAAAAAATTTTTTATCAGTAATTACAATTTTCAAAAGTGGAGATACTTGGTAGGCCCCTGCTTTCTTGGCCCCTAAGGTCCCTCTCTCTGTTAAACTGTAGAGCTCCTTAGAACCAAAACCAAACCACCTTTCATTTTAATGAAAATGAAATGCAAAAACTGGGGCTCCAAGCAAGGAAGAAACGTCTACCTGCAGTTCATCTGGGGGTTGGTGGGAGAGGTGGTGGAGAGAGTAAGGCTAAGCGCCCCCAGCAGGCCCAAGTTCTCTGTACCACACTTGGAGGCAGGTATATGGGACTGAAAGTGGATGTTCTCAGCCACAAGCCTGGGCCTGGATAGGAAACAAAGGATAAGACTGGAAGGATGTCAGGTAGGGTAGACCCAGAGCACCAGCTGGGCTCACTTTTCACGCCCTCCATCCATTCGTCATGAGTATCCGGATACAGCACCACACGGTTCAACTCCTGAGCACAGCAGTAACCTTTACACAGACAGCCTGATTTCCCAGAATGAATTCTCGTGTTTACTTCCAGATTTAATGACTTTGACTTTAGTAGTCATCTGAACTATTTATTTTACTTTGCCAGTAATATTTAGACCTTATATATCTTTCATTATGCCATCTTATCTTCTAATGTCAAGTGAACAGTTGCTAAACTGTCTTCTGCATTTATCACATTAAAAATGTCTTTCTTGGAAAATCTTCTTGATATGAATAAAGTATCTTTTAGAGCCATCATTTAAAGCAGGTTTCTCTCCAACACGAGTCTGCTGAGGTGGTGTGAGCTGTGAACTCTGGCTGAAGGCTTTCCCATACACACTGCAATGACATGGTTTCTGACCAGTGTGAGTTACCTGATGTTGAATAAGGGTTGACTTTCCACTGAAGGCGTTTCCACATTCTTGACATTTATAGGGCTTTTCCCCAGCATGCATTATCTGATCTTCAGTGGGTCGTGAGGTGGGACTGAAAGCTTTTCCATATTCATTACATCCAAAGGATTTCTCACCAGTGTGAACTGTCCAGCGCAGAATGAGATTTGCACCATGGTTAAAGGCTCTGCCGTGCTTCTCTCCAGTGGGAATCTGTCCATCTGCTGTGAGGCTGGAGCCATGAACAAAGGCTGGACCATGTTTTCTGCACTTACGAGTCTCTCCGCTGTGAACTTTCTGATGCTGAATGAGGGTTGACCTCCGGCTGAAGGCCTTCCCACAGTCACCACAGTCATAGGGCTTCTCTCCAGTGTGAACTCGCTGATGTAGGGTGAGCTGGGAGCTCTGGCTGAAAGCTTTCCCACATTCAACGCACTGGTAGGGCTTCTCCCCAGTGTGAACTCTTCGATGCTGAACAAGAGTGGAACTCCGACGAAAGGCTTTGCCGCACTCATTACAAACATAGGGTTTTTCTCCTGTGTGAATCCTTACGTGTTCAGTAAGATGAGAGTTAAAACCAAAGGCTCTGCCGCATTCATTACATACATAGGGTTTCTCTCCAGTATGAACCCGATGATGGAGGAAAAGGCTTGAGCTCTGACTGAAGGCCTTCCCACACTGATTGCATTTATGGGGCTTCTCTCCAGTGTGAATTCTCTCATGCTGAATAAGGCTGGAGCTTCGACTGAAGGCCTTCCCACAGTGACTGCATTCATGCGGCTTCTCTCCAGTGTGAATTCTCTGATGCTGAGTTAACTGGGGGCTCTGGCTAAAGCCTCTTCCACATTCATTACACTTGTAGGGTTTCTCTCCTGTGTGAATGATCCGATGTTGAATAAGAGTTGAGCTTCGACTGAAAGCCTTCCCACACTCACCACAGCCAAAGGGTTTTTCTCCAGTGTGAATTCTCCGATGAAGACGGAGGTGAGAATTGAGTCCAAAAGTTTTCCCACATTCATCACATTTAAATGGTTTATTTCCAGTGTGAATGTGATGGTGCAGAACAAGATTTGAGCTGTGAGTAAAGGCTCGCCCACACCGGCCACATTCGTACGGCTTCTCCCCAGTGTGACTTCTCTGGTGTCTACTTAGGTCTGAATTATATTTGAAGGTTTTGCTGCATATATCACATTTAAAGACCCTCTCTCCTGTTTTATTTCTTTGAAGTCTAACAACATTTTGGTCCAGATTCAAGTTTCTATCAAATGCACTACACTCTTGGGTTCTTTCTCCCAAAGATCTTTCCCTGCCCACGGTAGCTTCTGTTAAAACTCTCTTGTGAATATTGGGTTTGTTCAAACTCTGCCCGGCAGAATTTCCCACGCGCTCTTTGAGTTTGCCCTCACGGCCCCATGCTTCCCGAAACTCAGCGGCCTGTGCATTATCCCTTAAGAGTCTTCTTGATACAAATTCTGGGGTTTTTACTTCTTCGGAAAATTTTTGGTTTAAAATAGATAGTTCCTTCTTGGTCCCAACCTCAGAATCTGTTAAAGAAAAATATAAATGAGTTACTAGAGAAAACCTTCCATCAGGCATAATGTCCATAATGTGGTAGAAGCTCCTATAAACCATCATGCAGAAGGCAGATGCTCCAATAGGAAAAGATGTGAAAGGCAGAATTCAGAAGTAAAGATGGGATGGCCAATCAACAGGATAAAAATATTCAAGTTCATTAGTTATCAAAGTAGTCAAATCAAAACAAATTACGATTTTTCACCTATCAAATTGGCAAATTATTCAACAAATATTTAGAAGGCCAGGCGTGTTCTAGGTAAGGAATATACAGGAAGGTAAATATAGTCTCTGATCTCATGAAGCTTATGTTCTACTCAATTAGATAGCAAGTAAGTTCTTAAAAATAATGATACACCATGTGACAGAAACTGTGTAAATGTGTTATTGGCCCCAACCTAGTCTACATGGTCAGAGAAAATGCCAGGAGTGAGATTCAAGCTGAAACCTGACAAAAGAAGTAAGTTAGCAGTGACAGACAGGAAGGCCTGGGCCTGGCTGTGATGCACAAAAATATCCACCGAGTTCCTGATGTAAAGAATCTGGGCCAGGGCCAGGCGCGGTGGCTCACGCCCGTAATCCCAGCACTTTGGGAGGCCGAGGTGGGCGGATCACGAGGTCAGGAGATCGAGACCATCCTGGGTAACACGGTGAAACCCCGTCTCTACTAAAAATACAAAAAAATTAGCCAGTCGAGGTGGCAGGCGCCCGTAGTCCCAGCTACTCAGGAGGCTGAGGCAGGAGAATGGCGTGAACCCAGGAGGCGGAGCGAACCCGGGAGGCAGAGCTTGCAGTGAGCTGAGATCGCGCCACTGCACTCCAGCCCGGGCAACAGAGCAAGACTCCGTCTCAAAAAAAAAAAAAAAAAAAAAAAAAGAATTAAAGCAACAATCATGCCGTGTACTGTTGGTGGGACTGTAAATAAATGACCTTTTTTTGAGATAGTGTCTTGCTCTGTTTCCCAGGCTGGAGTGCCACGGTGCAACCACAGTTCACAGCAGCCTTGACCTCTCAGGCTCAAGCAATCTTCCTGCCTCAGCCTCCCAAGTAGCTGGGACTACAGGTGCAGGCCACTGTGCCTAGCCAAAATATAACTTTTTTAAAAAGCTGACAATATGTAGCCAAAAAATTGATATCTCACACACCCTTTGTCCCCCAAACTACTCCCCTAGGATCCATCCTAAGTGGACTGCCATATGTACGTTGAAATGACTACAATGATGCTCGCTGCATTTTGTAATTGGGGGGAAACAAGGAAGAACCCAAATGTCCAAAAACGGGGCTGTTTAAACCCAGTAAAAACTATTCACATAATGGAATACAATTCTACCATTATTATAATAGAAAGATATATAATTAAATGAAAAGCTCATATTACAAAGAGAAGAATCAGGTTCTAAAATTATATGCACAGCATAAACCAACTTTTATTGAACATAGATATATATGTAAGATAGTTGCTATTTCTTCCTTAACTGTTTAGTACAAGTCGGTGAAGCCATCTGGGCTTGGCATTTTTTCTGAGGAAGGGTTTTAAATTATGAGTCAATTTATTTAGCACTCAAACAATTATGTATCCACCACCACCTTTTTTCTTTCTTTCTTGTTTTTTTTTTCTTTGAGACAGAGTTTCACTCTTGTTGCCCAGACTGGAGTGCAATGGCACGATCTCGGCTCACCACAACCTCCACCTCCTGGGTTCAAGCGATTCTCCTGCCTCAGCCTCCCGAGTAGCTGCGACTACAGATGCTCACCACTATGCTCGGCTAATTTTTTGTAATTTTAATAGAGACGGGGTTTCACCGTGTTGCCTAGGCTGGTTGCAAACTCCTGAGCTCAGGCAATCCGTCCGCCTCGGCCTCCCAAAGTGCTGGGATTACGGGCGTGAGCCATCGCACCCGGCCTCTTTTTTTAAAAGACAGGGGCTTGGAGTACAGTGTTGTGATCACAGCTCACTGCAGCCTTGAACTCTTGGGATCAAGTGCTCCTCCCACTTCAGGCTCCCGAGTAGCTGGGACTACAGGTGTGCACCACCTGTAGTCTGGCTAATTCCTTATTTTTTTGTAGAGACAGGGTCTCACTGTGTTGCCAGGCTTGTCTCCAACTCCTGACCTCAAGCAATCCTCCTGCTTCAGCCTCCCAAAGTGCTGGGATTACAGGTGTGAGCCACTGCACTCAGCCCAATATATCTTTTTATGATAGTCTGAAATATCTAGGTGGTGCCTCCTTTTTCATTTCGGTTATTTGTTCATTCTGTTTTATTCTTCATCAGTTACATCCAGAAAACAGAGACATGCTACATGCTCCAACAGTGTATGTGAGGTTAATTCATCTTTGATACCAAAATTTGACAACAGTACGAGAAAACAAAACTGAAGGCTGATCTCATTCACAATGACGGATGTAAAATCCCTAAACAAAATTTTCAGAAGCCAAATCCTGTCATATATGTAACAAGGATAACACATCATCAACAAGTGGGTTTATTTCAAGAATGCAGTGTTAGGCTGGCGTGGTGGCTCACACCTATAATCCCAGCACTTTGGGAGGCCCAGGAGGGTGGATCACTTGAGGCCAGGAGTTTGAGACCAACCTGGCCAACATGGTGAAACCCCATTTCTATCAAAAATACAAAAATTAGCTGGGTGTGATGATCCTCACCTGTAGTCCTAGCTACTCGGGAGTCTGAGACAGGAGAATTGCCTGAACCCAGGAGGCAGAGGTTGCAGTGAGCTGAGATTGTGCCACTGCACTCCAGCCTGGGCGACAGCGAGACTCTGTCTCAAAAAAAAAAAAAAAAAAAAAAAAAGAATGCAAAGTTAGTATAGTATTAGAAAATCAGGCTGGGCACAATGGCTCACATCTGTTATCCCAGCACTTTGGGAGGCAGAGGTGGGCAGATCACTTGAGGCTAGGAGTTCAAGACCAGCCTGGCCAACATGGCAAAACCCCGTCTCTACTAAGAAATATGTAAAAATTAGCCAGGTGTGGTGGCGCATACCTGTAGTCCCAGCTACTCGGGAGGCTGAGGCAGGAGAATTGCTTGAACCAGGAGATGGAGGTTGCAGTGAGCCAAGATTGTGTCATTGTACTCCAGCCTGGGTGACAGAGTGAGACTCTGTCTCAAAATAATAATAATAATAAAAATAAAGACTATTAGAAAACTTAGCCAGGCATAGGTTGGGCGCGGTGGCTCACGCCTGTAATCCCAGCACCTTGGGAGGCCGAGGCGGGTGGATCACAAGGTCAGGAGATCGAGACCATCCTGGCTAACACGGTGAAACACCGTCTCTACTAAAAATACAAAAAATTAGCCAGGCGCGGTGGCAGGTGCCTGTAGTCCCAGCTACTCGAGAGGCTGAGGCAGGAGAATGGCGTGAACCCGGGAGGCGGAGCTTGCAGTGAGCCGAGATCGCGCCACTGCACTCCAGCCTGGGCAACAGAGCAAGATTCTGTCTCCAAAAAAGAAAAAAAAGAAAAGAAAAAAAGAAAACTTAGCTGGGCATGGTGGTGCACACCTGTAGTCCCATCTACTCAGGAGGCTGAGGTGGGAAGACCACTTGAGCCCAGGAGTTTGACATTAGTCAGTTATGATGGTGCCACTGCACTCCAGTATGGGCAACAGAGGGACGCCCTGTCTCTGAAAAAAAATTTTTTTTAGTGAAAGAACCCAAACATTGAAGAGTGTATGCTGTAAAATTCCATTTATAAAAAGTTCAAAACCAAGCAAAACTCAGTGATTATCCCTGGGGCAGTAGTGCCTGGCAGGGACACCACTAGGCTTCTGTAGAGCTGATAATGCTTTGTTTCCTAATCTGTGCCGGTTCCATGGCTGGGTCTGATTTGTAAACATTCAATAAACAATACAATTTGTGTACATAGTCCCTAACAAGAGAGGCAGCCTGTCCTTTGAAGCTTTGAAGCCAGGCATTGCCTTCTCTCTAGCTATGGGAGTCCTAGATGGCATCTTCTTGCAATAGAAGGCTGTTTTGTCTACACTGAAAATCTATTATTCAGTGTAGCCACCTTCATCAATCATCTTAGCTAGGTCTTCTGGACAACGTGCTGCAGCTTCTCCATCAGCAGTGGCTGCTTCACCTTGTGCTTTTGTTATGGAGACTACGTCTTTCCTTAACCCTCATGAACCAACCTCTGCCAGCTTCAAGGTTTTCTTCTGCAGCTTCCTTACCCCTCTCAGCTTTCGCATAATTGAAGAGAGTTGGGGCCTTGCTCTTGAGGCGAAGCTTTGGCTTAAGGGAATGTGTCTGGTTTGATCTTCTATCCAGACAGTTTGAGGGGGACTGAAACTGTCTCCATATCAGCAATAAGGCTGCTGTACCTTCTTGTCATTCATATGTTCACCAGAATAGCACTCCCAATTTCCTTCAAGAACTTTACTTTTTACTGTTATTTTCTTTTTGAGACAGGGTCTCACTCTGTCACCCAGGCTGGAGTGCAGTGGTGTGATCATAGCTCACTGCAGCCTCAAACTCCTGGGCTCAAGCGATCCTCCTGTCTCAGCCTCCTGAGAAGCTGGGACTACAGGCTTGATCCACCACGCCTGAAGAAGTTTTGCTTTGCATTCACAACTTAGCTAACAGACGCAAAAGGCCTGGCTTTGGCCTGTCTCAGTTTTCACCGCACCTTCCTTACTAAACTTGGTCATTTCTAACATTTGCAATAAAGCGAGAGGTGTGTGACTCTTCCTTTCATTTGAACACTTATAGGCCATTCCAGGGTTATTAATTGGCCTAGTTTCGATATTGCTGAGTCTCAGGGAATATGGAGGCCCTAGGAGAGAGAGAGGGAGGTAGGGAATGGCTGATCAGTGGGTCAGGACAGCCAACACTCATCGATTAAGCTCACCGTCTCATACAGGCAGAGTTCATGGTGCCCTTGAAACAATTACAATAGCAACATTAAAGATCGCAGATCACAGAGCACCATAACAGATATAAAAAAAAGGTTTGAGGCCAGGCGCAGTAGCTCATGCCTGCAATCCCAGCACCTTGGGAGGCCGAGACGGGCGGATCACGAGGTCAGGAGATCGAGACCATCCTGGCTAACATGGTGAAACCTCATCTCTACTAAAAATACAAAAAATTAGCCGGGCGTGGTGGTGGGCGCCTGTAGTCCCAGCTACCCGGGAGGCTGAGGCAGGAGAATAGCATGAACCCGGGAGGCGGAGCTTGCAGTGAGCCGAGATCGCGCCACTGCACTCCAGTCTGGGCGACAGAGCAAGGCTCCGTCTCAAAAAAAAAAAAAAAAAGGTTTGAAATACTGCAAGAATTACCAAAATGTGACACAAAGAAGTGAGCACGTGCTGTTGAAAATGGCACTGACAGACTTGCTCAACACAAGGTCGTCACAAACCTTCAATTTGTAAAAAAAAATGTTCGCCAGGCGCAGTGGCTCGCACTTGTAATCCCAACAGTTTGGAGGCCCAGGGGGGCAGATCACCTGAGGTCAGAAGTTTGAGACCATCCTGGCCAACATGGTGAAACCCTGTCTCTACTAAAAATACAAAATTAGCCAGGCATGGTGGCGCGCGCCTGTAATCCCAGCTACTTGGGAGGCTGAGGCAGGAGAATCACTAGAACCTGGGAGGCGGAGGTTGCAGTGAGCTGAGATCGCGCCATTGCACTCCAGCCTGGGCGACGAGCAAGACTCCATCTATGGAAAAAAAAAAAAAAAAAAAGCAGCAGTATCTGCAAAGCCACAACAAAGTGAAGTGGAATAAAATGAAGTGTGCCTGACCTATATTCATGTTAAAATTTAAAAATACGAGTTTACTCCTAAAGCTCCTGGTTATAAAAGTCAAAAGAAAAATTGGGATAAAAACGAAAACAAAATTTTATGTCATTTTCTCCATGCGTAGTGCCCTTTTAGCAAGCATATAAGATTCCTTTTATTTATTTATTTTTATTTTTTTTTTTTTTTTTGTGAGATAGAGTCTTGCTCTGTCGCCCAGGCTGGAGTGCAGTGGCGCAATCTCGGCTCACTGCAAGCTCCGCCTCCCGGGTTCACGCCATTCTCCTGCCTCAGCCTCCCGAGTAGCTGGGACTACAGGCGCCCGCCACCACGCCCGGCTAATTTTTTGTATTTTTAGTAGAGACGGGGTTTCACTGTGTTAACCAGGATGGTCTCGATCTCCTGACCTCGCCATCCACCCGCCTCGGCCTCCCAAAGTGCTGGGATCACAGGCGTGAGCTACCGCACCCGGCCTAAGATTCCTTTTAAATGCCAGGGTCCTCCCTGATGTCTCATATCAACGTAACTGCCCGCTTAAAAATAGATCTCTTGGGATGGGCATGGTGGCTCGCGCCTGTGATCCCCGCACTTTGGGAGGCTGAAATGAGAGGAGAGCTTGAGCCCACGAGGTGGAGGCTGCAGTGAGCTGAGACCGCACCTCCGCACTCCAGCCTGGGCAGCAGAGTGAGACCCTGTCTCTGAAGAACCAAAACCAAAACAGATCTCTCATCAGGCTATCAACAGGTTACATGTGTTTTTTGTGACTACTCAGATAAAGATGTTCAATTGTAACAGTTTCTCAACATTGCAGGCAGGGCTGAGCCCACCCAGGGCTGGCGTTGTTCCCAGGAGCGGGTGCCCTCACCCACCAACTCGAGGCCGCTCACTCACTGTGCAGCTGTATGGCAGGCCCAGCAGTGCCTCTCCCTTCGTACATCACCAGAGTCGGCTGAAAAGTGCCAAAAGAGAACTCAGGAACCAAACAGGGAAGTGGAGAGCCATGTTTTATCCACCGGGCCTAAAGCCCCTCCAGGCGCGGGGCCCAGAGCGCCAATCCCTGGACTGAAAGAGCAGCAAGGGTGGGCTCTGCTGCCGCCCAGAGGCCTTCCGTGGTAAGACAGCCACGGAAAGCACAGCGCGTGCCGCTGCGACGGGGCGTCCCGGGGGTGACACTGGCATGTGACGCTGCGACGGGGCGTCCCGGGGGTGACACTGGCATGTGACGCTGCGACGGGGCGTCCCGGGGGTGACACTGGCATGTGACGCTGCGACGGGGCGTCCCGGGGGTGACACTGGCATGTGACGCTGCGACGGGGCGTCCCGGGGGTGACACTGGCATGTGACGCTGCGACGGGGCGTCCCGGGGGTGACACTGGCATGTGACGCTGCGACGGGGCGTCCCGGGGGTGACACTGGCATGTGACGCTGCGACGGGGCGTCCCGGGGCAGGGCCCTGCCAAGGGACCCCCAACAAACACGACTGAAACTCAGCCTGGATACAAAGTCCACATGGAGGCACTGCCAGAGACGCCTGCCGGGCCAGGTCAGACATGGCGGTAGGGCAGGACAGGACGGAGCCTGTGGCTCTCCGGGGTGCCCATCACTAACCTCCTTCTTGGACACCCCCGAAACACACTCGAAACTTCTAATGCAGGGCACCTGTGCTCACCACTGCCCCTTCAAAGGCGAACAAACAAAAACAGAATCATCTTTCCCCAGTTGGCTGACAAGATCTTACTCAAGATCTCATGCCATTCAGACACCCAGTGACGGTCGTGGGAACCGCCCCCCTCAGAGGAGACAGCAGCACCTTGGGCACTGTGTCGCGCAGACACATGGGATTAAGACTGAAGACGGACTCTCCTCCAACTGCCCCAACAGGACTTAAATGCTTCCAGATGATGGCTCCCCCGGAGGACCGAGGAAGCCCCATGATGTTAGGGTTCACTACACTGACGTCATCCACGGGATGCCTGGGCCATGAGCTAAGGCCACCTTGCTTCCTGGTCTAAGTCTGGCACAAACCACACACAGGAGCCTTGCTCCCCTGCAAGTTTAGAATATCTCAATCAACACTTTAGTCAAAATGACCACAAACAGTGGCTATCAGAACCATAGTTTCACGAAACTATGCAGTTCTTCGTCTTCCTCCAGCTCCAAAAGTGTGTGTTTCCTCAATGGTATACTGTGTACCGATGGAACTTTCTGGGCAACAATAACATTATATATCTTGATAGAGGTTTGGTTTACACAAGTGTGTCTATTTGTTAAAACTCAGCAAATTCACACTTAAGATTTGTGCATTTCATTTATATAATTTTCACCTCAAAAGAAAAAACTGTAAACAAACACTGATCTCCAATTAATGACACATATGTATTTAAAGGAAGCGTCCTGTTAGTGCTGCTTCTTTGTTATTTTATGTATGTTATCTATGCATTTTGAGACAGAGTCTTGCTCTATTGCCCAGGCTGGAGTGCAGTGGCACGATTTCTGCTCACGGCAACCTCTGCCTCCCAGGTTCAAGCAACTCTCCTGCCTCAGCCTCCTGAGGAGCTGGGATTACAGGCGTGAGCCACCACGCCCTGCTGATTTTTTGTATTTTCAGTAGAGACAGGGTTTCACCATGCTGGCCAGGCAGGTCTCGAACTCCTGACTCCAGGTGATCCGCCCACCTCGGCCTCCCAAAGTGCTGGGATTACAGACATGAGTCACCATGCCCGGCCCAATAATTTTAAAAGTAAAAATAAAATTAAATTCAATAAAGGACATGTCCTGACAGCTGCATTTTTTTTTTTTAAGACAGAGTCTTTCTCCGTCACCCAGGCTGGAGTGCAATGATGCGATCTCAACTCACTGCAACCTCTGCCTCTCAGGTTCAAGTGATTCTCATGCCTCAGCCTCCGGAGTAGCTGGGACTACAGGCATGTGCCACCACGCCTGGCTAATTTTTTTATTTTTTTGTAAAGACGGAGTTTACCATGTTGGCCAGGCTTGTGTCAAACTCCTGGCCTCAAGTGATCCGCCCACCTCAGCCTCCCAAAGTGTTGGGATTACAGGTGTGAGCCACTGTGCCCAGCCTTGCAATTTACTTTAAAAACAAAAACAAAGTACATGATGGGTCTGGTAGAGGGATAGTGGGATAGGGAAACATGATTTCCAAGCATGATAAATGTTAACACAGAACCTTGGTGGTGGGTGTATGGGTCTTCACTATAAAGCTCTTCCAAATTTGATGTATGTCTGAAATCTTCCATAACATGCTGGGGGAAAAAGTGCTGTACATCAATTCTAGATAATTCAAAACCTATGCACGATTGACAGGTCATGGTAAAAAGACGAGTTGGCCAATTACATTAGACTGAGCCAAGCCGGGCGCGGTGGCTCACGCCTGTAATCCCAGCACTTGGGGAGGCCAAGGCGGGGGAATCACGAGGTCAGGAGATGGAGACCATCCTGGCCAACACGGTGAAACCCCGTCTCTACTAAAAATACAAAAAATTAGCTGGGTGTGGTGGCAGGCACTTATAGTCCCAGCTACTTGGGAGGCTGAGGCAGGAGAATGGCGTGAACCCGGGAGGCGGAGCTTGCAGTGAGCCAAGATCGCACCACTGCACTCCAGCCTGGGCGACAGAGCGAGACTCCGTCTCAAAAAAAAAAAAAAAAAAATACATTGGACAGCCTTAGAACCTATCAGACCTCAAAAAACAAACCACAGTAGGTAACTTAATACTAGCAGCAGTAATAATTTGCTTGTATGTAATAAATTGTTGATAAAGGCCAGGCGGGGTGGCTCACACCTGTAATCCCAGCACTTTGGGAGGCTGAGGCGGGTGGATCATCTGAGGTCAGGAGTTCGAGAGCAGCCTGGCCAACATGGAGAAACCCTGTCTCCACTAAAAATACAAAAATTAGCCAGGCGTGGTGGCATATGCCTGTAGTCCCAGGTACACGGGAAGCTGAGGCAGAATTGCTTGAACCCGGGAGGCAGAGGTTGTAATGAGCCGAGATCATACCACTGCACTCCAGCCTGGGCAACAGAGGGAGACTCCGTCTCAAAACAAAACAAAACAAAAATGTTGATAAAATATTACTTAAGTTGGGTGTGGTGGCTCACGCCTGTAATCCTAGCACTTTGAGAGGCTGAGGTGGGAGGATCACTTGAGGCCAAAAGTTTGAGACCTGCCTGGGCAAGATGTTGAGACCCCACCTCTAAAGCAGACCACAGTGCAGCACGCCTGTTTCTGAGCTGCCTCCGCATGTGCTATGCTCTTTGACATGAGCTCCGGCTGCCATGAGGCCTCCGGCAGCGGCCTGAGTTCCCAACCCCTCCCTCTTGGTCCCTGTGGGTCAGAGGCCACCGCTACAACCCCACCTACACACAGCTGCTTGACTGGACGCAAAACCTGGACTGATAATGGAGCAGGAGCCCTCCTTGGACGTGTTTGCTTCAAACCCTTGCACCCCTCTTCTCCATCTGGGCTTCCACCCATACCCTGGAACCCAGGAAGGCAGATGCCCCAGATCCTCGCCCTCCATCCTCTCTCCTCGCGCCGACCTCCATGTGGCCTTCAGGCGTGCCGTGTACCCCCAAGACATATACGTAAGCAAATCTTTATTTTCCATCTTGTGTCTGATCACTGAAGAGGTTTTCTCAAGAGAAACAAAAGGAAAAAAGAAAAAAAGAAAAAACCCTGGAACAGCTAACACCGTTGCTGGGAGGGAGCGCACCCATGCTTAGCATGAGATGCTTCAGCTGCGCCTGGCTGACTAAAATCACCGCCAGTGGGGACAACTACATCTGGGAAGACAGAGATGCCGCTAGGTCTGTTCCGCAGCCGGCAGAATCTTAGGCTGCACGTGCCAGATGCCTAAACTGTGCAGCCTGAATGACTGTTGGGCAGGTAAGCGTGGCTCTGTGTTTCCGAAATCCTGACCCAGGAGGCGCCCACTCAGACCACAGTCCCTCTGTTGGGACCTTCCCATGCCACACCTGCCTGGTGTTTTCCTTTGTCCCAGCGCTGAGCCGAGCGGAGCTCCTGGCTGTAAGGACACCTCCCGTGGCGTTCACAGGTATCCAGGTCTACTGCAGACCCCAGACCATGGGCAATCCCTGCAGGGCTGGTCATGACCCCTTGCAAATATCCATGCTTTGTCCCTGTGGCTGTCGGCCCTGTCCCCCAACTCCAGCGGGTGTCACGGGTCTAATCCCTGGCACAAACCGGCTACGATTGGTGGGCAAAAGCAAATGCCCTGAGCACCCGGTTCCTGCCCCACCGGACGCTGGAGGCCTCCACCTGGCTCTGAGATGAGTGTAAGGCTCACAGCAACGGCATGAACTCTACTTGGTGCCGCTGGCCCTGTGGTCCTGGGGCCTGGGGGCCAACCCTGACACCAGAAAATGACGGCGCTGGTGGGTGCTGACCCTGGGTCAGTGACCTCCCACAGAGGTCACTGGGACACCCTGAAGAGGGAGGCGCTGCCTGAAAGGTAGGGACACACAGAGGTCACCCTCAGATTCTTCTGGTAATAATCTCAAAGGTCAAAATCACAGGAGACGGGCGAATTAGAACTGGAGACCAAAATTCCTCTGTGGTAGAAAATTCAAATTTGTCTTAAGGGATTTTGCAGGCCGGGCGTGGTAGCTCACGCCTGTAATCCCAGCACTTTGGGAGGCCGAGGTGGGTAGATCACCTGAGGTCAGGAGTTTGAGACCAGCCTGACCAACACAGAGAAACCCCGTCTCTACTAAAAATACAAAAATTAGCCAGACGTGGTGGTGCATGCCTGTGATCCCAGCTACTTGGGAGGCTGAGGCAGGAGAATCACTTGAACCAGGGAGGCAGAGGTTGCAGTGAGCCAAGATCGCACCACTGCACTCCAGCCAGGGGACAAAGCAAGACTCCGTCTCAAAAAAATAAAAAAAAAAGAGATTTTACATTGGCTGGGCATGGTGGCTCACGCCTGTAATCCCAACACTTTGGGAGGCTGAGGAGGGTAGATCATCTGAAGTCAGGAGTTCGAGACCATCCTAGCCAACATGGTAAAACCCCATCTCTACTTAAAATACAAAAATTAGCTGGCCAGTAGTGGAGTGCACCTGTAATCCCAGCTACTTGGGAGGCTGAGGTGGGAGAATTGCTTGAACCCAGGAGGCAGAGGTTGCAGTGAGCTGAGATCACCCCATTGCAGCCTGGGCAACAGAGCAAGACTCCGTCTCAAAAAAAAAAAAAAAAAAAGAGATTTTGTATTTTTGTATTGCCAGAGTGAAAAGGGGGCTGGCCAGCTACTCAGGGCATGTAGTACCAGGTCAGAGTTAGCGCTCACTCCCACAGAAATGTGTACTAAATTCCTCCAGGACACTGGCCCACATCCCCCACATCTGTCCCTCAATGTGGCCAATCCCATGCCCACAAATCAGAAAAAGCACTGACGAGGTCACGGAAGCCTCACCGGGTGGGAAGGACGGGCGCACTCGGAGCCTCCGTGCCGTGGATACTCAAGGTGTGGCCCAGACTCAACCGCCCACCATAGTGACAACAGCCAGAGCTCACTGTAGAGTGGCCCTGGAGACCACACCCACCTCCTGCTAAGTGATGGCAGACAGCAAGAGGGGTCTGTTGTCTCTTTGAATGCCACTGCCGGGGTACCATGGGACTATCTCCAGTCCTGAAGAGGCTCCTCTCAGTCACACGGCAGCTCTGGACAAGACTTGTGCAAAGGTGAGACATGGGCAGCTGCTTCCTGGTGCTCGGCAGTCGCCTGCTGAGGGCCCCCAGCCGGACCTCAACTGACCCTGGCCCCCCACAGCGGGACCCAGGCCTCACCATTATTTTCCCTGAGCACCTGGAAACCCTTCCCCAAATCCCTGGACTAAGAACCGGACCCTCATGGGCCCCCACGCTGGGCGGCTGTGCCCAACGCCCTCATCATGGGACAACCAGAAAACAAGCTGGTGGCCGTCAAACACCTGGGCTCACGCAGCCGCATTTCTGAAGGCTGAGGACCCTCGACAGCCTGTTCTCACAGAACACTAATACCCTCCCTCCTTTCCCGACTTGAGAGAATGGCAGCCTCCTCATCCCTTAGCCTGGGGACTTGGTGGTCCTCCAGGGACTATCCCACTCTGAGGGGACAATTACCCTTTTACTACTCTATTAATTGGGACAAGAAAAACTTTCAGTACTTTATAAGGGGGCCCAAGTCACAGTAGTTCCTGAGGAGCCTACAAAAGGGAAAGCTTTTAAAATAAAGGGAATCACGAACAAACCCTCGGGAGTTCACCTTCCTTTATTTTATTTATTTATTTATTTATTTATTTATTTATTTATTTATTTATTTATTTTTGAGACAGAGTTTCGCTCTTGTTGCCCAGGCTAGAGTGCAATGGCATGATCTTGGCTCACCGCAACTTCCACCTCCTGGGTTCAAGTGATTCTCCTGCCTCAGCCTCCCAAGTAGCTGGGATTACAGGCAGGCGCCACCACGCCCAGCTAATTTTTATATTTTTAGTAGAGTTGGGGTTTCTCCAAGTTGGTCAGGCTGGTCTTGAACTCCCGACCTCAGGTGATCCATCTGCCTTGGCCTCCCAAAGTGATGGGATTACAGGCGTGAGCCACCGTGCCCGGCCTACTTTATTATTGTTAATTTTTGAGATGGAGGTTTTTTTTGGTTCTTGTTGCCCAGTTTGAAGTGCAATGGCGTGGTCTCGGCTCACTGCAACCTCCGGCTCCCGAGTTCAAGCAATTCTCCTGACTCAGCCTCCCAAGTAGCTGGGATTACAGGCGCCCACCACCATGCCTGCTAATTTTTTTGTATTTTTAGTAGAGATGGGGTTTCACCATGTTGGCCAGGCTGGTCTTGAATTCCTGACCTCCGATGATCCGCCTGCCTTAGCTTCCCAAAGTGCTGGGATTACAGGCGTGAGCCACGGCACCCGGCCTATTTTATTTTGCTTAAGACAGTCTTGCTCTGTTGCCCAGGCTGGAGTACAGTGGATGATCTCAGCTCATGGCAGTCTTGACCTTCCAGGCTCAAGCAATCCTCCCACCTCAGCCTCCCGAGTAGCTAGGATTACAGGTGCTCACTACCACACCCAGTTAATTTTTGTATTTTTAGTAGAGATGGGGTTTTACTATGTTGGCCAGGCTGGTCTTGAACTCCTGGTCTCAAGTGATCTGCCCGCTTTGGCCTTTTAAAGTGCTGGGATTACAGGCATGAGCCACCTGGGAGCTACTCGGGAGGCTGAGGCAGGAGAATGGTGTGAACCCGGGAGGTGGAGCTTGCAGTCAGAGTGCAGATCTCGCCACTGCACTCCAGCCTGGGTGACAGAGCGAGATTCCGTCGCAAAAACAAACAAACAAACAAACAAAAAACCAGCTACGAGGCTGGGCGCAGTGGCTCACACCTGTAATCCCAGCACTTTGGTTGGGAGGCCAAGGCGGGTGGATCACAAGGTCAGGAGATCGAGACCATCCTGGCTAACACGGTGAAACCCCGTCTCTACTAAAAATAGAAGAAATTAGCCAGGCGTGGTGGCAGGCGCCTGTAGTCCCAGCTACTTGGGAGGCTGAGGCAGGAGAATGGCGTGAACCCGGGAGGCAGAGCTTGCAGTGAGCCGAGATCGAGATCGCACCACTGCACTCCAGCCTGGGCAACAGAGCGAGACTCTGTCTCAAAAAAAAAAAAAAAAAAAAAAAAAGGGTTATGCTATCACCCCACATAAAATACAGGGGCCGGTGCCTTCAGTAAAATTCTTGGGCACTGTCTGGTCAGGGTGCAGCAGATCCTATTAATCGTTAAACATAAACTGCTGACACTGTTACCACCCACAGGTCTTTGACGGACACATTTATTTGGATTCTTCATGTTTTGGAGACAAGAGTTTCCATATCTTACTCTAATACCCAGACCCTTTTCTGCCATAACCTATAAAGCAACCACCTCTCAGTGGGGAGGCTCCACAGCCCTCACCCGGCCCAGCAGGCGGCCCAGCACACCATGCCACCATGCCTCCAGGTCCCACTCTTGCATGGAAGCTCTGGCGACACCCACTCTGCCTCGTGGAGTCTCAGGAGGAAACATGGTCCACCTGGTTGCCCATGGGGTTCTGAACTCAACAAGCCCCAAAGAGCAGCTCAATATGCCCCGTAGAAAGGCAAACGCTATCCGCCTATTGAGCTCGATTAGAAACTGAGGGTCCCACACTGAGTGGAAGCAGCACCCCTGTGGACTCCAATCCCCACCATGCCACAGCTCAGGACACCTCCCACCCAGCACAGGCAGGTGCCTCCTTGCTACATGGAAATGGCAACTGCGGGACCAGGCTGACCTGACACACAGGGTCTTCCCAAACTCCAGGAGGGTGTGGCTTTACTCATCCCCGGCCCCTTCCTCATGGTGTTGGAGGACCAATCAGTCAAATTGGCAGCCTCGTGATGCAACATGCCTGCAAGTCCAAACTGCCTTCTGCCCATAGATTTAGACTCAGTCAGGCAAGTGGAAACAGCACAGTTCTCTCGTTCAAGGCAACCTCGTGGGGGCACCTGTTTGTGGAAACAGGATGGT
The DNA here is from genome assembly GCF_000001405.40 of Homo sapiens. Taxonomy (NCBI): domain Eukaryota; kingdom Metazoa; phylum Chordata; class Mammalia; order Primates; family Hominidae; genus Homo; species Homo sapiens. Next base: position 144,738,729 of record NC_000008.11, read on the forward strand.
TTTCTTGTTCAAGGCAACCTCGTGGGGGCACCTGTTTGTGGAAACAGCACAGTTCTCTCATTCAAGGCAACCTCCTGGGGGCACCTGTTTGTGGAAACAGGATGGTTTTCTTGTTCAAGGCAACCTCATGGGGGCACCTGTTTGGGAAGAAGTTGCCTCCTAAGGGCTTCCTCACTTTAGTCTGCAAGGGATCACAATAAATGCAGGGTGACACTTGAAACAGCGCCAGAGATGCACACAGCAGCCCTCCCAGGGGACTACAAGGCCTTCCTGACGGGGATGGCCAACTGGGGACACACCATTCATCCACCTGGACAGCCCCCATCTCATGGGGGATGACATCGCTCCAACTTCAACACCGAGAACACAGACCCTCCCTGCTGCTGACTCCCATCACGACTCCACCCCTCCAAACTAGGATCACAAATCACGACTCCACTCCCTGAAACCAGGATCACAAATCACAACTCCACTCCCCCAAACTAGGATCACAAATCACAACCCCACCCCCCCAAAACTAGGATCACAAATCATGACTCCACCCCGCCAAACTAGGATCACAAATCACGACTCCACCTCCCCAAACTAGGATCACAAATCATGACTCCACTCCCCAAACTAGGATCACAAATCATGACTCCACTCCCCCGCCTAAACTAGGATCACAAATCACGACTCCACTCCCCCGCCTAAACTAGGATCAAAAGGGTTGCCTCTGTCCAACTATGGACTTGCAACTAGACTCCAACCTACAGGGCTTTCTACAAAATATAGAGCCCAGGGATGCCAGGAACCTTATTTTGCTGAAATAGCCTACGCTTGACATATGAACTACATAGCAACAAAAATGCCCAAAGTGCCGGAATTACAGGTGTGACCACTGTGCCCGGAAACCTCATGTATTTTGATGCTGTAATCCCAGCACTTTGGGAGGCCAAGGCAGGTAAATTGCTTGAGCCCAGGAGTTCAAAACCACCCTGACCAATATGGTGAAACCTTGTCTCTACCAAAAATACAAAAATTATCTGGGCATGGTGGAGCGCACCTGTAGTCCCACTCAGGAGGCTGAGGCGGGAGGATCACTTGAACCTGGGAGGGTAAGGCTGCAGCGAGCCAAGATGGCACCACTGCACTCCAGCCTTGGTGACAGAGCAAGGCTCTGTTTCAAAAAAAAAAAAAGCATTTCATTATCTGGTCCCAGTGGGAACAAAGTTTAGCTCTGAATCTTCTCATGTCTTCTTCAGGAAACCACAAAAATAACAACAGAAAAATACATGCCAGGTGCCATGGCTCACGCCTGTAATCCCAGCACTTTGGGAGGCCGAGGCGGGCAGATCACCTGAGGTCCGGAGTTCGAGACCAGCCTGACCAACATGGAGAAACCCCGTCTCTACTAAAAATACAAAATTAGCCAGGTGTGGTGGTGCATGCCTGTAATCCCATCTACTCCGGAGGCTGAGGCAGGAGAATGGCTTGAACCCGGGAGGTGGAGGTTGCTGTGAGCCGAGATCGCGCCATTGCACTCTAGCCTGGGCAACAAGAGTGAAACTCCGTCTCAAAAATAATAACAACAGAAAAATACAAACAAGCAAAATGAAGTTTTGTTGTGTTTTAACTTCATTTTCAGGCTGGGCGCAGTGGCTCATGCCCGTAATCCCAGCACTTTGGGAGGCCGAGGTGGGTGGATCACCTGAGGTCAGGAGTTCGAGACCACCCTGGCCAACATGGTGAAACCCTGTCTCTACTAAAAATACAAAATTAGCAGGGTATGGTGGCAAGCACCTGTAATCCCAGCTACTTGGGAGGCTGAGGCAGGAGAATCACTTGAACCTGGGAGGCAGAAGTTGCACTGAGCCAAGATGGCACCACTGCACTCCAGCCTGGGCAACAAAACAAGACTAAATCTCAAAAAAAAATAAAAATAGGCCACCATGGTGGCTCACGCCTGTAATCCCAGCACTTTGGGAGGCTGAGGCGGGCAGATTGCCTAAGCTCAGGAATTCGAGACCAGCCTGACCAACATGGTGAAACCCCATCTCTACTAAAAATACAAAATTAGCTGGGCGTGGTGGCAGGTGCCTGTAATCCCAGCTACTCGGGAGGCTGAGGCAGGAGAATCACTTGAACCTGGGAGGCGCAGGTTGTGATGAGCTGAGATGGCGCCATCGCACTCCGGCCTGGGCAAGAAGAGCGAAACTCCGTCTCAAAAAACAAAAAAAAAGAAACAAAAAAAAACCCCCAAAAATAAATAAATAAAAATAATGAAATAAAACTGCATTTTCAAGGACAACAGGAGGCCCTGGAGGCTGAGTTCCTCGAAGTGCTGCCGAAGGCAATGCCAGAAGGGAACAGTCCCAGTAGCCGGAAGGAGCCACAGAAAAGCAGCATCGCAAACGCAGACGGGCCCGAGGTGGATCTCAAAAGTGTCCAAAAGGAGCTGGCCCAACCCAGGAAAGAACATCTGTGAGTGGGGCCAATACTGACGATGGCAGAGCCCTGGGACAGGCCAACACACAAGCCTCAGAAAGCTCAGTGCCCAGGGCACAGTGGTGACAGCTCGTGGATATGCCAGCAAAATCTAACTTGTGAAGGTACATGCTGGTGACCAGCTGCACAGATGTACACACACACTCATACACACACTCACACACACTCACATGCGTAAACATGTACATACACACGATGCAGATACACATACACCCATACATACAGAATCCACAGTCTCCACTCCAAAATTAACAAACACATAAAGAACCAAGAAAATAGAGCACGTTTTTGTGAGAAAAGGAAATCAACCATCTGACCCTGAAATGAGTCAGATGTTGAAACTAACAGACAAGGATTTAAAAACAGGAATTATAATTATCCTCAGTGAAGTAAAACAAAACAGGAAAATCTCAGGGAGTGAAAACTCTCAGCAGAGACACAGAAATAATAAAAAGGAATAAAACAGTCATTCTGGAACTGAAGAACACAATCTCTGAAATAAAGCATTACTTGACAGACTAACAGCTGAATGGGCACAATAAAGGAAAGAGTAAGTCAACTTGAATCGAGATGAACAGAAATTATCTGAAGAATACAGATAAAAATATTTTAAAAATAATAAACAGCCTTACAAATCTGTTAGATAATTCAAATGGTCACTTATAATTGGTATCTCAGGAGACCAGAGAGAGAATGGTACAGAAAGAAATGTGAAGAAATAATGGTCAAAAATTTCCCAAATTTGATGAAAGACAGAAATCTACAGGATCAAGATGCTATATGAACACCTAGCAGAGTAAAAACCAAGAGGCCGGTGCTGCAGTACATCAGAGTCCACCTGCTGGGAACCGAAACGACAGGCAGCTCACCTCAAAAGCAGGAGAGTGACCCACGACACACCACGAGCCAGTGATCCCATGAATGGCTGACTCCTCATCGAAAGTCAAGGAGGCCAGAAAAGAGTAAAATAGCAGCTTTAAAGTGCTGAATGGGAAAAGGAAAAAAAAAAGCAAAATAAAGGTACTTTCATACACGAGAAAACTAAGAACTGGGGCAGCAGACTCGCACCACGAGAAATGCAAAGGTCTTTGGGCTGAAGGGAAATGGTGCCAGCTAGAAACTCAGATCATCAGAAAGGGATGAAGAGCACTAGAGATGGAAAATCTGGGGAAACATGAGATTTTTTTGAAAATACTTTATTTTTAGAGCATTTCACAGCAATATTAAGCAGAAAACACAGTTCCTGCATACCCCACCCCCCACACACCTCCCCCACTACTTACCTCCCGCAACAGTGATAACAGCGTCACAATGAATGAACCCACACTGACACATCATGACCATCTAAAATCTCAGTTTAGGGCTCACTCGTGGTGCCGCGTGATCTATGGGTTTTGCATCCACCACTGCAGTACTGTACAGACTAGTGTCACCGCCCTAAAAATCCTCTGGCTTCACCCTGCTTCTCTACTCCTTGGCACTGCTGATCTTTTTGCTGTCTCTATAGTGTTGCCTCATCCAGAATGTCACATAGTTGGAATCATACAGTATAGGTGTCCGTTGGTAAACAAAGGGGATTGGGTCCGAGACCCCCACGTATACCCAAATCCATGCATACTCAAGTTCCACAGCTGGCCTTTCAGAATCCACTTATATGAAGCCAGCCCTCTGGACATGGGTTTCACATGTGTTTGGTTGAAAAAAATCCACATATAAGTGGACCTGGGAAGTTCAAACCCATGTTGTTCAAAGGCCAACTGTATCATCTTTTCAGACTAACTGCTTTCACTTGGTAATGTGCACTTAAGGTTCCTCTATGTCTTTTCATAGCTTCGTAGCTCATTTATTTTTATTTATTTTATTTTTGAGACGCAGTTTCACTGTTTCGCCCAGGCTGGAGTGCAGTGGCACCATCTGGGCTCACTGCAAACTCCGCCTCCCGGGTTCAAGTGATTCTCCTGCCTCAGCCTCCTGAGTAGCTGGGATTACAGGCACCAACCACCATGCCTGGCTGATTTTTGTATTTTTAGTAGAGACAGAGTTTCATCATGTTGGCCAGGCTCGTCTCGAACTGCTGACCTCAAGTGATCCACCCGCCTTGGCCTCCCAAAGTGCTGGGGTTACAGGCATGAAGCACCGTGCCCGGCCAATCATTTCCTTTTAGCCCTGAATATGATCCCATTCTCTGGATGTGCCACTGGTTTATTTACCCGCTTATCTACTGAGGAACGTCTCAGTTGCTTCCGACTTTTGGTAATTATGAAATTATGAATAAGGTTTGGTAATTATGAATAAGGCTGCCGTAAATATCTGTGTGCAGGATTTTGTGTGGACATAAATTTTCAATTCATTTGGGTAAATACAAAGGGACAAAACTGCTGGATCACATGGTAAAGGTATGTTTAGTTTTGTAAGACTGTCGAACTGTCTTCCAGAGTGACCACCGTTTTGCATCCCCACCTGCAATGAATCAGAGTTCCTGTTCCACATCTTGGCCAGCACTGGGGGTTATCAGTGGTGTGGATTTTGGCCATTCTAATAGGTGTGCAGTGGAATCTCACTGTTTTAATGTGCAGTTCCTTAGAGATATGACATTGATCTTCTCACAATGCCCACCTGTCATCTGGGTATCTCCTTCCATTCGGAGCCTATTCAGGCCTTTCGCCCATTTTTTAAAATGGGCTGTTCATTTTCTTACTGAGTTTTTTGTGTATTTTGGATAATGGTCATTTATATGTGCCTTTTACAAATATCTTCTCCCAATCTATGGACTGTTTCTCATTCTCTCGTTGTCTTTTTTTTTTTTTTTTTTTTTGGAGATGGAGTCTCACTCTGTCACCCAGGCTGGAGTGCAGTGGCTCAGTCTCGGCTCACTGCAACCTCTGCCTCCCGGGTTCAGGCGATTCTCCTGCCTCAGCCTCTGGAGTAGCTGGAATTACAGGTGCCACCACACACCCAGCTGGTTTTTGTATTTTTAGTAGAGATGGGGTTTCACCATGTTGGCCAGGCTGGTCTCGAACTCCTGACCTCGGGTGATCTGCCTGCCTCGGCCTCCCAAAGTTGATGCCGTCTTTTACAGAGCAGAAGTTTTTCATTTTAATGAAGTCCAGCTTGTCAATTGTTTCTTCCATGGATTGTGCCTTTGGTGTTGTACCTAAAAACTCATTGTCAAACCAAGGTCACCTCTTTTTTTCCTATATTATCATCTAGAAGTTTCACAGTTTTGTGGTTTACATTTAGATGTATGATCCATTTTGCCATGGAATGAAATGTGTCCTGCTCACCCCAAATTCACATGTTGAAGCCTCAATGTGATGACGTTTGGAGATGGGGTCTTTGAGAGGTCATTCGAGTTAGATGAGGTCATGAGGGTCGTCATGGCAGAATTAGTGCTCTTATAAGAAGAGATACCAGAGAACTTGCACTTTCTCTCTCCACCATGTGAGGACACAGTGAGAAGGCAGTCATCTGTAACCTAGAAAGAGACCCCTCACCAGAAACTAACCATGCTAACACACTGATCTCGGACGTGTAGCCTCCAGAACTGTAAGAAAATAAGGCCGGGCGCAGTGGCTCATGTCTGTAATCCCAGCACTTTGGGAAGCCGAGGCGGGCGGATCACCTGAGGTCAGCAGTTCGAGACCAGCATGGCCAACATGGCAAAACCCCATCTCTACTAAAAGTACAAAAACCAGCTGGGCGTGGTGGCGGGCGCCTGTAATCCCAGCTACTAGGGAGGCTGAGGCAGGAGAATCACTTGAACCCAGGAGGTGGAGGTTGCAGTGAGCAGAGATTGTGCTACAGCACCCCAGCCTGGGTGACCAGAACGAGACTCCATATGGAGGGGGACGGGGAGCGGGAGGGGAAGGGGAGCGGAGGAAAGTTACTGTTTTAAGCACTCAGCTTGTGGTTTTAAGTCTGAGCAGAATAAGACACATTTTAAGTTAATTTTTTGTGATGGGTGTCTAGATTCTTTTTTTTTTTTTTTTTTTGGCACGTGGATGTTCAGTTATTCCAGCACCATTTCTTGAAAAGATCATCCTTTCTACATTGAGGTGTGTTTGTTCCCTTGTCAAAGATCAGTTGCATATGTTTATGCAGGTTTTTATCTGGGCTCTCTGTTCTGTTTCATTGATCTATTTTTTCTGTTTTTTGACCAATACCACACTGCCTTGATTACTGTGGCTTTATAGTAAAAGTACTGAAATTGGGTACTATGGGTCCTCCAACCTTGCTCTTCTCTTTCAATATTGAGTTGACTATTCTGGGTCTTTTACCTCTCCTTATAAACATTACAATCAGTTTGCTAATATCCACAGAATAACCTGCTGAGTTTTTTTCGTTTTTTAGAGACAGGGTCTTGCTCTGTCAGCCAGGCTGGAATACAGTGGCATGATCATAACTTACTGAAACCTCAGACTCCTAGGCTCAAGCAGTCCTCCCACCTCAGCCTCCCAAATAGCTGGGAATATAGGCACATGCCACCAGGCCTAGCTAACAAAAAAAATTTTTTTGTAGATATGGGGTCTCACTATGTTGCCTAGGCTGGTCTTAAACTCCTGGGCTTAAGCGATCCTCCTGCCTTAGCCTCCCAAAGTGCTGGATTATAGGCATAAACCACCACACTTAGCCCCTGAGACTGTGATTGAGATTGTGTTGAATCTGTAAATCAAGCAGAGGACTGACATCATGATAATACTGAGTTTTCCTCATGAACAGACTATCTCTTCATTTATTTAGCTCTTCTTTGATATATTTTTATCAGTCTTGTATTTTTCCTCACAGATTTTGTACATATTTTGTTAGACTTACACCTCAGTATTTTATCTTTAGTGGTGCTAATGTAAATAATGTGTTTTTAACTTCAAATTCCACTTCTTCGTTGCCAGTATAAAGGAAAATGTAGATTTTCTGTAGATGCTCTCTATCAACTTGAGGAAGTTCCTCTCTATTCCTAGTTTGTTGAATTTGTAATCATGAATCGAGGTTGGATTTTGTCAAATGCTTTCTCCGCATCTACTGATATGACCACATGATCTTTCTTCAGCCTGTTGATGTGGTACATCACATTACATTAATTTATTTCCTAATGTTGGACCAGCCTTGTAAACCTGGGACAAATCCCACTTGGTCATGGTATATAATTCTTTTTATACATTGTTGGATTTGATTTGCTAATATTTTGTTGGGATTTTTGCATTTATGTTCATAAGAGGTGTCTGTCTGTAGTTTCCTTTTCTTGTAATGTCTGTTTGGTTTTGGCATTTGGGTGGATAACACTGACCTCATATGAGTTAGGAAGTATTCCCTCTGTTTTTATTTTCTGGAAGAGATTATAGAGAACTGGTATAATTTCTTCCTTAAATGTTTGGTAGAAGTCATAAGTGAACCCATCTGAGCCCAGTGGATTCTATTTTGGAAGGTAATTGTTGATTTGACTTATTTAACAGACATAGCCCTATTCAGATTGTCTATTTCTTCCCGTGTTTGGGAGATTGTGTACTTCAAGGAATTGGTTCATTTATCAAATTTGGGCACAGAGTTGTTCATCTTTTTTTTTTTATTACCCTTTAAAAGTCTGTGGGACATCTCTGTAGTGATGTTCCCTCTTTCATTTGATATTAGTATTTTGTGTCCTCTCTCTTCTTTGTCTTAGTCTGGCTAAAGGTTTACTGATTTTATTGTTTTTTCAAACCATCTTCTGGTTTCGTTGATTTTCTCTATTGATTTCCTGTTTTCCATTTCATTGATTTCTGCTTGAATTTTTATTTCTTTTCTTCTGCTTACTTTGTATTTAATTTGCTCTTCTTTTTCTAGTTTCCTAGAGTGAAAGCTTACATTATGATTTTAGATCTTTCCCATTTTCTAATACATGCAGTCAATGCTATAAATTTCCCTCTAAGCACTGCATTCACAGCATTCCACAAATTTTGGTAAGTTTTATTTTCATTTTCACTTAATTCAAAATATTCTAAAATTTATCTTGAGATATCTTCTTTGACTCGTGTTATTTGGAAGTGTGTTATTTGCCAAGTACTTTAGGATTTTCTAGCTATCTTTCTGGTTTCATTTCTAGTTTCATGTCATTGTGGTCTGAGAATAGACATTCTATGTTTTCTATTCTTCAAGTATGTTAAAGTGTTTTGTGGCCCAGAATGTGGTCTATCTTAGTGAATGTTCCACATGAGCTTGGCAGGAATGTGCATTCTGCTATCGTTGGATGAAGCAGTCTACAGATGTAAATTATTCCCAGCTGACTGATGTGATGGTGCTGTTAAACTCAACTGCATCCTGCTGGATCTGTCCATTTACGATAGAGGGTGCTGGATCTCCAACTGCAGACAGTGAACTCATCTATTTCCCCTTGTAGTTCTATCAGTTTTCGCATCACATATTTTGTTGTTGTTGTTTTTTGAGACGGAGTCTCGCTCTGTTGCCCAGGCTGGAGTGCGATGGCGCGAATCTCGGCTGACTGCAACCTCTGCCTCCTGGGTTCAAGCAATTCTCCTGCCTCAGCCTCCCGAGTAGCTGAGATTACAGGCATGAGCCACCACGCCCGGCTAATTTTGTATTTTTAGTAGAGATGGGGTTTCTCCATGTTGGTCAGGCTGGTCTCGAACTCCTGACCTCAGGTGATCCACCCGCCTCGGCCTCCCAAAGTGCTGGGATTACAGGCGTGAGCCACCGTGTCCAGCTGGTTTTGTGGTTTTTAGAGATAGTGTCTCACTCAGTTGCCCAGCCTGGAGCGCAGTGACGTGATCATAGCTCACCGCAGCTTCAATGTCCTGGGCTCAAGCGATCTGCCCTTCCTGGCCTTCCAGAGTGCTGGGATTACAGGCATGACTACCACACTTGACAACCTCACTTTTTTTTTTTGAGATGGAGTCTCACTCTGTCGCCCAGGCTGCAGTGCAATGGTGCAATCTTGGCTCACTGCAACCTCCATCTCCCAGGTTCAAGTGATTCTCCTGTCTTAGTCTCTTGAGTAGGGGGGATTACAGGTGCACTCCACCATGCCTGGCTAATTTTTGTGTTTTTAGTAGAGATGGGGTTTCATCATGTTGGCCAGGCTAGTCTTGAACTCCTGACCTCAAGTTATCTGCCCGCCTCGGCCTCCCAGTGCTGGGATTACAGGTGTTAGCCACTGTGCCTGGCCAACCTCACATATTTTGATGCTGTTGTTAGGCCCATACACCTCAAGATCTGTTATGTTTTGTGTCTAAAGTAGTAAGATATTTCCGCTTTCTTTGGATTACTATCTTTCTCCATCCCTTTTGTGTTTTTATGTTTAAAGTGGGCTTCTTTTCTTTTTTTTTGTTCATGGCAAGATCTTGTCATGAGACAGCAGGTTTCTTTTTTCTTTGCAATGGGGTCTTGCTCTGTTGCCCAGGCTGCAGAGCAGTGGTGCAATCACAGCTCACTACAACCTCAACTTCCTGGGCTCAAGCGATCCTACCACATCAGCCTCTTGAGTAGCTGAGACTTATAGGTACACAACACCACACCAAGCTAATTTTTTTAACTTTTTGATGAGATGATTTCTCACTATGTTGTTTAGGCTGGTCTCAAACTCCCAGGCTCAAGGGATCCTCCCACCTCGGCCTCCCAAAGTGCTGGAATTACAGGAGCCATCACTCCTGGCCGAAGCAGGTTCCTTATAGAAAACACAGTTGGGGCCAGGCACTGTGGCCTGTAATACCAGTGCTTTAGGAGGCCAAAGCAGGAGGACTGCTTGAGGCTCAAGAGTTTGAGACCAACCTGGGCAAAATAGTGAGACCTGATCTCTACAAAAATAAAAAAAGAGCTGGATGTGGTGACATGCACCTGTAGTCCCAGCTGCCCGGGATGCTGATGTGGGAGGATCGCTTGAGCCCAGGGGGTCAAGGCTGCCATGAGTCATGATCAAGCTACTGCACTCTAGTCTGAGCAATAGAGTGAGACCCCATCTCTAAAAATATAAATAAATAACTTTTTAAAAAGGGGATTATTGGCTGGGTACAGTGGCTCATTCCTGTAATCCCAGCACTTTGGGAGGCCAAGGTGGGTGGATGTCTTGAGACCAGGAGGTCAAGACCAGCCTGGACAATATGGTGAAACCCTGTCTGTACAAAACACAAAAATCAGCCAGGTGTGGTAGTACATGCCTGTAGTCCCAGCTACTTGGGAGGCTGTGGTGGGAGGATCACTCGAGCCTGGGAGGTCAAAGCTTTCAATAGACTGGGACTGTGCCACTGCACTCCACCCTGGGGGACAGAGTGAGACTGTCTCAAAAAAATAAAAAAAAAATTTAAAAAGGTGATTACTGATGTTGCTGAATTAACATCTACCACATTTGTTACCATTTTCTACTTTTTGCCCTTGTTCTTCATTCCTATTTCTGTTTTCCATACTCTTCTACCTTTTGTGGGTTTACCTGAGCATTCTATTATATGTAATTCCATTTTGTATCCTTTTTTAGCATATCAACTATACTTCTTTTTTAACTTTTTAAATTGGTTTGCAATCTGCATTTACAGCTAATACAAGTCCACTTTCAAATAACAATCTCTTGGAGGCCGTGTACCATCCACTAACGAGCCTGTCAAAGGCACTGTTCCTTTCGGTTATGGTGTTTTTGGTCTCTAGTATTTAAAAAATTCTTAAAATTTCTTTTTCTTTTCTTTTTTTTCTTTTTTTTTTTTTTTTAAGAAAGATGATCTCGCTATGCTGCCTAGGCTGGCCTTGAACTCCTGGGCTCAAGCAATCCTGCTACACTATGAGGAGTTGCAAATACAGGTATGTGCCACCACATCCAGCTTCTTAAAATTTTAATCTCTTTTGCTTACATTATCAATCTGTTTTTGCATACTGTCTACTTTTTCCCTTAAAGCCCTCAGCACGTTAATCATAGTTTTAAAAAAATACCTGGTCTGATTACTCCAACACTCCTGCCACGACTGACTCTGGTTCTAATGCTTGTTCAGTCTCTTCAAACTGCATTTTCTGCCTTTTAAGTATGCTTTGTAATTTTCTGTTGATAGGTAGACATGATACACTGGGTAAAAGGAATTGCAGTAAACAGGGCTTTCATCCTGTTTTCAGGTGTTGGGGTGGGAAAGTGTTCTATGATACTATGAGCAGGGCTCAGTCTTGCTGAGCTTGTGTCCCTGGACTATGAACTTCCCAAGTGCTTTTCAGCTTCCCCCACCTGCCATTAGGTGGGACAGAATATCCAGAAGTAGCTAGTGTTAGGTATTTCCCTTCCCCCAGGAAGGTTAAGTTCTGATAAAAACACCAGCAGGTTAGGCCCTGGTAAAATTGTTTCTCCTGAGGGCAGGTCTTGTTAAGAACAGAATGGTATATTCCAAAGTGGTCCCTTTTCACTTCCTCCTGCCAGAAGCACAAGGAGATTTTTCTCTGATATTCACTGTCAGTACCTAATAGAGCTCCTGGAGGTAAAGCTCACAAAAGTATGGGGTCCTCCCATGACCGGGTCCCCCTGGAGTTTTTTTTCAGAGTTGTCCACACTGAGCCTCTAGCAATTTGCCAGTTACATTTTAGGCTTACCCATCTGGCCACCGGTTCCCTGGGAGATTATTGCTCACAAGATGTGGTTGTGATTCTTTGTATCTGCCTGTTTATCTCTCCAGAGTTTTTTTTTTTTCTTTTTTTTTTTTTAGAGTCTCGCTCTGTCACTCAGGCTGGAGTGCAGTAGTGCAATCTTGGCTCACTGCAACCTTTACCTCCTGAGTTTCAGCGATTCTCCTGCCTCAGCCTCCCGAGTAGCTGGGATTACAGGAACCCACCACCACGCCCAGCTAATTTTGTGTTTTTAATAGAGACAGGGTTTCACCATGTTGGCCAGGCTGGTCTTGAACTCCTGGCCTCAACTGATCCACCTGCCTCGGCCTCCCAAAGTGCTGGGATTACAGGTGTGAGCCACCGCACCCGGCCATACCTCTCCAATTTTGAGAGCAGTGATTTGTCCTCTGACCTCACACCTCTCTGATGGAGCTAAGATTTGTTGATTTTTCAGTTTGTTCAGCTTTTTACTTGTTAGGACACAGTGATGACTTCTAAAGTCCTTACATGTCAGAAACAGCTAAAATACTATTTATTTGGCCTTTTTCCTTTTCCTTTTTTATAAACTATATAACTGTTTAAAACTGAAATTATCACATTGTCTTTCTGAGTTTAAAATGTTATGTAGATGTATTACACATAACAACTATAACAAAAAGGATGGGAGGGATGGTTACAAGATTTCTGGATTTATGTGAAGTAGTACACAAATGAACTGTAAGTAAACTGTGGAAACTTATGTATACTGTAAACCTTAGGAAAATCACTGTAAAAAATAATGCAAAAAGATTATGTAAAAAGCAAATAATAAAATTTAAATGGAGTTATAAAAAGTATTCAAATAACCCAAATAAAGGCCGGAAAGAGGAATTTAAAAAACAGAAGAGGTAAATGTAAGTAAAAAATAAAATATTATGCACAAGTGCATTCCTGAACCATATAAACAATTACATTAAACATTAACAGACTAAACACTACAATTAAAAGACAAAGATTGTTAGGATGAAGAAACAAGACCCAATTGTATGATATCTGCAAGAGATTCACTTTAAGTGTAAAGACAGGTTGAAATTAAATGGATGAAAGAAGATATACTATGCTAACAGTAAGTATAAGAAGGATGGAATTGCTACATTAATATTAGATAAAATATATTTCAAAACAAAATGTATTACCAGAGACAAACAGGAATTCTCTTATCTCTCATAATGATAGTCATAAGTGAAGTAAGTCTTATAATACAGCTTCAAGATACATGAAGCCAACACTACAAAAATTAAAGTGAAGAAAAGACAATTCCACAATCATACTTCTGTATTTTAACACCCCTCTCTCAGCAACTGAAAGAATAACTAGACCAAAAAAAAAAAAAAAAAAAAAATCAGCAAGGATACAGAAGACCTGAACAATACCATCAACCACCTTGACTTAACTGATATTTATCTAACCCCCAAATGGCAGAATACACATTCTTTTTCAGTGCACGTGGTATTTGTACTGGGAGAGACCACATTTGGGGTCATAAAACAAGAAGCAACAAATATGAAAGGAATGAAATAATACAGAGTATGTTCTCTGACCACAGTGGAATTAAATGACAATAACAATAAGATAACTAGGAAAACACCAACTATCTGGAAATTAATGCATGTCCAAATAATCATTGGGTCAAAGAAGAAGTCACAAGAAAAACTAGATAACATTTTGAACTAAATGTTAATGAAAATACAACATATTAAAATTTTGTGAGATGCAACTTAAGCTGCACTTTGAGAAAACGATATAATTTTACAATCTTAGCTCTTACATGTAGAAACCAAATGCTTTATTCAACCAATTTTGAATGTGCACAAATATGGGGTATATTTTTCACGAGCCTTTCTGAATAAACTAGAAGACAAGCTCCAGCCAACCAAGAGATGGGGAAATTTTTGGTAAAAGGACCAGAGATAAACAATTATTAATAACATACTTAACTGGAGATATAAGCCAGTAACAAAGCTGCGGATATGAGTTGTAAAGTGTTATATGTTCTGACAGTGTAGAAACAATATAACCAACAAAAACTGGGAAAGGAATGAGGAGGAAAAGGGAGAAAAGTAGAACAAGCTTGTTGACTGTCTCAGTAGCTGGCAGTCAAAGATAATACTTACAGCTGACATATCAAGTAGTAGATGTATATTCAATAGAACAAAGGTAAACATTAAAAAAAGCCACTGGTCAGGTGCAGTGGCTCATGCTTGTAATCTCAGCACTTTGGGAGGTCGACATGGATCACTTGATCTCAAGAATTTAAGACCAGTTTGGGCAACGTGGTGAAACCTTGTCTCAACAAAAATAAAAAAAAAACTAGCCAGGTATGGTGACATGTGCCTGTAGTCCTAGCTACTTGGAAAGCTGAGGTGGGAGGATTGCCTGAGCCTGGTACGTGGAGGTTGCAGTGAGCCGAGATCGTGCCACTGCACTCCAGCCTGGTGACAGAGTGAGATTCTGTCTCGAAAAAAAAAAAAAAAAAAAAAAAAAGACTACTACTGACTAAACTTGGCAAATGAAGGAGAGAATGGAGTGAAGAATAAAAAGGACATGGTAGGGTACCGATATCTATTGTCAAAAGGAAATAAGTGTATTATAAAGAAGGGAATGAAGTTGTTATCAAGGTAAATCACCAAAACAAAAATATGATCAGAAGTAGTATATATATATTTTTAAAGCAAAGAAACAGACCAGCAAGATAAAACTTCTAAAGCATGTGCACATGCTCACATTTGTAGAGGGGCTGTATCTGTGAGACTGCCCCTGGGGGAGGCCATTAATATGAACGCCATGCCCCAGCTGTCCCTCGCTTGGAGCCTCTTAAGGCAGGATTGGGAGGCTGCTCCCAGGATTAGCATCCCATCCATTCTCACCTTTCTGGCAGCTTTTCAAGATATCTGGTTCCTCAGCTCCCAGAAGATTCAGGACCCAAAGTTCCTTCCCCTGCTCCAGCTGGGAGATCAACTCCGGCTTAGGGACAGGGAATCCTGTTGAGGATGAGGACACTGGTGAGCTGGCATGGCCCACTGGGCCTTCCAGGCCAGGTGTGGAGAGATGGGCCCTGTGTGCACGTGTGTACGCCTGCACGTGTGTTGGTCAGGGGGCCCGTGGGCTGAGACTAAGTACTGAAGGAGAATCCACTCATCAGCTCTCCTGCCACTGGAGGGACACCAGTGGGGCCACTGGCAACAGGGAGTGAAGTCCCTAGAACTGGGGAGCAAGGCAGGCTTTTCCCATGGGAAATGTTCCTTCTGTAGAGATCAGACTGATACCCGGGGACAAGGGGCAGGACCCTCTTCTTTGGGATCCAAAGAGCCAAAGCAGCCTCCCAAGCTCCTCAGAGGCCCCCACTGCGAACCAGGCCAAGTGCAGAGAGCCTCACCCAGAGAGGCCACGTTCCCATAGTTCTCCAGCATCACATCCCGGTAGAGCGCCCGCTGCTGGGGGCCCAGCTGCCGCCCCTCCGCCTGAGAGAAGTACACGGCCACATCCTGGAAGGTCAGCGGCATCTCCTGCAACAAAACATCGCCGCTGCCCAGGCCATGCCCACGGGGCAGCAGCCTGCACTAAAAGGGCCCTGACCTGGTGGGGCCCCACTACCCAGGGCCCTGCTGTGGTCAGTATGAACTGTGTATCAGCAGGTCCCTGATGGGGCAGCTGAGAGCGCTGAGGACCAGCCAACTTCAGCTACACGGGGACCCAGCTGAGCTCAGAGCCCCTCTCCCTGCAGGAGGGCGAGTCTACCTCTCAGAACCCTTTCCTCACGGTTGCTATGAGCCCCTGGCTGGCCTTACCAGTTGCCGGGCTCACGGCTCCAGAGGAGAGTAGCTTCTGACTGGGATGGGGATGAAGATGAAGAGGTGGGCAGGAAGGAGGGTTAACTCACCTGGTGCCCTGGAAGCTGGAATGTGGCTGCCATTCTGTGTGCATGGGCTGCTGTGGTTTCCAAGAGAAGACAGGAGACTGCCCTGGCCTGAAGTCTCCCCGAACTTACCTTCAGTGGGGAGAACTCAGGCTCAGCCCCATTCAACCAGGGGTGTGGAAGGATGGCCAGGAGGCAGAAGCTGATTGCTGCTGTGGCCTCCTGGGTCGCGGGAGGCAGGTCACTATGCAGCACGGGCCGACGTGCCCTACTGCTCAGTGACTCCTGAAATCCCAGAACGGCCAGAGCCAGAGCCCGGGGGGATCCAGGGACGCCCGGCTAAGGGGTGAAAGCTGGCAGTTCCCGTGGTCCAGACCTGCTGAAGGCCCTGGAAATGGGGTGCAGGGCCGTTCTACCTGCCTGGCCAACCTGGGGCAAAGAGCCACGTGAGGGTGCAGCCTCACCAAGGCTGAGGACGTGAGAAGGAGGCCGCGGGGATGCTGCCGAAGGCCCCAGGCTCCGGGGAGAGGCCGGAAGCCAGCTGTGGTCCTCAGTCCAGCCTTCTAGGGCCGCGCCGCGGTCGCCTCCTCCCGGCCTCTGCAGCCCGTCGGTGGCTCCCGCGGCACCCAGAACAGGCTCCTCCTGGACTGGCCGCCGCCTCCCCGCGCCCTCCCCGCGCCCTCCCCGCCTGCCTGCCCGCTTGGCGCTCCTTCCTGGTCCGACACTGCCCCACCTGTTTGCTCGACCCGGGGAAGCCACCGAGGAAGCGCCGAGGAGCTGCGCAGTCGCACCGAGCCCGGAACGGACCCTCCCACAGAACCGGGTCCAGAGCCGGGGAGGGGGCGGGCTAGGATGAAGAGGGCGGGCCGGGCCGAGCTGCGCACACGCAGGCTTCCCCGCCCCCTGCGGGGCCTCAGTACGCCTCCGAGAACGCCGGGAACCGGAAGCCAGCCGCGGTTCCGCCCGGATTCTTCCGGGGCCGCTCTGGGATGACTGGAGGCCTGCGCCGTCTATGGTCGGGGAGGGGGAGAGCCCACGGCAGCTGAGCGGAGGGTCTGGCGCGGTGACGCTGCGCATCCGGGCCGCGCCGCGCTCGCCCCGACCCTAAACCCTCACCTGAACCCTAACCCCGCTGGGCTCCCGGCTCCCCCGTCGGTCACCATACATCGTGTGTCCCGATTCACCATAACCACCAGAAAGTCGCTTATGAAGATGTTACAATTATCGGGGCTCAGAACACAACGCCCCAAAATGAAGGCCTGGGAGGCAGTTTCCCTCTGACCTTCCCAGGCCTCCAGTCTCAGTTCTTTTCTCCCGCGAGGCTCCTCACAGAGTGAATCCCTTTTACCCAAGGCGAGTCCCAGAGGCCAGACCCCCAAAGCCAGCCACAAAACCTAAAAACACGACTCTGATGTTCCCCCCGCTTTTCTGTGTGAAAACTGGCGGTAAAGGCCGGGCGTGGTGGCGGGCGTCTGTAGTCCCAGCTACTCCGGAGGCTGAGGCGGGAGAATCGCTTGAACCCGGGAGGCGGAGGTTGCAGTGAGCCGAGATCGCGCCACTGCACTCCAGCCTGGGTGACAGAGCGAGACTCCATCTCAAAAATAAATAATAAATAAATAAATAATCCATTTATTTGCCTTTTCTCCAAAAATCTGCCTTTTATGAGTTGGCTTTCAGTGAACCTTCAGAGGGCAAAGAGGAACTTTCCCTTTGGCCCCTACACAATAAAGCATGGTTGAAAAAATAGCACTTGATAAAGGTGAGGAGACCAGCTTAGGAGCAGGGGGAGAAGGAAAGGAAAGCCAAGCCATCTTGTCACCCAGAATATAGTGTAGGCCCTGTACACTGTGTTAGAATCAAGGCAGAAATTTTATATCTGAACTTGAGACGATCAACGAGGATGGAGAATGTCTAGAAGTCTAAAGCACCATGCAAAGTCACACATGATTAAGAAGATGCCTTACATTATTAATATCAGTGCTGGGGAGATTGTGGAGAATTACGCACTGCTATGCTTGAGGAAGCGTGTTTAGTACAATGTTGAAAATGAATTAAGCTGTACATAAAGAGCCTTAAACACTTCAATTAATCTAGGAATCTATCCTATGGAAATAACAAAAATGACAAAGAGAAGGGTGCCCATTCCAGAGTTTGTTGTGTGTGTGGTTTTTTTTAAATAATGGGGAGAATTTGGAAAATAGCTAGTTATTCATAGAAGGGGAAATGGAAGATAATTATGCTTTTTGCAGCACAGAAATAGATAAATCTATTGTCTTCTGTACACTCAGTTGAACATTATGCAGCCATTATGTGTGGTATTTGAAAAAAAAGTATTGGCAGAGGGTAATGCTTATGAAATAGAATGTGAAAAATAGAATACAAAATTATATTTATGATATGATCTCAATTGTATATATGGGTGTTTAAGTTCACAAACTTAAGGTTTCCAGATATAAGGACCTAGGTTGGTTTGTTCACTGCTCAGCCACCAGCCTGGAACATAGTAAGTACTCTATAAATACTTGGGAAGTGCTTGAAAAACGTATATAAAAAGCTGAAAATAAATACATCATTACTAGTTGTAAGATTGCAGAATATTTGATTTCCTCTTTTTCTTTTTCACATCTCCTACAGGGGGCGTGTAATCACTCTGTGACTGGTGGCTGCAGGCTCTCCTAATGGATATTTCCTATTTACAGGGCTACCAACTGCCAAGCATCCAAGCAGTCCCTAGGCAGCAATCCAGCAGCTGACAGGGTTACCGGCGTCAACTGCCACAGATGCTAGGCTGGTTTGCCATATTTACATGGATTTGATCAGCAATGAGCACAAAAGATAGAGATTGTTTCTTTCTTTCTTTTTTTTGAGGTGGAGTTTTACTCTTGTTGCCCACGCTGGAGCGCAATGGTGAGATCTTGGCTCACTGCAACCTCCACCTCCCAGGTACAAGTGATTCTCCTGTCTCAGCTTCACAAGTAGCTCGGATTACAGGCATGCAGGACCATGTCCAGCTAATTTTTTTGTATTTCGTAGAGACGGGGTTTCACCATATTAGTCAGGCTGGTGGCAAACTCCTGACCTCAAGTGATCCACCTGCGTCGGCCTCCCAAAGTGCTAGGATTACAGGTGTGTGCCACTGTGCCCAGCCTAGATTGTTTATTTCTTACTCAAACAGCTACAGCATGATCAGCAGCCTGTGTCCCTAGACACACAAGATGACAGCAAACCATAGGGGCCAGATGACAGAAAGCACAGATGGTGGCCACGGTGCTGCTGAGGCGCCAGCTCCACACTGCAGCCAGGCAGTGGTGTGTCCGCAGCTGTACCCCAAGGAGGGGCAAAGGGAGCATCCCAGACGCAGCCAACCAGGGGCCCAGGGGCGCTGCTGTCACTGTCGTTTCTTACAAGGTTGCTTGTCTCCCTTAGTTTCAGGAGGAACCTCCAAGCATTCTGCCAAACTCAGTTCACACGGTGATGGACCTTGCCACACAGCTATGTGAAGATGTCCAAGGTCCTCAGGGCCCAGAACAGAGCTGTTCCCTACTCCACTGACCTCCCTGTTTCTAAAACCAGTGGGCTTTTTTTTTCCTTTGAGACAAGGTCTCTCTCTGTTACCCAGGCTGGAGTGCAGTAGCACAATCTCAGCTCACTGCAACCTTCACCTCCCCGGGCTCAAGCAATCCTCCCACCTCAGCCTTATGAGTAGTTGGGATCACAGATGCGTGCCACCACATCGGGCTAATTTTTTGTATTTTTTTGGTAGAGACAGGGTCTTGCTCTGTTGCCCAGGCTGGTCTCAAACTCCTGACCTCAAGTAATCCACCTGCTTTGGCCTCCCAAAGTGCTGGGATTACAGGTGTGAGCCATAGTGCCTGGCCACCAGTGGGCATTTTTTAGTTTTCCTTTACTTGACCTCTCAGCAATATTTGACACCATGAACTGTCTGTCCTTCTTGGAACACTTGATTTCCTTATCATCAATAATACCACCCTTCCTTCATTTTCTGCCAACCACTCTCAATCTCCTTTGCTACTTTCTCCTCTACTCAGTGTCTGCCCTGCGCATTCTCCTTACTTTATTCTACATTTTCCTCTAAGAGAGCTTACCTTGTCTCATTTCTTCAACTGCTACTTACATGTAAATTACCCCACTTAAAAAAATTCCATCTCAGACCTTTCTTCTGTGTTCAAACCTTTAGAAATACATACTCAGCATATTTACCCATTGGCTGGGCACGGTGGCTCGCGCCTATAATCCCAGCACTTTGGGAGGCCGAGGTGAGCGGATCAACTGAGGTCAGGAGTTTGAGACTAGCCTGGCCAACGTGGTGAAACTCCATCTCTACTAAAACTACAAAAAATTAGCCGGGTGTGGTGGTGCACGCTTGTAATCCCAGCTACTCGGGAGGCTGAGGCAGGAGAATCGCTTGAACCTGGGAGGTGGAGGTTGCAGTGAGCCGAGATCATACCATTGCACTCCAGCCTGGGCGACAGAGCGAGACTCCATGAAGAACAACCACAACAACAACAACAAAAATTTAAGCGGGCCTAACACCCACGGCAAGCAGTGCCGGAGAGGGCAATCAGACTGGGGGCCGGGGCAGGCCCTTGTTCTCACTCCTCACATTCATGACAAATATACCTGTGTCTTGGGAAATTCTGGGGAGGAAAATTCAGACCCTTCCTTCCACCGTACCCTCTCAGGAGGAGTGGTGGGAAGAGAGTGACTTCATTGGGAATCCTTAACCTGGGGGACGGATGGCAATCCGTCTGTATCTTCCTCCAGCTGCCTGAGGTACATTCAGTACTTGCATCACCAGTTTCCACGTACAAAAACACCAGAATTCAGGCAGCCTGGCCAACATAGTGAGAACCCATTTCTAAAAATAAAATAAATAAAATAATAATAAAGCCGATTAGGGACCATGATTTTGCATCTGCAGCCACAAGCGCCTGCTAACTGTCATGAGAAACTGACCCTCCCAGTCATATGTAGAGGCCTCTGCCATGGCAAAGAGCAGACCCCAGTGCATTCCGTCTGATCCCAGGAAGATTGGAAGGACAAAGAAGCTGGAGGGGCGGGAGCTACCTTGTTGCGGGAAGTCAGGGACCCCAAACGGAGGGACCGGCGGAAGCCATGGCAGAAGAACGTGGATTGTGAAGATTTTATGGACATTTATTAGTTCCCCAAATTAATACTTTTATAATTTCTTATGCCTGTCTTTACTGCAATCTCTAAACATAAATTGTAAACATTTCATGGACACTTATCACTTCCCCAATCAGTACCCTTGCGATTTCCTATGCCTGTCTTTACTTTAATCTCTTAATCCTGTCAGCTGAGGAAGATGTATGTCGCCTCAGGACCCTGTAATAATTGCATTAACTGCACAAATTGTAGAGCATGTGTGTTTGAGCAATATGAAATGTGGGCACCTTGAAAAAAGAACAGGATAACAGCAATTGTTCAGGGAATAAGAGATAACCTTAAGCTCTGACCTCCAGTGAGCCGGGCAGAACAGAGTCATATTTCTCTTCTTTCAAAAGCAAATGGGAGAAATATCGCTGAATTCTTTTTCTCAGCATGGAACATCCCTGAGAAAGAGAATACGCACCTGGAGGTATAGGCTTATAAACAGTCCCCCCAGGTGCGCCTGTCTCTTATGGTCGAAACTGCAGAGATGAGATAGACTCCAGTCTCCCATAGCGCTCCCAGGCTTATTAGGAAGAGGAAATTCCCACCTAATAATTTTGGTGAGACTGGTTGCTCTCAAAACGCTGTCTCCTGATAAGATGTTATCAATGACAATGGTGCCCGAAACTTCATTAGCAATTTTAATTTCGCCTCGGTCCTGTGGTCCTGTGATCTCGCCCTGCCTCCACTTGCCTTGTGATATTCTATTACCCTGTTAAGTACTTGATGTCTGTGACCCACACTTATTCGCACACTCCCTCCCCTTTTGAAAATCCCTAATAAAAACTTGCTGGTTTTTGTGGCTTGTGGGGCATCAGGGAACCTACCGACATGTGATGTCTCCTCTGGACGCCCAGCTTTAAAATTTCTCTCTTTTTTACTCTGTCCCTTTATTTCTCAAGCCAGCCGATGCTTAGGAAAAATAGAAAAGAACTTACGTGAATATCGGGGCAGATTCCCCAATACTACCTGTTACCGGTTCCTTCTCCACACGCAGGTACTTCACTCTTGCTGCTCTGCAGAGAATGAGTTGGAGGAGCAGAAGCCAGATGCTCCCCTAAAACAGCTTTCTGTGTTTCCCTGGTCCTGAGAGTGTTGTAGGAAAACAATTCTGGCAGCAGCACGGAGAGCAGGCTGGGGCTCTCTGAGACTCTCCCCTGGCTGGATGTGGAGAAGGAGGTCACCAAGGCTGTGGCCATGCCAGGGCGGTCCCTTATGCCTGGAGGAGGGTGAGCTGTGGGATGGCAAAGAGTCTCCTCTCCAATTCAGGCTTCTCTAAGCCCTCCTCCCAACTAGGCTCCAATCTTGGTCTTTAAGAACTGCAGACTCTCAACATAAATGGTTTTGTCCACACATCAGATGCAGGCGAACCCCACCATCAGGGCTCGGCCTGGGAGGGTTCTTGGCTTTGCACAGGAAGGAATTCAAGAGTGAGTTGACAGAGTAAAGTGAAAGCAAAGCACATTTATCAGAGCAACAGAGTATAGGAAAATGCCTGCTCTGTAGACAGAGCAGGGCTACCCCACAGGCAGGGCAGCACTGGTGGACGGCTGGCTAGCAGTCTTCATAGCTACTCCTGAGTTATATGTGATATGTTTTGGATCTGTGTCCCCACCCAAATCTCATGCTGAAATTTAATCCCCAATGCTGGCGGTGGGCCTGGTGGGAGGGGACTGGATGACAATGGTGGATTTCCCCCTTAATGCTCTTCTGAGAGTGAGTGAGTTCTTGAGAGCTGGTCATTTAAAGGTGTGTGGCACCTCTACCCCCTCTCTTCTCTCTTCCTCCTGCTTCCACCGTGTAAAGTGCTGGCTCCCCCTTTGCCTTCTGCCAAGAAGCAGGTTCTGCCATGCTTCCTGTACAGCCTGCAGAACCATGGGCCAATTAACCCTCTTTCTTTATAAACTACCCAGTCTTGGATATTTCTTTATAGCAGTGTGAGAATGGACTAATGCAATATGCTAAAGAAGGGGTGGGTTGGCCAGGTGCGGTGGCTCACACCTGTTATCCCAGCACTTTGGGAGGCCGAGGCAGGAGGATCACGAGGTCAGGAGATCAAGACCATCCTGGCCAACATGGCAAAACCTGTCTCTACTAAAAATACAGAAATTAGCCGGGCATAGTGACACGTGCCTGTAATCCCAGCTACTCAGGAGGCTGAGGCAGGAGAATCACTTGAACCTGGGAGGCGCAGGTGAACTGAGATTGTGCCACTGCACTCCAGCTTGGGCGACAGAGTGAGACTCTGTTTCAAAAACAAAAAAGAAGGAGTGGGTTATTCACAAGTTTTCTACAAAAGGAGTGGGCAGTTCCCTGAACGGAGGAACCCTCTCTTTTAAGCCGTATAAGGGGAACCTGTGGTGCTGCTATGGCATCTGTAAACAGTCACACGCTGGCGGGCATGTCTTATGCTAATGTATTAATTACAATTTGCGTGTAATGAGCAGTGAGGGCAACTAGGGCTGTTCCTATCCCCATCTTTGTCCTGGCTGGGTGTGGCCAGCTGCCGCACTGCATCCTGCCTGGATCAGCCAGGCCTCCATTGTTGCTGGGAAAAGAAGTCCCATGGGGGGCCCACTTCACATCCTGCACTGAGACGCACACAAACCCTGGTGCGGCCTCCAGCCCTCAGGCTGACCCGGAGTGACCACTTCACATCCCGCACTGAGACGCACACAAACCCTGGTACGGCCTCCAGCCCTCAGGCTGGCCCGGAGTGACCACTTCACATCCCGCACTGAGACGCACACAAACCCTGGGGCGGCCTCCAGCCCTCAGGCTGGCCTGGAGTGACCACAGCCACTTTAGAATGTGTGCCAGAGGCAGCTTAATGTCACCAAAAGAACTTGTTCCAAGCAAGCCCGGGAGGACAGGGGAAGAGAAGAGACCTGGTCAGTGGAGGAGCCACAGGTAACAGCTGGACTCTCTTCGTCCGTCCGCCCCCCACAGTCCCCGCTGGACTCTCTTGGTCCGTCCGCCCCCCACAGTCCCCGCTGGACTCTCTTGGTCCGTCCCCCACAGTCCCCGCTGGACTCTCTTGGTCCATCTGCCCCCCACAGTCCCCGCTGGACTCTCTTGGTCCGTCTGCCCCCCACAGTCCCCGCTGGACTCTCTTGGTCCGTCTGTCCCCTAGCCCCTACTGTTCTGGATGTCTGCCCATTGCCACAGCCCAGAAGCTGGGAATCTCAGCTGTGCCCTCAAAGACTGGACGTCAGGTGAGCTGTCCATCCTTCCAGTGAGTGCCTTCTACTCTGCCTGGAGCTTCTCTACCTAGCAAATGCCTCTAGGGCTTAAAAGAGCCTCCTTGTCCATTCAGCAAGTATGTATTGGGTACCACCTGTGCGCCAGGCTGTGTGCAGGAACTGGGGCTTTCTCCTCGTGGAGTGCACAGTCTGCTGGGCTGGAGACATACGAATACTAAACAAGACACAGCAGAAAAAGGGGAGCCGAGTGCCCCAGGAGCACACGACATAAGCCAGCCTGATCTGTGGGGTCAGGGAGGCCATTCTGAGGCTGTAGCCAGGTAGAGAGTGGCTTAAGCCATGGAACTGTGTGGCAGAGGCCCCATGGCACAGGACAGTGTGGCAAGTCAGGAAAAGCCTGAGGCTAAGTTGGGGAGGAAGAGGTACAGGTGAGACTAGAGATGGGGCCAAACTAGGGGGGACCCTGTTAGCCTGCACTTCATTCCAGGATCACAGGACACTGCTAATGGGTTCTCACAGTGGCTGTGTTGTTTTTTTTACGTTCTCTGGCTGCTCTATGGCGGTGTTGATGCCCCTGATGGGAAATGTTAGGGACCTGTGTTAGCACGACTCCTGTGGGGGTAAGGAGGAGAAGGAACAGGAACCCCCAGTTTGGGTGGCAGATGGGACGCAGACAGCGAGAGTGAGAAAAGTCAACATTGGAGCCAGAGGTGACCCTGTGTGGGCTAGGCCCAGGTGGCCGTCATGGCCACCACACCAGAAAAGAAGCAACAAGTGGGGAAATGTTTGCAAAATAGACACAGGCCTCACCCAAATCAATGAAATAAGACAAATAAAAAATTTTCCGGACCGGGTGTGGTGGCCCACGCCTGTAATCCCAGCACTTTGGGAGGCCGAAGCAGGCGGATCACGAGGTCAAGAGTTCAAGGCCAGCCTGGCCAACATGGTGAAACCCCGTCTCTGCTAAAAATACAAAAAAATTAGCTGGACGTGGTGGTGGGTGCGTGTAATCCCAGCTACTCGGGAGGCTGAGGCAGGAGAATTGCTTGAACCGGGACCTGGGAGGCAGAGCTTGCAGTGAGCCGAGATCACACCACTGCACTCCAGCTACAGAGTGAGAGTCTGTCTAAAAAAAAAAATTCCAATAGAAAAAAATGGGCAAAAACAGGGACAAAGTTGAAAAGCACATGGCCAAGAAACACCCGACAGTAACAAATGCACAGATGTGGGGAACTGGTGCGAGTCTTCAGAGCTGGCGGAAATGGGAAGCGGAGTAACTATTTTGGCAGAAAAATACGTAACTTCCCTGCGAACCGGAATCCCACGTGTACACATCCAGAGAGTTCCCTTTGTGGGTTCATGAGGGGACGCACGCAAGGGATGTCCCAGCAATGAGAACATGGAATGACCTGAATGAGAGCGGGGGAGGGGCCACCCGGGACAAAGCTGCAGGGACAAGGACCACTCATCCTCTGTTGCAACTTGCAGGCTCAGGAAGAAGGGTCTCCCCCGTCTACTGGAGTTCTTGACACTGGAATTTGGGGCTTGTCACAGGCCTATTCAGAAAGGGGCCTGGTCCTGAGAAATAATAGGGTATTGAAGGCTTGTGGCTATAATGCTGCCTGTAGTTCCAAAGCTGGAAGAGGCAGCCCACAAGCAGACAGGGCGCCGTTTCTCCTGTGTAGGTGGAGACTGGGCATAGTGGCTCACATCTGTAGTTCCAGCACTTTGGGAGGCCAAGGCAGGAGGATCGCTTGAGCTGAGCCCAGGAGTTTGAGACCAGACTGGGCAACATACTTTACTGGACATTTTGGGGACATTGGGAAAATTTGAACATGGGCTGGCTATTAAATGAGATTACAGAATTACTGTTAATTTTCTTAGGTGTGGTTATGTGCAGTGATGGTCTCATTCTTGAGAGGAGGGCTGCGACACTTGGGGAGATGTGTTACCAGCTGCAAATCACTTCCAAATGGTTCAGCCAGAAATACAACATGTAGAGAGCATTTCGGAGAACAGGACAACAGCGCGGCAGCTGCTGAATTCAGGTGGATATGGAAGGCGTGGTTTTTTTTTTTTTTTTGAGATGGAGTCTCGCTCTGTCACCCAGGCTGGAGTGCACTGGTACAATCTCGGCTCACTGCAACCTCTGCCTCCCAGGTTTAAGCGATTCTCCTGCCTCAGCCTCCCAAGCAGCTGGGATTACAGGCGCTTGCCACCACGCCCAGCTGTTTTGTATCTTTCATAGAGACGGGGTTTCACCATCTTGGCCAGGCTGGTCTTGATCTCCTGACCTCGTGATCCACCCTCCTTAGCCTCCGAAAGTGCTGGGATTACAGGTGTGAGCCACCGCGCCCGGTCGGAAGTAGTTGTTAATATTCTCTATGTTGGAAGTTTTTTGTAATGGAAAGTTGGAAGCAAAACAAGATAGGAAGCAAGGTGAACGCTGCAGAGTTCGACTGCGTCAGACGGACCAGAAGGCCGACTGCAGGCGGGCAAGGGCTATGCGGTGGCGGTAGTGGTTTGATACCTGACATTCCAGTAGAATGCACAAAAGCCTTTACTGAAAGGGCAGGAAGTCACAAGGCTTTCTGTAGGAAGAACACATCCCTGTTCCACTGGCCCTTCCCCCGTGAGCTGGGGTGGGAGCTTCTCCTGTTCCACTGGCCCTTCACCCGTGAGCTGGGGTGGGAGCTTCTGGGTGTAGCCGGTTGCTCCAAGGCCTCTTCCCAAGTTCCAGGTTTACACAGGAGGCCTCATGGCCACCTGTCCCATCACCAGGGCCTAAAACCTGGTTGCTCTTCCTGTGGTTTGGGGAATTGTGGGCCTGAGTGATGTGGTTCTTCTGTCGAAGCTGGGGGACTGAACCACCCTGACTTGGGTGGTGCAGAGTCAGGGAACACCAGATTTGTTTCTTCCAGCTGGGGCTTGGAGAAGCAAAAGGTGAGTACAGAAGATAAGCAATAAAACCATACTGTGGCCAGGCGCGGTGGCTCACGCCTGTAATCCCAGCACTTTGGGAAGCCGAGGCAGGTGAATCACAAGGTCAGGAGATCGAGACCATCCTGGCCAACATGGTGAAACCCCATCTCTAGTAAAACACAAATAATTAGCCGGGAGTGCTGGCGTGCACCTGTAATCCCAGCTACTTGGGGAGGCTGAGGCAGGGGAATCGCTTGAACCCGGGAGGCGGGGGTTGCAGTGAGCCAAGATCGCACCACTGCACTCCAGCCTAGCAATAGAGCAAGACTCCGTCTCAAAAAAAAAAAGAAATCATAACTGTATTTATTTGCCTCCAGTAATTTTTATCACTCTGCTTGATCCCAGTTACATTACTGAGGGTAGTGAATTCCATCTATTTTTTTCTGTAACTTAAAAGTATTTTTGGCCGGGCGCGGCAGCCGGTGGACCCATCCCAGCACTTTGGGAGGCCGAGGCGGGCGGATCACGAGGTCAGGAGATTGAGACCATGTTGGCTAACGCGGTGAAACCCCGTCTCTACTAAAAATACAAAAAAATTAGCCGGGCACGGTGGCGGGCGCCTGTAATCCCAGCTACTCAGGAGACTGAGGCAGGAGAATGGCATGAACCCGGGAGGCGGAGCTTGCAGTGAGCCGAGATAGCGCCACTGCAGTCCAGCCTGGGCGAAAGAGCGAGACTCCATCTCTTAAAAAAAAACAAAACTATTTTTGCCTTGTCTTAAATTGATCTCTAGCAGTGCCTTTTTCCCCACACCCACGTATTATTTCAGGGGTCAGTGACATTTGATGACGTGGCTGCATATTTCACAAGGAGGAAATGGATGCATCTAGCTCTTCACCAAAAGGCGGCTGGAGAACTGTGGGAACTTGACCTGGCTGGGTAGGCTCTGCCCTCTCCCCTGCCCCTCTCCAGGCTCTCTGAGTACTTCACTTGTTGAGAATGAGGGCAATTCCACATCCTTTCTAGACCTAGAAACTAGACCCTTTCTCCACGTGACAGACCTGAGCTCCACAGGGAGGAAAGAGGCTGGGCCTGAGGTAGCCCCTCTCTCCAAGTTCCCTATAGATGTTGCACCATGGAATTCCACTCATGCTTGGCAGGACTTGCTGTCTCCCCAGCATGATTTGGTATAGTCCTGATGAATCTGAATTTTTTTTTCTTTTCTTTTCTTTTTTCTTTTGAGACAGGATTTCACTCTGTTGCCCAGGCTGGAGTGCAGTGGCACAATCATGGCTCACTGCAGCCTCAACCTCCCAGGCTCAAGTGACCCTCCCACCTCTGCTTCCCATGTAGCTGGGACTACAGGCACGAGCCACCACGCCTGGGTAATTTTTTTGGTTCTTTGTAGAGACAGGGTCTCACTCTGTTGCCCAGGCTGGTCTCGAACTCCTGGGCTCAAGTGATCCTCCTGCCTCAGCCTCCAAAGTGCTGGGATTATAGGCATGAGTCATTGTACTCAGCCAGAGTCTGAACCGTACAGGCATGAGTCATTGTACCCAGCCAGAGTCTGAACCTTACAGGCATGAGTCACTGCACCCAGCCAGAGTCTGAACCTTACAGGCATGAGCACTGCACCCAGCCAGAATCTGAACCTTACAGGCATAAGCCCCTACTCCCAGCCAGAGTCTGAACCTTACAGGCATGAGTCACTGCACCCAGCCAGAGTCTGAACCTTACAGGCAGGAGTCACTGCACCCAGCCAGAGTCTGAACCTTACAGGCATGAGCACTGCACCCAGCCAGAGTCTGAACCTTACAGGCATAAGCCCCTACTCCCAGCCAGAGTCTGAACCTTACAGGCATGAGTCATTGTACCCAGCCAGAGTCTGAACCTTACAGGCATGAGCCCCTACTCCCAGCCAGAGTCTGAACCTTACAGGCATGAGCACTGCACCCAGCCAGAGTCTGAACCTTACAGGCATGAGCACTGCACCCAGCCAGAGTCTGAACCTTACAGGCATGAGTCATTGTACCCAGCCAGAGTCTGAACCTTACAGGCATGAGCACTGCACTCAGCCAGAGTCTGAACCTTACAGGCATGAGCCCCTACTCCCAGCCAGAGTCTGAACCTTACAGGCATGAGCACTTCACCCAGCCAGAGTCTGAACCTTACAGGCATGAGTCATTGCACCCAGCCAGAGTCTGAACCTTACAGGCATGAGCAGTGCACCCAGCCAGAGTCTGAACCTTACAGGCATGAGCACTTCACCCAGCCAGAGTCTGAACCTTACAGGCATGAGTCATTGCACCCAGCCAGAGTCTGAACCTTACAGGCATGAGCAGTGCACCCAGCCAGAGTCTGAACCTTACAGGCATGAGCAGTGCACCCAGCCAGAGTCTGAACCTTACAGGCATGAGCACTGCACCCAGCCAGAGTCTGAACCTTATAGGCATAAGCCCCTACTCCCAGCAAGAGTCTGAACCTTACAGGCATAAGCCCCTACTCCCAGCCAGAGCCTGAACCTTACAGGCATGAGCACTGCACCCAGCCAGAGTCTGAACCTCTTAATCACCTTGCACTCTTTTCTCCCTTTCCCCTTCTTTCTCCCTCAGCCATGACTCACCCTCATCCCTCCCCACCCCGGACATAGTTTTATCTTTAGAGCCCCTACCTATTCCACCATCCTGGGCCTTCCTACCTGGTCCAGCTGAATCTCTCTGCCTGCTCTCTGCAGACCGTAGGCTTTGGTTCTCAGCAGAAATGCACGTGTTGTGTTTCCATCTCTGCCAGCAGAATTTTCAGGCCTCAAACCTGACCTGATCTTCTAGCTGGAGAGAGAGGAAGAGCCATGGCTGCCAGATGTTCCAGGGACTGAAAATACAGACACACAGAGATGCTCCTTCCCAGGTGAGAAGAGGGAAGCAGTTCTGGAGGAGGCAGTAGTGGGATACATTAGGAGACATAACCTGAAAAAACAGAGCCAGGCGGCTGCGCGCGGTGGCTCACGCCTGTAATCCCAGCACTTTGGGAGGCAGAGGCAGGCGGATCACAAAGTCAGGAGACCATTCCAGCTAACACGGTGAAACCTCGTCTCTACTAAAAATACAAAAAATTAGCTGGGCGTGGTGGCAGGCGCCTGTAGTCCCAGCTACTCGGGAGGCTGAGGCAGAAGAATGGCATGAACCCAGGAGGCAGAGCTTGCAGTGAGCCGAGATCGCGCCTCTGCTCTCCAGCCTGGGCGACAGAGCAAGACTCCGTCTCAAAAAAAAAAAAAAAAAAAAAAACAGAGCCAGGCTGGGCACGATGGCTCACACCTATAATCCCAGCATTTTGGGAGGCCAAGGCGGGTGCATCACTTGAGGTCAGGAGTTCGAGACCAGCCTGGCCAACATGGCAAAACCCCGCCTCTACTAAAAATACAAAAATTAGCCAGGTTTGGTGGCATGTGTTTGAAGTCTCAGCTACTCACGAAGCTGAGGCAGGAGAATCGTTTGAACCCGGTAGGCGGAGGTTGCAGTGAGCTGAGATCACACCACTGTACTCCAGCCTGGGCGACAGGGCGAGACTCTGTCTCAAAAAAAAAAAAAAAAAAAAAGACGGGTGTGGTGGCTCATGCCTTTAATCCCAGCACTTTGAGAAGCCAAGGTGGGTGGATCACTCGAGGTCAGGAGTTCGAGACCAGCCTGGCCAACATGTGAAACCCGTCTCTGCTAAAAGTACCAAAAAAAAAAAAAAAATTAGCTGGGCATGGTGGCGTAGGCCTGTAATCCCAGCTACCCAGGAGGCTGAGGTAGGAGAGTCACTTGAACCCGGGAGGAGGAGGTTGCAGTGAGCCAAGATCGCACCACTGTAGTCCAGCCTGGGTGACAGAGCAAGACTCCATATCCAAAAAAAAAAAAAAAAAGAAAGAAAGAAAGAAAGAAAGAAATTAAGGGAAACAATTCCATTCACAAGAGCATTAAAATGAATAAAATATTCAGGAATAAATATAATCAAGAGGCAAAAGACTCATAAACTGAAAAACTACAAAAGATCACTGAAAGAAGTTAAAGAACACATAAATAAATGGAAATACACTTGCTGTTCATGGATGGGAAGACTTCATATTGTTAAGGTGACAATACTACCCAAAGTTATCTACAGATTCAATACCTATCAAAATCTTAATGGTGTTTTTTGTACATATAGAAAAACCCTTAACTGGGCGTGGTGCCACGAACCTGTAGTCCCAGCTACTCAGGAAGCTGAGATGGAAGGGTCGCTTGAGCCCATGAGGTCGAAGCTGCAGTGAGCTGAGTTTGTGCCATGGCACTCCAGCCTGGGTGACAGAGTGAGATCCTGCTTCAAAGAAAAAAAGAAAAAAAGGACTATCCTGAACTTCATATGGAATGGCAAGTGACCCCAAATAGCCAAAACAATCTTGAAAAAGAACAAAGTTGGAGGACTCACACTTCCTGATTTCAAAACTTAATACAAAGCTACAATAAAAAACAATGTGATACTGGCATGACAGGAAATAAAATGTAATACAATAGAGAGCCCAGAAACAAAGCCTTGCATATATTATCAGTTGACTTTCAGCAAGGATGCTTAGACCCTTTGTCGTTTGGGTCCCACCAAATTTTGTATGTTGAAGCCCCAACCCCCAGTGTGGGAGACAGTGGCTGTGAGAAGGTGACACAGGTTAAATGAGGCCATAGGGTGGGGCCCTAATGCAATAGGGCTGGTGCCTCTAAAAGAGGAAGAGACACCAGAGATCTGTCTCTCTCCACCATGTAAGAACACAGCAAGAAGGCAGCCATCTGCAAGCCAGGAAGCGAACCCTCACTGGGAACTGAATCGGCTGGCACCTTACCTTCCCAGCCTCCGGAATTGTGAGAAATAAATTTCTGTTGCTTATGCCAAGCCACCTAGTCCGTAGTATGTTCTTATGGCAGCCCAAGCTAATACATCATTCAATTGGAAAAGGAGTCTATTCAATAGATACTGGCTGGGCAAGACAGCTCACGCCTGTAATCCCAGCACTTTGGGAGGCCAAGGCAGGCGGATCACTTGAGGTCAGGAGTTCAAGAGCAGCCTGTCCAACGTGGTGAAGCCCTGTCTCTACTAAAAATAAAAAAATTAGCTGGGCGTGGTGGTGCATGCCTGTAATCCCAGCTACTAAGGAGGCTGAGGCAGGAGAATCACTTGAACCCGGGAGGTGGGGGTTGCAAAAAACTACAAAAGATTCACTGAAAGAAGTTAAAGAACACCTAAACAAATGGACGGATCCGCCCAGCTCAGCCTCCCAAAGTGCTGGCATTACAGGCGTGAGCCACCATGCCTGGACAAAACAGTTAAATTACCGTATGATTCAGCTATTTCACTCCTAGGTATATAGCTAAAAGTACTTGAAGTAGGGATTCGAAAACATATTTTCACACCAGTGTTCACACTAGCATTATTTACAATAGGCAAAATGTAGGAACACCCAAGTGTCCAACAACAAATTAACGGATAAACAAAATGTGCTACATACATACGACATAATATTACTTGGTTATAAAAAGTAATGGAAGCCGGGCGCAGTGGCTCACGCCTATCATCCCAGCACTTTGGAAGACTGAGGCGGGTGGATCACAAGGTCAAGAGATCAAGACCATCCTGGCCAACATGGTGAAACCCCGTCTCTACTAAAAATAAAAAATTAGCTGGGTGTGGTACTGCGTGCCTGTAGTCCCAGCTACTCGGGAGGCTCAGGCAGGAGAATCGCTTGAACCCGGAAGGTGGAGGTTGCAGTGAGCTGAGATCGCACCACTGCACTCCAGCCTGGCGACAGAGTTAGACTCCATCTAAAAAAACTAAAAGTAACAGAGGCCAGGCACAGTGGCTCATGCCTGCAATCCCAGCACTTTGGGAGGCCAAGGTGGGTGGATCACTTGAGGACAGGAGTTTGAAACCAGCCTGAGCAACGTGGTGAAACCCCATCTCTACCAAAAAATACAAAAATTAGCCAGGCACAGTGGCATGCGCCTATGGTCCCAGCTACTCAAGAGGGTGAGGTGAAAGAGTTGCTTGAACCTGGGAGGGTGAAGTTGCAGAGCCAAGATCATGCCATTGCACTCCAGCCTGGGTGAGTAAGACCCGGTCTCAAAAAAAAAAAAAGTAATGGAGTTCTGAAACAGGAAACAACACAGAGAAACCTTGAAAACATTATGCTGAATGAACTAAGCCAGACATAGAAAGAAACACAGATTGCATGATTCCACACATATTTATGTTCCTAGAATAGGCAAATTCAAAGAGACAGAAAATAGAATTGAGGTTACCAGCAGTAGGGAGAAGGGGGAAATGAAGAGTTATTATTTAATAGGTACAGGGTTTCTGTTTGGAGTAATAAAACAGTTCTGGAAATACACAGTGATGATGGTTACACAACACCATGAATGTACTTAATGCCACTGAATTGTACACTTAAAAATGGTTAAAATTGTAAATTTCATATTATGTTATTTCACCACAGTTAAAGGCAACTTCAACTCTATTGACATAAAAAGTATGAATGTTAAGTTTGTTTCATTTATTTTTTGAGACAGCGTCTCGCTCTGTCACCCAGGCTGGAGTACAGTGGCACAGTCTTGGCTCACTGCAACCTCCGCCTCCCAGGTTCAAGCAATGCTCCTGCCTCAGCCTCCCGAGTAGCTGGGATTACAGGCACCCACCACCACACCTGGCTAATTTTTGTATTTTTAGTAGAGACGGGGTTTCACCATGTTGGCCAGGCTGGTCTCAAACTCCTGACCTCAAGTGATCCACCCACCTTGGCCTCTCAAAATGCTGGTATTACAGGCATGAGCCACCACACCTGGCCGATGCTTTTAAATTTACAATATGTAAAAATGTTAAAATATATGGTGCTCTCTTCAGTGTGAATTTTCTGATATTGAGGAAATAGCAAAAGTGAAGATCCTAGGTGCTGCAATGACAAGCATTACGGTATTTTCTTTTTAAAATGCTCTCCAGTATGTCTCGAAAATATTCGTAAATCAGCAGCAATGAATTTTTTTTCTAAGTGGGAGAGATCACAGAAGCTTCTTTTTTGCCCACTTTTCTGTCTCAATTTCTCTAAAATGAACATGCACTGCTTTTGATTTAAGAAAAGAGGTTTGTTTAATGAGAAACGTCCTTTCACTC
Source organism: Homo sapiens (assembly GCF_000001405.40). Classification (NCBI taxonomy): domain Eukaryota; kingdom Metazoa; phylum Chordata; class Mammalia; order Primates; family Hominidae; genus Homo; species Homo sapiens. The sequence goes on from NC_000008.11 coordinate 144,773,163, forward strand.
TGTGAAAACATCGTGTGGATAATACATAAAGGGCAGAGTCAGGTGCCGGGGGCGCATGCAGGAAGTGCTCAGCTGGACTCTGCCCTCGGACACCGCGCCACTGTTACATGGAGAAGTCCTCCCGGAGGTGAATCCGCTGATGCTGACACATGTTGGAACTGTGCCGGAAGGCCTTCCCACACTCGCTGCACTTGTAGGGCTTCTCCCCGGTGTGGATCCTCCGGTGCTGAATCAAGTACGTGCTCTGGCTGAAGGCTTTCTTGCAATCGCTGCATCTGTAGGGTTTCTCTCCGTGGTGCAGCCTCTGGTGGTGGATGAGTCTGGAACTGTTGTGGAAGGCCTTCCCACACTCGCTGCACTTGTAGGGCTTCTCTCCTGTGTGGATTCTCTGGTGCTGGATGAGGTGTGTGCTTTGGCTGAAAACTTTGCCACAGTCATTGCATTCATAGGGCTTCTCTCCAGTGTGGCTTCTCTGATGTTCCACGAGTTTGGTTTTTTGAATGAAAGCTTTCTCACATTCATTACATTTATAGGGTTTCTCTCCAGTGTGAATTCTCTGATGTTGGATAAGGTTAGAACTTTGTGTAAAGCCTTTGCCACATTCCTTGCACTCAAATGGCTTCTCTCCGGTGTGAGTCCGACGATGTCGGATAAGGATTGAGCCATCACTGAAGGCTTTCCCGCAGTCATTACATTTATAGGGTTTCTCTCCGGTGTGGATTCTCTGGTGATAAATCAGGGAAGAGTAGGCGCTAAAGTGCTTCCCACACTCCCCACACTTGTAGGGTTTCTCCCCAGTGTGAATCCTCTGGTGCTTCATGAGGTTGGGCCTCCGGGTGAATGTCTTCCCACACTCGTCACACCGGTAGGGAATCTCTCCTGAGTGCATCCTTCGGTGATTGATGAACTCGCAGCTCTGGCTGAAGGCTTTCCCACACTCATCACATTTGTAGGGCTTCTCTTCAGTGTGAAGCCGCTGATGCTTGACAAGGTTGGCACTGTACCTGAATGTTTTCCCACAGTAACTGCAATAATGCAATTTTTTCCCAGTAGGAATTTTCTGATCTTCTTTAACAACTAAGTTTGCACTGAAGATTTCCCCAGAGTTACGAACTGTATTTGTTTTTTTTGACCTGTGTACACGCTTATGGTTGTTGAGATATGATCTCTGTTCAAAACTTTGCTCACATATATCACATTTGTGAGGTCTCTGATCAGGAACAGGTCTTGACAGCAACCTGAGGTTTCCCCCAGACTCCCTGCTGCTCTCCCCGTTGGTCAGTGTGACTGCCCTGGGGCCTCTCTGCTCCACTAGCTTTTCCAGGCTCCCCTCTGACTTACTGATGTGGTCACAGGCTTCTACTGGCTCAGATCCCTGGGGATCTTCCTCACCAAATGTCTCCTGTGAAGTCAACTCCTTGTACTCAGTTCTGGTCCCAAGAGCTGAAACAAAAAACAGAACATCTAAGGGTCACCTGCTCTGACTCTGGAAGGTAGGCATGAGATGCTGCTGGCCACCTGTGGGGAACCAATTTGATCATCTCCAAAGTCCCAACAGCCTTGCAAAGATAAGAGCCTGGAGCTCAGAGGCTTATGCAGCTCACCTGGGGCCACAGTCATACAGCCCTTCAAACATTCACTCCTTCCTTCCTTGATTTGACACTCACACAACAAACCTCTCCTGGGTGGCCACTCCCCAAGAATGGAGAGTGACAAGTACCCAAGTGGGGTCCTGCCACATGGCCGCTCAGAGACTGATACCAGCAGCCACAGTCAGGATTGATTAGTCCTGGCCCCTACTTGCCAGCTGAGTCACCTGAGGCAACAACTCACCTACCTTTCTGAGCCTTGGTTTCTCCATCTGTGACCACATGGCACTCTCATGAGAACAAAACAGATTAATACAACAGACTGACCATGAAGCACTCAGCCCAGTGCCCAGCACAGTGAGTTCCAGGTGCAAGCACCTCATGACTGCCACTTTCATTACTGCTCTCTTCCTAGTCCTAAGGGGTCTATCCTTCCACCCCTTGCCTGGCTCTGCACTGCACATGAACAGGTGCTGAACACCAATATCTGCCAAGATGTGCAGCAGACGGTGCTCACACACTACTACAGGAGCCTATGCTGGAGCTGCTGCTTTGGAGGACGGCTTGGCAACCTTATCTAAAGCTGATCTATGAAAATGCTGACTCAGTGACTCTGCTCCCAGGTACACACGCGCCAGAAATGTATTCCGGGCGCCAGAGAGAGACATGCACAAGAGTGTCCACAGCAGTTCCTGTACAACCCCAAACCTGGACAACTGAATGTCCTCCACAAGTAGAAGGGAACATAAGTTGTGGTGTGTTCATACAATAGAACAATGGCAACCAAACAGACCACACTGCTACTCCATGAAACACAAGCAGCTCTCACAGTGTTCAGCAAAAGATGCCCTGTGTGAGTCTACACAGAAAAATCCAAAGGAGGAAGCAGCCTCTTGTGACAGGAGTCAGAAAGAAGACCCCTGTGGGGAGCAGTGGGAAATGGCAGAGGAGAGCCAGGGAGCTCCTGGGGAGCGGAAACAGTCTGTATTTTAATCTGAAGGATGATTTTTCATAAAAATTCACTGAGTTATAAACTTAGGGTTTGTCCTATTTCTATAGATATTTACATTCAAATAAGCAAATTTACAAAATAAGAAGTCCTTTGAGCCAGCAGTTCCTTCCTCAGACACCATCAGACACATGCAAAAAGGTGACCATCAGAGCTATCCAATCTTTTGGCCTGCACTTGCACTGAAGACATGACTGAGACTCATGCGCACAGAAATGGAAACACATTCCGTGTCTGCACAGCAGAACACACTATCATTTCTGTTAAGAAGCAGTGTCAGCCAGGCACAGTGGCTGTAATCCCAGCACTTTGGGAGGCCAAGGCAGGCGGATCACAAGGTCAGGAGCTTGAGACCAGCCTGGCCAATACGGTGTAACCCCGTCTCTATTAAAAATACAAAAATTAGCCAGGCATGGTGGCGTGCACCTGTAGTCCCAGCTACTGGGGAGGCTGAGGCAAAAGAATTGCTTGAACCTGGGAGGCAGAGGTTGCAGTGAGCCGAGATCACACCACTGCCCTCCAGCCTGGGCAACAGAGCAAGACTCTGTCTCAAAAAAAAAAAAAAAGAATGGCTCACACCTATAATCCCAGTACTTTGGGAGGCCAAGGTGGGAGGATCGCTTGAGCCCAGGGGTTTGAGACCAGCCTGGTCAACACAGTGAAACCCTGTCTCTACTAAAAATACAAAAATTAGCCAGGCATGGCGGCAGGCACCTGTAGTCCCAGCTACTCAGGAGGCTGAGGCAGAATCGCTTGAAACCAGGAGGTGGAGGTTGCAGTGAACTAAGATTGCGCCAC